>NC_000014.9:34763228-35066258 GCF_000001405.40 Homo sapiens | reverse complement strand
TTATCTCTACAAAAAATTTTAAAAATTAGACAGGTGTGGTGGCCTATATCTGTAGTCCCAGCTACTTAGGAGGCTGAGGTGGAAAGATCGTTTGAGCCCAGGAGGTCAAGGCTACAGTGAGCCATCATCATGCCACTTTACTACAGCCTGGGCAACAGAGGAAGACCTTGTCTCAAAAAGAAAAAAATTTAAAAAAAAGGATTAGAATTCCTACGATTTTCATATTATCAGACAATGGCTTTAATACTTTGTTTCTAGGCAGGGTGCAGTGGCTCACACCTGTAATCTCAGCACTTTGGGAGGCCAAGGTGGGTGGATTACGAGGTCAGGAGTCTGGCCAACTCCTGTTGACCAGTCTGGCCAAGATGGTGAAATCCTGTCTCTACTAAAAACACAAAAATTAGCTGGGCATGGTGGCAGGTACCTGTAATCCCAGCTACTCGGGAAGCTGAGACAGGAGAATCATTTGACCCTGGGAGGTGGAGGTTGCAGTGAGCCGAGGTCGTACCACTGCACTCCAGCCTGAGCGACAGGGTGACTGTCTCAAAAAAAAAAAAAAAAATTGCTTCTTATACCTTTTAAAACAAAGTCTACATTAATGAAAAACAAAATTAACAGCCATCTATTGCTGGTGGAAGTTGAAGGAAATGCATAGCAGGTAACACATTTTTATTTAAAGAATATTCTGCCTGAGCACCATTCTGTCTATATAAAAGGATTCAAAAAGTAATCAAATACTCAGTTGGCAACTTCCCTAAATGGCATTTAAGATGTGCTTATCTTATCAGAGAAAAATTGAAAAAAACTATTCAGGTGGAAGTCTTTGGTTAGTTCTAAGCTTTAAAAATTTTTTCTGAACAGAAATGAGAATGTTGTCTAGCAAAAAAAAAAAAAAAAAAAAGATTCAATGGAAAAATCTCCTGAGTGGCTGAATACATTATGGTTTAATATATTAAACCATAATGTATTCTATTAATATTTAAAGTTTCCCTCCAAGGCAGAGCTTGCAGTGAGCCAAGATCGCACCACCGCACTCCAGCCTGGGCGAGAGAGAGAGAGACTCCGTCTCAAAAAAAAAAAAGTTTCCCTCCAAAAATATTATAGTTATTTAAGGGAAATAAAACCACCAGCAAGTTTACTTTATGAATGTAATTCTACATTAAGCTACAGCATTAAAAAACAACAAAAAAAAATATGGTGACAGACTAATATTAACATGAGCGTACATAAAAAATTAACCAGATGAAGTCATTTGCAATTCAGGCAGCTATAAAAAATATCAGAGAAATAGGCCCGGCTCGGTGGCTCACGCCTGTAATCTGGGATTACACTTTGGGATTGCACTTTGGGAGGCTGAAGCGGGCGGATCACGAGGTCAGCAGATCGAGACCATCCTGGCTAACACGGTGAAACCCTGTCTCTACTAAAAATACAAAAAAATTAGCTGGTCATGGTGGCGGGTGCCTGCATTCCCAGCTACTCGGGAGGCTGAGGCAAGGAGAATGGTGTGAACCTGGGAGGCGGAGCTTGCAGTGAGTCAAGATGGCGCCACTGCACTCCAGCCTGGACAACAGAGCAAGATTCCATCTCAAAAAAAAAATCAGAGAAATAAATTGTATCTCTTTTTGCTAAAGACTTAAGTAATTATTATTCTATCTCGGTTAATTTAGTCAACATGTATAGTCACATTTCCTAAGTATAAATTCTTCATTAACTTTATTAGGTTTTTCTGTGAAAATTTTACTTAGAATTCAAGTAAAATGTCCTCTCTCAGCTTCAGGCTGAGTTATAACATAAAGCTACCAACTGACAGTACAGTAACAGCTCATATTGCCTAAAAAAATCATTGTACTTTTTTGTTTGTTTGTTTTCGAGACAAAGTCATGTTCTGTTGCCCAGGCTGGAGTGCAGTCGCTCGATCTCGGCTCACTGCAACCTCCATCTCCCAGGTTCAAGGGATTCTCCTGCCTCAGCCTCCCGAGTAGCTGGTATTACAGGTGCATGCTACCACGCCCAGCTAATTTTTGTATTTTTAGTAGAGACGAGGTTTCCCCATGATGGCCAGGCTGGTCTCAAACTCCTGACCTCAGTGATCTGCCCACCTTGGCCTCCCAAAGTGCTGGGATTACAGGTGTGAGCCACTGCACCTGGCCCATTGCACTCTTAAAGGCATGAAGTACCAAAAGGGATTTTTTTTTTTTTTTTTTTTTTGAGACAGAGTCTCGCTCTGTGGTTAAGGCTGGAGCACAGTAGGGTGGTCTCTGCTCACTGCAATCTCTGCCTCCTGGATTCAAGCGATTCTCCTGCCTCAGCCTCCCGAGTAGCTGGGATTACAGGCTTGTGCCACCAAGCCCAGCTAATTTTTGTATTTTTAGTAGAGATGGAGTTTCAGGGTTTTACCATGTTGGCCAGGCTGGTCTCAAACTCCTGGCCTCAAGTGATCTGCCCACCTCAGCCTCCCAAAGTGCTGGGATTACAGGCAAGAGCCATGTAATGTGGCCCAAAAGAAAAAATATAATTTTAAAGCTTTAAACTTGATATTTCAAAATTGGAATCATAAAGCAAATCAATTTTATAAACTCTAAAATGATACTAAATCTGGGTGCAGGACTAGATTTGTTATTTCAAAAAGAAAATGACACTAAATAGGAACTATGGAGAAAATTTATTTATTTATTTTGAGATGGCGTTTCACTCTTGTTGCCCAGGCTGGAGTGCAATGGCGGGATCTTGACTCACTGCAACCTCCACCTCCCAGGTTCAAGCGATTCTCCTGCCTCAGCCTCCCAAGCGGCTGGGATTACAGGCACCCGCCCCCATGCCTGGCTAATTTTTTGTATTTTTTTTTTAGTAGAGACGGGGTTTCACCATGTTGGCCAGGCAGGTCTCAAACTCCTGACCTCAGGGATCCACCCACCTTGGCTTCCCAAAGTGCTGGGATTACAGGCAAGAGCCACCATGCCTGGCCCCAAAGGGAAAATATAATTTTAAAGCTTTAAAATTGATATTTAAAAATTGGAGTCATAAATCAATTTTATAAACTCTAAAATGATACTAAAATCTGAATATAGAACTAGATCTTTTTTTTTTTTTTTTTTTGAGATGGAGTCTCACTCTGTTGCCAGGCTGGAGTGCAGTGGCGCGATCTTGGCTCACTGCAATCTCCGACTCCCGGGTTCAAGCCATTCTCCTGCCATTCATCCGCCTACCTCAGCCTCCCAAAGTGCTGGGATTACAGGCGTGGTCCACCGCACCCGACCTTTTTTTTTTTTTAAATGATACTAAATAGGAACTATAGAGAAAATTTAAAAAATAAGTTATGGGGTTTCAATCTCAAATCGAGTTCTAAAATTACCTTAAGTAAAAAAAAAAAAAAAACCGCAAATAAAATTTCTTGTGCTACTTGCTATATTTGCTTTATTAATTAATACTACCATATATTTTTCTTTTCTTTTTTTTTTTTTTGAGACAGGGTCTCACTTTGTTGCCCGGGCTGGAGTACAGTGGCATGATCATGGCTCACTGCAGCCTTGAATTCCTGGGCTCAAGCAATCCTCTTGCCTCAGCCCTCCAAAGCAAAGATTATAGGCATGAGGCACTGTGCTCAGCCAAGTCACTTTTCAGTGAGTTTTCATAGATATTATCTCATTTAATCTTTAAAAACAACTACAGGTAGGTGAGGCAAGTTATCTCTCTTCTTTGTAATCATGGAACTTTAACTACAATGAAAGTTAAGTCTTTGTCAAAGCAAGGTGACTACTACAGGACAGAGCCAGAACTAAAAACCAAGTTTCTGACATCTCATGGTACCTCTCAGTGAAGAAAATATAAAAAGATTTCTTATCACCCAGGGATCTGTTGGATTGGGCTTCACAACTCAGGGAAATTCCAACATGAATATGCTATATACATGGTCATTAAAGACCTTAATAGTGGATATAGACCTCTATCATAACAGCATGAGGAACTCTGGGCCCACTTCCCAGTAAAACTGATGAAATTTATTAAAGAATAAACATTTAAAGCACCTGGAAATGGTCTTAATGGCATATAAATGAATAAACATCTATTCAAGAAAATCTATGAAAATTTGGTAACAAAAGCAAACGTCTGTGGTAACTGAACTAAGACCACTCCCTCTCAGCACCCTCCCAGCAAAGGAAGGCAGAAACTGCACTTCAGACTGGTACAGCCAAGAATACAGGGTTCCCCCTCCCCTCAGCTTCCAGTTGGGTTTTCTTCTCAGGAGGAACAGAATATTAACCAGCACTTCTCATCTATTACTGAGGCCAATTTCCAGGTAAGTGTGGTTGACAGGGGGTGACTCTCTTCTTCCACCAGCCTCTGCTCACAGAATGGAGGCTCTACCTTGAGCATGGCACCACTGAGAACACCAGGGCCCTGATCGCCTTTACCCAGTTCATAAGGCAGCAGAGGCAAGTTCTACGCCAGCAGAGGCAAGTCAAAAATACTTACAGCTTTTTTTTTTAATATTATTATACTTTAAGTTTTAGGGTACATGTGCACAATGTGCCAGTTAGTTACATATGTATACATGTGCCATGCTGGTGTGCTGCACCCATTAACTTGTCATTTAGCATTAGGTATATCTCCTAATGCTGTCCCTCCCCCCTCCCCCCACCCCACAACAGTCCCCAGAGTGTGATGTTCCCCTTCCTGTGTCCATGTGTTCTCATTGTTCAATTCCCATCTATGAGTGAGATAAAAAAAAAAAAAAAGAAATGAGAAAAAAACAAATAGACATTTGTAAAACAAAGACTAAAAAAAAAAAAAAATACTTAAAGCTACTGACCCCACCTCCCATAAATGCTCAGCTCCTAAAGTGAAGGTGTTATTCAGACAGAAATGAGCCATTGTCCCCACCCCCAGCTCCAAAACCTTGGCTCAGAGATTGCCCTGAGTGAGAGGCAGAAGGGCGGGGCTGGGGTAGGGGAGCCAGCCAGGACAGGAAACAAAGCAGACAACTCCTAATCTCTTCCCAAAGGAACTGACTTCATTTGCAACACACCTAGAAAAGTCCAAGGCTAAGGGTGTTCTCAAAAACACTGGAGATTGTAGCAAAATGTACAGTGGTCCCCCTTTATCTGCAGGGGCTGTGTTCCAAGACCTCCCATGGGTGACTGAAACTGCGGATAATACTGAACCCTATACTGTTTTTTCCTATATACACATGCCTATGATAAATTTTAATTTATAGATTAGTCACAATAAGAGATTAACAATAGCTAATAATAGAACAATTATCACAATACACTGTAATAATAGTTATATGAATGTGGTCTCCCAAAATATCATGTTGTACTGTATGCACCCTTCTTCTGATGAAGGAGGTACCAAGTGTGACAGTATGAGATTTTATGATGCTACTCAGAACGGTGATCAACTTAAAATTTATCAATTGTTTATTTCTGGAATTTTCCATTTAATATTTTCAGAGCACAACTGACCATGGGTAACCACAAAAAGCAAAACTACAAATAAAGGGGGGACTACTGTAACTGGGAGAAGATTCTTAGATTTAATAAAAATACAGGCTAAACTATAGGCTAGCTAATTTGCAGGAAAGAATAGGAGTGGAGAATAGACTTCACTAAAAGAACACAGCAGTCACTAAACAAATAAACAGGCAAATAACAATGACAAGATATGGGGGCACAGTACCCAGAGTTGCTATAATATATAATCTAAAATATCTAGTTTCCAACAAAAAATTATGAGACATGCAAAGAAACAGAAAAGTATGACCCATACATAGGGAAAAAAATCAGGCAACAAAAAATACCTGTGAGACTGACAAGATGCTGGATTTAACAGAAAAAAAAATTCAAATAGCTTTTATAAATATGTTTGAAGACCTAAGAAAATAATAAATTAAAAATAAAGGAAGGTATAACAGTATCACATCAAGCAGAGAGTATCAAAAAAGAGACAGAAATTATTAAAAACAAAACAAAACAAAAACTGGCCAGGCGCAGTGGCTCATGCCTGTAATCCCAGCACTTTAGGAGGCCAAGGCAGGTGGATCAAATGAGGTCAGGAGTTCCAGACCAGCCTGGCCAACATGGTGAAACCCAGTCTCTACCAAAAATACAGTAATTAGCCCGGGCATGGTGGTGCATGCCAGTAAGCCCAGTTACTCCAGAGGCTGAGGCAGGAGAATCACCTGAATCCAGGAAGCAGAGGTTGCAGTGAGCCGAGATCACGCCACTGCACTCCCGCCTGGGCGACAAGAGTGAAACTCCATCTTAAAAAACAAAACAAAACAAAAAAAACAGCCAGGCGCAGTGGCTCACGCCTGTAATCCCAGCACTTTGGGAAGCCAAGGAAGGTGGATCATTTGAGGTTAGGAGTTCAAGACCAGCTTGGTTGTCTCTACTAAAAACACAAAATTGGTGGAGTGTGGTGGCTCACGCCTGTAATCCCAGCACTTTGGGAGACTGAGGCAGGTGGATCACAAGGTCAAGAGTTCGAGACCAACCTGACCAACATGGTGAAACCCCGTCTCTACTAAAATACAAAAATTAAAAAATACAAAAATTAGCAGGACGTGGTGGCGTGCATCTGTAATCCCAGCTACTCGGGAGGCTGAGGCAGGAGAATCACCCAACCTGGGAGGCAGAGGTTGCAGTGAGCCGAGATTGCGCCACTGCACTCCAGCCTGGCGATGAGTGAGACTCTGTCTCAAAAAAAAAAAAAAAAAAAGAAATGTAAATGCTTCTGTAGAAAATATTCACTTAATCCAAAAGATAACAGTAGAAAAGAAAGGAGCAAAAAGACATGAGACATAGAAAATAAAAGGTAAAATGGCAGATGTAAATCCAACTAAATCAACATAAAATATGAATGGATTAACAACTGAATCAAAGGGCAGAGATTGTTAGATTGGATTAAAAAAAACAAGATCCAACTATATGCTGTCTACAAGAGATACTTTAGATTAAAAAATACAAACAGATTCACAGTAAAAGGGATGGAAGAAGATATACAAAACAAACTATAAAAAAGCTCACACTGGCCAGGCGTGGTGGCTCACACCTATAATCCCAGCATTTTGGGAGGCCGAGGCAGGTGGATCACAAGGTCAGGAGATTGAGATCATTCTGGCTAACATGGTGAATACTAAAAATACAAAAAATTAGCTGGGTGTGGTGGCACGCACCTGTAATCCCAGCTACTCGGGAGGCTGAGGCAGGAGAATGGCGTGAACCCGGGAGGCGGAGCTTGCAGTGAGCCGAGATCATGCCACTGCAGTCCAGCCTGGGCGACAGAGTGACTCCGTCCCAAAAAAAAAGAAAACAAAAAAAAGCTCACATGGCAATATCAGTAGCAGACAAAACAGACTTTTTTTTTCCTTTTTTTTCTGAGGCAAGGTCTTACTCTGTCACCTAGACTGGAATGTAGTGGTGAGATCCCAGTTCACTGCAGCCTCAAACTTCTGGGCTCCAGCGATCCTCCCAACTCACCTCTCCAAGTAGCTGAGCCCACAGGTGTGTGCCACCACGCATGGCTAATGTTTTTTATCTTTTGTAGAGACAAGGTCTCATTACATTTCCCAGGCTGGTCTCAAACTCCTGGGCTCAAGAAATCCTTCTGCCTCAGCCTCCCAAAGTGCTGGGATTACAGGCATGAGCCACCATGCCAGACCTAAAATAGACTTGAAAACAAAAAACGTAACTAGAGGTAAAGAAGGACATTTTATAATGATAAAAGGGTCAATCTATCAGGAAGATATGAAATTATAAATACATATGCAGTTAATTTAATAACAGAGCACCAAAGTACATTAAACAAATCTGACAGAAAGAGAGGGAGAAATAGACAATTCAACAATAATAGTTGAAGACTGCAATATCTCATTTTTAATAATAAATAGGGGCTGGACACGGTGGCTCACACCTGTAATACCAGCTCTTTGGGAGGCCAAGGTGGGCGGATCATGAGGTCAAGAGATCGAGACCATCCTGGCCAACATGGTGAAACCCCGTCTCTACTAAAAATACAAAACTTAGCCAGGTGCAAGCCTGTAATCTCAGCTACATGGGAGGCTGAAGCATGAGAATCACTTGAACCTGGGAGGCAGAGGTTGCAGTGAGCTGAAATCGTGTCACTGCACTCCAGCCTAGGCAACAAGAGTGAAACTCTGTCTCGAAAAATAATAATAATGATAATAATAATAATAATAAAAAGTAGGACAACAGGGCAGATGATCAGCAAGGAAACAGAAAGCTTGAACAATACTATAAAATCAATTAGACCTCACAGACACCTATAGAACACTTTCAACAACAGAATATACATTCTTCTCAAGTACATATGGAACGTTCTAAGACAGACCACCTGCTAGGCAGGCTATAAAACAAACGTCAATACATTTAAAGGGTCAAATAATATAAAGTATGTTCTCTGATCAGAATGGCATGAAATCAGAAATCAATAAAAGAAAAAATAGACAAACAAATACATGGGAAGTAAAAAATGTACTTCTAAATAACCAATGGGTCAAGGAAGAAAACCAAAAGGAAAAAAAAGAAAATACTTTAAATAAAAATGAAGGTATAGGCTGGGCGCAGTGGCTCACACCTATAATCCCAGCACTTTGGGAGGCCGAGGCGGGCAGATCACCTAGGTCAGGAGTTTGAGACCAGCCTGGCCAACATGGTGAAACCCTGCCTCTACTAAAAATACAAAAAATTAATTTGGCATGGTGGCGTGCACCTGTAATCCCAACTACTCGGGAAGCTGAGGCAGGAGAACTGCTTGAATCCAGGAGGCAGAGGTTGCAGTGAGCCAAGATCATGCCACTCTCCAGCCTGGGTGACAGAGTGAGACTCCGTCTCAAAAAAAAAAAGAAGGTATAACATACAAAAACTTATGGGAAGCTGGGCATGGTGGTGCACATCTGTAAACCCTACTACTTGTGAGGCTGAAGCAGGAGGATTGCTTGAGCCCATGAGTTCGAAGCCAGCCTAGGCAATATAGCAGGACCCCATTTGTAAACAACAAGAACAACAACAAAAATTTATGGAATAAAACTAAGGCAGTACTTAAAGGGAAACTTGTATTCGTAAATGCCCAATTAAGAAACTAGCAATAACCTAGACTTCTGCCCTAGGACACTGGAAAATGAAACACAAACTACACTTAAAGCAAACAGAGGAAGGAAATAATACAGGCAAGAGCAGAAATTAATAGAGAACAGAAAAACAACAAAGAAAATCATGAAACCAAAAGGTGGTTCTCGTGAAAGACCAACAAAATTGGCAAACCTTTAGCTAGATTGACCAAAAAGAAAGAGTAAATGCCCAAAATTACTAGAATCCAAAATGAACAGGAAAATCAACCTTATGAAAAATAAAAAGAATCATAATGAAATACTACTGTATGCCAACAAATAAGATAACAGATAAAATGGACAAATTCCTAGAAAGACACAAACTCATACACAACTGACTCAAAAAGGAACAATCTTAATAGACCTATAGCAAGTAAAGAGACTGAATTAGTAATCAAAAAAACTACCCACAAAGAAAAGCCAAGGAGGCTTCACAGCTGAAGTCTTCCGAACATTCAAAAAATAATTAAGGCCAGGCGCTGGCTCACACCTGTAATCCTAGCACTTTGGGAGGCTGAGACAGGGGATCATTTGAGGTCAGGAATTCAAGACCAGCCTGACCAACATGTTGAAACCCCAACTCTACTAAAAATACAAAAAAAATTAGCCAGACGTTGTGGCATGTGCCTGTAGTCCCAGCTACTTGGGAGGCTGAAGCAGGAGAATTGCTTGAACCCAGGAGGCAGAGGTTGCAGTAAGCCAAGATCATACCACCGCACTCTAGCCTGGGTGACAGAGTGAGACTCTATCTCAAAAAATAAAAATAAAAAAATAAAAAATAAAAAATAGTTGCCTGGGCGCAGTGGCTCACGCCTGTAATCCCAGCACTTTGAGAAGCTGAGGTGGGCAGATCACTTGAGGTCAGGAGTTTAAGACCAGCCTGGCCAACATAGTGAAAGCATGTCTCTACTAAAAATACAAAAATTAGCTGGGTGTGGTGGTGCGTTTCTGTAGTCCCAGCTACTCAGGAGGCTGAGGCAGGAAAGTTGCTTAAACCAGGGAGGCAGAGGTTGCAGTAAGCTAAGATCACGCCACTGCACTCCAGTCTGGGTGACAGAGCCAGACTCCCTCTCAAAAAATAAAAATAAATAAATAACCTAATCAAAATAAGCAAAGGAAGATTACAAATGGCCAATATGCACCTGAAAGGATGCTCAACATCACTGACCATCAAGGGAATGTAAATCAAAACGACAATGAAATAACATATTCACTAGGGTTGCTAAAATCAAGAAGATACATAGCAAAGGCACAAGAGAACAAAAAAATAAAAAGACACATAGTAACAAGTGATGCTGAATATGTGGAGAAATCATTATCCTTACACACTGCTGGTAGGAATTTAAAATAGTGCAGCCACTTTGGAAAACAGTCAGGCAGTTCCCCAGACATCTAAACATAGACTTAGGGCTGTGTGTGGTGGCTCATGCCTGTAATCCCAGCACTTTGGGAGGCTGAGGCAGGAGCTCGAGACCAGCTTAACCAACATGGTGAAACTGCATCTCTACTAAAAAAAATACAAAAATTAGCCGGGCGTGGAGGTGTATGCCTGCAATCCCAGCTACTTGGGAGGCTGAGGCACGAGAATCGCTTAAACCCAGGAGGCAGAGGCTTCAGTGAGCCAAGATTGTGCCACTGAACTCCAGCCTGAGTGACAGACCCTGTCTCAAAAAAAAAAAAAAAACAGTTATTGCATGACCCAGCAATTCTAGTCCTAGTTATGTACCCCTAATATTCTACCTGCATTTGGAACTACCTTCAAAGTATATGGTACAATCTTTGAATATTTTCTGTGTAGAATATCCGATTTTTTTTTTTTTTTTAGATGGAGTTTCACCCTTGTTGACCAGGCTGGAGTACAATGGCACGATCTCGGCTCACTGCAACCTCTGCTTCCCGGGTTGAAGCAATTCTCCTGCCTCAGCCTCCTGAGTAGCTGGGATTACAGGCGCCTGCCATCACGCCTGCCTAATTTTTTGTATTTTTAGTAGAGACAGAGTTTCACCATGTTGGCCAGGCTGGTCTCGAACTCCTGACCTCAGGTGATCCACCCACCTCGGCCTCCCAAAGTGCTGCGATTATAGGCGTGAACCATTGCTCCTGGCCTGCTTATCATTTTTTATTTTATTTTTTATTTTTTTATTTTTTGAGACCAAGTTTCGCTCTTATTGCCCAGGCTGGAGTGCAATGGCACGATCTTGGCCCACCGCAACCTTCGCCTCCTGGGTTCAAGCGATTCTCCTGCCTCAGCCTCCTGGGTAGCTGGGATTACAGGCATGCACCACCATGCCTGGCTAATTTTTTTGTATTTTTAGTAGAGATGGGGTTTCTCCATGTTGGTCAGGCTGGTCTTGAACTCCCGACCTCAGGTGATCTGCCTGCCTCGACCTCCCAAAGCGCTGGGATTACAGGTGTCAGCCACCACACCTGGCATGATTTTCTAATAGCCAAATATTTAAAGCCAAATCTGATGAAAAGGAGTAACATTTTTAAAATCAAATATAAACAATTCTCTATTCTGTAACTATGCTTAATTTTCTTTATAGCACTTTTCATAGCCTGATAATTATAGTATATATTTATTTATTGCCTGTCTTCTCACTAGTATATGAGAGCAGAAATTTATATCACCCACTGCTATATCACCGGCACCTAAAATAGTACCTGTTAGAAAGTCAGTAAATATGTGATTACCTGGACTCTCAAAATAATTACTTGAAGGGCATTTCTTTATAAATAAATAAAAATTTCTTTATAAATATATAGCTAGTCTCATAATTGTACAGTCACATCTTGTATAATTTAGAAATTCTCCAAGTTAGTTGATAAGGCACACAAAGTTCAGAAATGTATATTCTTATCTTCCAATCAAAACTTGAAGCAAACTTTTGTTTTGTTTTGTTTTGTTTTTGAGATGGAGTCTCACTCTGTTGCCCAGGCTGTAGTGCAGTGGCGCGATCTCGGCTCACTGCAAGCTCTGCCTCCCGGGTTCATGCCATTCTCCTGTTGAGGCAGTATTTTAAAAAGCTGACAACTCCCTAAGTTTTGGGTGGAAACTATCATGGCAGTACAGTCCTTAAATCAAAGGAACTGGGATTCAAGCACTCAATTTAGTAAGATAAATCTTTTTTTTGAGACAGAGTCTCGCTCTGTCCCCGAGGCTGGAGTGCAATGGCATAACCTTGGTTCACCGCAACCTCCACCTCCCAGATTCAAGCAATTCTCCTGCCTCAGCCTCCCAAGTAGCTGGGATTACAGGTGTCCACCAATACGTCCAGCTAATTTTTTGTATTTTTAGTAGAGATGGCGTTTTGCCATGTTGGCCAGGCTGTTCTCAAACTCCTGACCTCAGGTGATCCACCCACCTCAGCTTCCCAAAGTGCTGGGATTACAGGTGTGAGCCACCGCGCCTGGCTGATCAATCTTAAATCTATCCATACTAACACAGTACTCTGACACTGAAAAACAAGCTGTTTCAGGCTACTGAAATGCTGGAAATATTTCCGTCCATATCATGTAAAAATATTATTTTCTATCAAAATCACCATACATAATTTTATAATAAGAATATAGTTGATTTAAACCTCAAAAGGTCCCTTCCACTCAATGTTTAGGGAAAAAAAATAAATCAAAACAAAGCCCACTGAGGAAAGAATCATCAATATCAAACCTACCGGATCAACAGTAGGCAAAACATCTTTCTTCTCCAGGCCATCAACTTCGTCTTCATCTGTGCTATATTCTTCCATTGTTTCACCACTAACAAAGTGGATGACTCTCCTTGGGACTTTCTTCTTTTTTCCTATGACTCCCAGTTCTACATTTTCAAAGCCTCTTTCGTTACTCATCTATATCAACGATATTTTAAGAAAATGAGTTTCAAGTGAGATTAATTTTCTTTCATTACACGTGAAAAACTTTTGGTAGGTTTATTGTAGTAAAGAAATAAATCTTTAAGCAGTTTTGGTTTGTTCTGAGACATGGTCTCACTCTATTGCTCAGGCTGGAGTACAGTGTCAAGACTATGGCAGACCAAATAAAACCCACCATTTGTAAACCAAATCTGGAAAGCAGATTATCAGCATTGTATCTCTGAACTTCCAGATGTCTTGGCCAGTAATACATATGTAACAAAAGAGATTTCTGATAGTAAAAAGATTTCACAAGTTCTTAAACTTTAGTAGTCTATGGAATTTTTTTTTCCCCCAGACAGGGTCTGGCTGTTGCCTAGGCTGGAGAGCAGTAGTGCAATCACGGCTCACTGCAATCTCAAATTCCTGGCCTCAAGTGATCCTTCTGTGTCCACCTCCTGAGTACCTGGGACTATAGGAGCATGCCACCACACTTGGCTAATTTTTTTTTCTATAGGGACAGTGTCTGGCTATGTTGCCCAGGTTGGTCTCCAACTACTGGCCTTAAGCAATCCTCCCACTTCAGCCTCCCAAAGTTTTAGGATTACAGGCATACGTCACTGTGCCTGAGCTGGAATTCTAATACAAATTTTACTCCTATATATTTACACTATATATATCTATATATATAGTGGGAGATGGTGAAGAGCTTCTTTTCATTGTCCTCTTGCCTCAAGTTTAAACTCCTAATAAAACTGCCTGAAGTTGGGCCAGGCGCGGGCTCATACCTGTAATCCCAGCATTTTGGGAGGCCGAGGCAGGCGGATCACAAGGTCAGGAGATCGAGACCACGGTGAAACCCTGTCTCTACTAAAAATATAAAAAATTAGCTGGGCGCAGCAGCGGGTGCCTGTAGTCCCAACTACTCGGGAGGCTGAGGCAGAAGAATGGCATGAACCTGGAAGGCGCGCCACTGCACTCCAGTCTGGGCAACAGAGCAAGACTCCATCTCGGAAAAAAAAAAAGAAAACTGCCTGAAGTTTAAACTTCCAGATTTCAAAAAGGTACAGTACATACAATTGTGAAGAAAAATCTGGCAACAGTGGTTACCCCATGGGTAGAAACTAAGATGGGGGAGAAGCAGAAGGCAAGGGAGTAGTCAAAGGAGGGCTTTTATTCTTTTTGCATATACAGGACTACAGTAATGTCATGATTACAGTCTATGTTCGTAGAATTCTCTAGGATAGTCCAGAGTACAAACATTTTGTTCTCTATAAAGATTCTTGTGGTTATAAGCAAACATAATTTAAACCCATGACTGCTGTTCAACCACTGGAAAAGCTCTTTGAATTGCTATTGCAAAAAAAGGATTATACTGATAAAAACAGTGAACTGCCCAGTTATGCAAGTATAAGCTACTTTGTTTTTATACATTGTTTCATCTTAATCTTCTAAGGTCCTTCTTAGAAAACAGATATGATTCTTCTCTGCCTTTTACCTCCCAAAGGTAAGTTTAGTCATTAGCCAGGATTTGAACTGCAGATCATGAAAATTTGGTAACAGGCCAGCCGTGGTGGCTCATACCTGTAATCCTAGCACTTTGGGAGGCTGAGGCAGGAGGATCACATGAGGTGAGGAGTTCGAGACCAGGCTGGCCAACATGGCAAAACCCCAACTTTACTAAAAATACAAAAATCAGCTAGGCATGGTGGTACACGTATGTAATTTCAGCTACTTGGGAGGCTGAGGCATGAGAATCACTTGAACCCAGGAGGTGGATGTTGCAGTGAGCCGAGATCGCACCACTGCACTCAAGCCTGGGCAACAGAGCCAGACTGTCTCAAAAAAATAAAAATAAGGCTGGGTGCTGTGGCTCAGGCCTATAATGGCAGCAATTTGGGGGGCCAAGGCAAGATAACCTGATGTCAGGAGTTGGAGACCAGCCCGGCCAACATGGTGAAACCCTGTCTCCACTAAAAAAACAAAAATTAGCTGGGCGTGGTGGCACGCACCTGTAGTCCCAGCTACTCGGGAAGCTGAGGAATGAGAATCACTTAAACCCGGGAGGTGGCGGTTGCAGTGAGCTGAGATCGTGCCACTGCACTCCAGTCTGGGTCACACAGCGAGACTCCATCTCAAAAAATAAAAATAATAAACTATCTTAAAAAATAAAATTTGGTAACATAGGCTACCTATGTATTAACATGAAAAAAAGTCACAATTCTTTCTAGCCTGTCCTGAGGGTTCAAATAAATCCCAGCCCTTAACAAGGAAAGATCAGGTCATTTATTGTGTCCATGAAAAAAATAAACAAGTAGTTAACCCAGGACACTTTTCTTCTACCTACCCCCAAGCCCCACCAATCCCCAGGCACTGACAGCCATCCCTACCCAGTCTCATGTTTACCCTTGAGATAAAATTTGGCTATGGCTGTCCTGACATCAACGTTTCCTTTTGGACCATGACTCAGCTTTTTGGATCCCTTAATTTCCTATGCAAAGGAAAGACAGATGAGCTAAGTTAGATCTCCAGTCATCCTACTAACTGGATGGATCTAATGTCAATGCAACAGCTCCAGTCAGTGAATAGAGAGCTCAGATCCTTCACAGTATACCACCATGCCCCACCCTATCCCACCCCCAAGACAGTAGAGGCTTCTCACTGCTACCTCTAGCAATCTCTCATTGGCTTAATTTTTTCCTTCTATGACACAGGCAAAGGAAGGAATGTCAGTGCTCAAAAAGCTTCAGATTTTAGAGTATTTCAGATGAGGGATAATGATTCCAACCTCTATTTGGGAGGCGGGGTGGGGGGCAATGAAGGAAGCACTAACAGGTAAAACCAACCAGAAAATCATTTGATACAAAATTCCCAATAATTATATTTTTAAAATATTTTTCTTTTTTTATTTTTCAAACATCAACTTGAACCAGAAATCCAATAATTACAAATAAAATTTACACTGTGGCTGGGCATGGTGGCTCATGCTTGTAACCCCAGCACTTTGGGAGACTGAGGCGGGCAGACAACTTGAGGTCAAGGGTGTGAGACCACCCTGGCTAACATGGTGAAATCCCACCTCTACTAAAAAAATACAAAAATTAGCCAGGCGCGGTGGAGCGTGCCTATAATCCCAGCTACACAGGAGGCTGAGGCAGGAGAATTGCTTGAACCCGGGAGGTGGAGGTTGCAGCGAGCCGAGATCGCGCCATGAACTTCAGCCTGGGCAACAGAGTGAGATTCTGTCTCAAAAAACAAAAAAAGTTACACTGTGAATTTTCCAAATGCTTCATTTTATAAATCTGCAAGTAAGAAAAATTTCACTGCCAATTATGCAAATTCCATAACGAACCCCAAAGATCTGAAAGATAGTTTCATAACACCAGGAAATTATGAGGTACCATGTCAATTAACATTTTACTCCATTTTATAGTTAACCAAACTATAAATGTGCTTATCTTTATTCTCAGGATCTGTTTTTTTCTTTTTTGAAAAGGAGTCTTGCTCTGTCATCCAGGCTGGAATGCAGTGGTGCGATCTTGGCTCACTGCAACCTCTACCTCCTGGGTTTCAGCGATTCTCCTGCCTCAGCCTCCCGAGTAGCTGGGACTACAGGCGTGAGCCATAATGCCCAGCTAATTTTTCTATTTTTAGTAGAGATGAGGGTTTCATCACGTTGGCCAGGCTGGTCTCGAACTCCTGACCTCAAGTGATCCACTGGCCTCAGCCTTCCAAAGTGCTGGGATTATAGGTGTGAGCCACTCTGCCCAGCTCAGGATCTGGTTTTAATGGCAATTTTTTGTATATACTCCCATGGCACCCAGACTTCTTTAAAACACATACTAGACTTAGAATTTATTCTTTGTCATCTTCCCCAACTAGGCTATTAGCAACATGGGGGTAGGTACTGCTATATCTTTCAGCCTAGAGTTCCTGGCACATAGTAAGTGCTTGGTAACAGAGGTACCAAATAAATCAATCACTGAGTGGTACTGAAATTTTAACTCCTTTAAAAACATTGAGGCTGAGATTCTGGTTAAAAGTCTATTCAGAGAAGCTGCTGGATAGAATGTCACAACAGGAGGCCGGGTGCGGTGGCTCACACCTGTAATCCCAGCACTTTGGGAGGCCAAGGCAGCAGGTGGATCACAAGGTCAGGACTTCAAGACCAGCCTGACCAAGATGGTGAAACCCCACCTCTACTAAAAATACAAAAATTAGCCAGATGTGGTTGCGTGCGCCTGTAGTCCTAGCTACTCAGGAGGCTGAGGCAAGAGAATTGCGTGAACCCGGGAGGTGGAGGTTGCAGTGAGCCAAGATCATGCCACTGCACTCCAGCCTGGGCCACAGAGTGAGACTCCGTCTTAAAAAAAAAAAAAAAAAGAATGTCACAACAGGTACTGGATGGCCTGTTTGGAGGCCTAATTCTAGACCCTATCTCCTATCTCTTACTCCCTTTCCCTACATTGCACTAGGGATTTCTCAGTTCTGCCAAACTTGGGAAGAAGTGTAAGATAGAGGCCTCTCCATCTCCTGAGATGTCCACTTCCCTGTTACTGTGCTCAACCCCCTGGGCATAGAACTGGAGTTCCCAAAGATGTTTCTGATTCAGGAATGTGAATCTGAAAGCACAAAGGGCAAATCAGAAAATGGAACTCATTGGTGTTTAACAAGAAAGAAGAGATATTTAATATTTAATAATATATATAATATATAAGAAATATATAATATTGAATGATAAAATTCCAGAGAGACTACACCAAAACTTAATAGTTACCTTTGGGGAATGAGAACATGAAGAAAGGGTGGTGGTGGGGTATTCCTGTGAATTTTTATCTTTTGTTCTACAGCCTTCTTTACTGGTTAAGTACTTATTTGTTAACCAAGAATGTGAAAACAACAGAATATCACTAACCCCAATCAAAGAGCCTCTCACTTCAAACAACATTTAGCTGGTATATAAGTACACGTGTGTTTACTTTGCTATTAGATCCAGGGCGGAGGTAGTGATTTTAAAAAAACAATTCTAGTAACAACAGGAAAAATCAAATTGAAAAACATATCAAGCACCATGGACTCAAAGGTTAAGTGTAAGTGCACTTGCCAACAATAGGTCTCAACTCAACTGAAAATGACGTGGCTTCCTTATCAATTCATGTTGTCCCCTGAATCCCCTTCTTAAGTAGGAGGGAAAAAACGTATTCCATATAGAGTTTGGTATGTGGGAAAGTTGTGTTTTTTGTTTTTGGGGTTTCTTTAGTTTTTTATTTAAGAGATGGGTTCTTGCTCTGTTGCCCAGGCTGGATAAGCTTTTGTTAATGCAAACGACATCTTATACTATAAGAGATACACAGAGATATACTCACAGTTTGGGGGAAATGTCTTACTAACATTCAGGTACTTAGTCTCAAAAATGAAGCTACTGAAAAAGCTTCATTCTCATGGAGGATGGGAAGAGTTACATACATGAGCAACTCAAGGGTTTTTTTTTTGTTGTTGTTGTTGTTGTTGTTGTTGTTGCTGTTTTGAGACGGAGTCTCGCTCTGTCTCCAGCCTGGAGTGCAGTGGCGTGATCTCGGCTCACTGCAACCTCCACCTCCAGGGTTCAAGCAATTCTCCTGCCTCAGCCTCCCGAGTAGCTGGGACTACAGGCGAGCGCCACCACGCCCAGCTAATTTTTGTATTTTTAGTAGAGAAGGGGTTTCACCATGTTGGCCAGACTGGTCTTGAACTCCTGACCTCAGGTGATCCACCCGCCTTGGCCTCCCAAAGTGTCTTTTTGTCTAATACTGAAAAGTTGCAAGAAACGTTAACTCTCTAAACCAGCGCTGTCCAATACAGTAACCACTAGCCACATGTGGCTAATGCGCACTTGAAATGTGGTCAGCCAGAACTGCGATATGCTATGCGTGTAAAATGCACCCAGGATTTAAAAGACTTAGAAAAGACTCCAAAAGAGAATGCAAATACTTCATTAATAACTTTCATAGTAATTTTAGGTTGAAATTGTTTTGATAAATTAGGTTAAATAAGATATGCTATTAAAATTAATATCGGTTTCACTTTTTTAAAACGTGCCTACTGGAAAATTTTAAATTACAATTTTCAATGCAGCTTGCATTCTATTTATGTTGGACAGCGCAGCTCGGAGCCTTAGTTGCCTCGGCGGTGAAATGGGGCTAACACCCACCTCGAGCGGTTACTGTAAGGATCCAGTGAATTAAAGCTGGTAAACGTTTGGCATATGCCAAGCAAAGGGCAGATGCCCAGGCAGGCGCTCGCACCAGAAGAGACTGAGAAGTGGTTGAAGCCGCCCTCACCTGGCTTCCAGCTACTGCAAGGACAGCCTTTGGGGGACACGCCTTTCTTCTTCCTCTGGTAGACCAGAAGCTGGACTATCACCCCAGGAACCCGAGGCCGCCCCAGAGTCTGCTGTGCTGCCAGCCAAGGGGTTGGTGAGTGAGGCGGGGGGCGCTCCTTCCCACAAGCTGGTCTCAGTGAGCAGAAACAGGGGTGCAGTGAGGAGGAACTCCAAAGCTGGGGCGGCCTGCTCGGAGGACGGCCGCGCAGGCTAAAAGAGCGGCCCGCGGAGAAGGCAAGGAGGCGGCTCGGCTCCCCGGACGTCAGCCTCGGCGGCCCCACCTACCTGCCCTGCAGATTCCCCGAATGCCGCGGCGGCCGCAGCTCCCGAGGCTGCGACGGCTTCTCCTCGTTCCACACCGCCCACTGGCTCCTGGTCCATCGTCGTCGCCACCACAGGGCTGCTGGCGCTGGTGAGAAAGAGGGTAATGGCCGGTAAGCCCACTTCCATCCTTGGTCTCCCCGCCCAGTCGCTGGCCGAGCCAGGCTGTCGGGAAGTGGGACTCACCCGCCCAGCGCCCGCCTCGCGCCGCGCCTAGCCAAGTCTCTGAGAAGGGGACTCGCCGGCCTGAGGGGCGGGGCCAGCCCGCGCCTCGCCTAGCCCGCCGGGCTCCGCACCCCGAGAGCTGGCCAACTGCAGTCTGGGAGGCGCAACTACCGGCTCGCGCGGGGCGGGGCGGGGCGGGGCGGGTCCTTGCGGGGCGTCGCTTCCGGCCAAGCAAGCATCCAGAGCTCGTGGATCCCCGCCTGGCACCGCCTGTGACGTCATTTCTGGTACGTGTACCTGAAGCCTGGCGTCTCGACCTCGGCGCAGCCCGTCACCAGCGGCGTCTGGGGCAGTCACCCCGCAGGACCTCGGTTTTTGCACTTGTAAAATGAAGACAGCTGTGTCGTTGTACTTCAAAGGCTAGTGATGGGATGTGGTTGCTGAAAAATGTAAAATGTACGGCTCGTGCTGCACTTTCCATTCCAAACGTGGGTGACAGTCCAGCCAAAATACCCTCGAAAGAAGAACCCCAGGCGTGATATTTGCTTACTCTTGTCTGAAATACTTAAGTATAACTGTAGAAAGTGTTAAGTGAAAAGACCTGAAGGAGAGCAAAGGGCAGTAGTAAGCTTCCATCTTGACAAATGTAAGGAATGTTTTATCTGTGTCTTAAAGTCGTGTGCGTATGTTAGAGGGGGCGTCCCAGATTTTTTCCGTCTTTCGCAATGTTCAACGAAAGTAAAAAATCATGCAATTACTGCATGACTTCAACATCAAACAAGTCTGAGGTTCTGCAGGTAAATGGTATATTGTTGTTTTAGCATGAAAGTTTTCACAAATATGTAGGGGGCAAAACCAAAACATACATTATTTTGGCTATGGGAGGCTTCATTTGATACTTTAAATTCCATTTTCATACTAGTCTCAATTCAGAAATGCTCCCTAAAGTTGTATGACCTTGTAAATGTTTTTCATCATAGCAACAGCAGGCCCAAATATTAAATATTCCTTTCTCTTCTGTGCCAAAGTTCTTCTCCTTACCCTCTGCCTAATGTTATTGTACACTTCCTATTCTATGTATAACTGGAACCTAAAAACAAAACCAAAAACTTTAAAAAACAAATAATCATTTGAAAACCATCTACGCCTTAAAAACTAGTTGGAAATCCATATTGCTCTCTATCCTGGTAATAAAATCAAGTTAGGTTGCTGCTGAAGTAAACAAGTTAGTACCTGATCTGACTCTGTATGGTGGCATCAGCAGGGAGTTGAGACAGTCCAAAACAGCAAAACCAAACTCGGCCATAAATTGAAAACAAAAATAAAGAACCAATTGTTAAGACTTCATGAATTGGCATTCATAAACAACACAGTTCTGCATTATATGTATTCAAAATCTCTTCCTTCTTACTGGCAAGCAGGGCAATCAACAATCTTTATTACTAAAACTTTGTGGGATATTTATAAATGCATGATTTTATTTTCCAAAGTGGCAATTAAATATCAAATTACAATTTTCTTTTTCTTTTTTTTCTTTTTTTTTTTTTTTGAGATGGGGTCTCACCCACGCTGGAGTGCAATGGCGCAATCTTGGCGCACTGCAACATCCGCCTCCCGGGTTCAAGCGATTCCCCCACCTCAGCCTGCCAAGTAGCTGGGATTACAGTTGTGCACTACCACGCCCGGCTAATTTTTGTATTGTTAGTAGAGACGGGGTTTCACCATGTTGGCCAGGCTAGTATCGAACTTCCGACCTCAGATGATCCACCCACCTCAGCCTCCCAAAGTGCTGGGATTACAGGCGTGAGCCACCACGCCTGGCCTCAAATTACAATTTTCATTGCCGAAGCAGAATATATTTTCACAGTTTACATGTGTATTTCTTAGTTTACTGAAAATTCAAAGTACAAGTTACATTCTAACGTGAACTGGAAGTATTTCCTAAAAAGTTATTTTTAACACAAATATCCAATTGAAGAGCAGTTTATTACAAATCAACAACTCGGGCTGGGCACGGTGGCTCACGCCTGTAATCCCAGCACTTTGGGAGGCGGAGGCGGGTGGATCACGAGGTCAGGAGATCGAGACCATCCTGGCTAACACGGTGAAACCCCGTCTCTACTATAAAATACAAAAAATTAGCCGGGCGTGGTGGCGGGCGCCTGTAGTCCCAGCTACTCGGGAGGCTGGGGCAGGAGAATGGCGTGAACCCGGGAGGCGGAGCTTGCAGTGAGCCGAGACCGCGCCACTGCACTCCAGCCTGGGCGACAGAGCGAGACTCCGTCTCAAAAAAACAAAAACAAAACAAATCAACAACTCAAAGCAACATAAAAGCATAGAAATTCTAATGGTTTTATTTTGGACATTTATATTTTTGTCATTATTTCCAAACTGTTATAGCTCAACCAAAAGTAGGCACCAAGGCAATGTGCCAAATTTTTCCTTCTTTCACTTTGTAACATAAATTGTATCGTAGCACTATGACAAAAATAAATTCAAGTATTATGATAATTTATCTACTTGAAAACATAATGTGGTCTAAATTTATCATTTAATGATACATATAGAGCTAAAAAGGTAAATTTGGATTGAACCATTTCTGCGTAAGGCTGGGAAAATAAATCTGAATAAAATTTGATAACCAGGAATGTTCATCAAATAAACAAGACATTCTTAGGGTTTTAACATAGCTACATATATATACTTTGATAGAGAATTTTTTAAGTTATCCATCAAACAGGACAATATATTTTCATCAAAAATAATGCACAAGAAAAAAAGATGATAAAAATAAAAATGCATTTTAGGTTCAGTCTAAGCATAAAGAAATTTTTTTTTTTTTTTTGAGACAGGGCCTTACTGTATCACCCAGGCTGGAGTGCAGTGGCACAATTATGGCTCACTGCAGACTCAGACGATCCTCCCACCTCAGCCTCCTGAGTAGCTGGCGTGTACCATCACACCTGGCTAATTTTTATATTTTTTGTAGAGATGAGGTTTTGCCATGTTGCCCAGGCTGAATAAGTTATTAAAATCATGGTAGTGGTTTCACTTATGGAGCACAATATGCCAGGTACTTTGCTTTCTTTGTATTAACTCTTATTCCTCACAACAATTCTGAAGTATTACTGTAACTACCAACATGTTATAGATGAGGAAACAAAGAGAAGTTAAGCAACTTGCTCCAGTGACGCAGCTGGTAAGCAGCAGAGCTGGGATTAAAACCCAGGCATTCTGATTCCACCACCTACACACTTAGCCATTCCGCCCCACTGAGAATGAAAATGTCAAAAAATACTAGGCCAGTAAGTGTTAGCAAGGCAAGAAATTTCCACACCAAAGGTGAGTATGTTGTTTGGAAAGATTGGGATGGAAATGAGTAAAGTATGTTTCTTTTTAAAAGTCTTTTAGTAAGCTTTAAAGCTCTATATGTAAGAAGCAGATGAAAATACCAAGTGAATTTTTAGATTTGATGTTATGTAAGGTTTTGTTTTGTTAATTAAAATTTGGTCATTTTGTGTGTGTGTGTGTCTGTGTGTGTGTGTGTGTGTGTGGTGAGAATATACCAGTGATATCCAATCACCAAAATTTTCTTTTTTTTTTTTTTGAGACAGTCTCACTCTGTCAGCCAGGCTGGATTGCAGTGGCGTGCTCTTGGTTTACTGCAGCCTCGATCTCCTAGGCTCAAGTCATCCTCCCACCTCGGGTCCCAAGCTGGGACTACAGGCACACATCACCACACCCAGCTAATTTTTGTATTTTCCCAGAAAGGGGTTTCACTATGTTGGCCAGGCTGGTCTCAAACTCCTGGCCTCAAGTGATCCACCCGCCTCAGCCTTCCAAAGTGCTGGAATTACGGGTGTGAGCCACCATGCCCGGCCTAGAATTTTCTGTATGGTATTAGGCATAAAATAACTAGCTTTCTTTGCACACTATGCTAGACTCAGTAATTTTAATGTTGGAGAGCTGTGCATCTTCATCTAAAATCTGTAGAACCCTGAGTGTCTTCTGATAAGAATCTATAACAAATATAAAGATATAATCCTTTTTTTTTTTAGACAGAGTCTTGCACTGTCACCTGAGCTGGAGTGCAATGGCACGATCTTGGCTCAATGCAACCTCCACCTCCCGGCTTCACGTGATTCTCCTGCCTCAGCTTCCCGAGTAGCTGGGATTACAGGCGCACACCACCACACCCAGCTTATTTTTTGTACTTTTAATAGAGATGGGGTTTCACTATGTTGGCCAGACTGGTCTCGAACTCCTGACCTGGTGATCCTTCCACCTTGGCCACCCAAAGTGCTGGGATTACAGGTGTGAGCCACTGCGCCCAGCAAAGATATAATCCTTTAAGGGATTATATTATTGATTCTGTTAAAGACAAATTATCTTTATTATAATAAAGACATAATCCTTGAAAGGATTATATTATTGATCTTTAAAGATCATGATTAAGAATGCCTCACCTCTCAGAGCAAGATCATACTTTTTTTTAACACAGTAAGAAGGAAATTGCAAAAAAACAAGGGACACACACCAACTGAAGAGTTTCACATTCTTATTTCCTACCAAGTGGAATGTCAAGAAACATGCAGCTATTTCTTGTACCAATTCTGACAGAATTGAGATTATGAACCCCTTAATTGATTTCCCAAGGTCAGAAAGCGTGGGCCAATGATGATATCCAATAACAATTCCCACCTCTTTTGGGTCACTGAGGAACAAGTTTCCCTGTCTATATAAAAGCATAAAACACAAGCAAACATTCCTGAAATATGGAAACATGCAGACATTATATGTTCTCACTTGATGCAGATATGAGACCTCTCTCTGGAAAAAGGCTCACAAAACTTTAGCATATCTTGCTTAAGAAAAATAGTCCGCAGTCACAGGCTGCAAAGGAAAAGCCTATATACAGCAATGTCAGAGGAATCTCAGACCTCAGGTAGGGGAGTTTCTTAGTGTCAGATTCACCTGAATCATCCCTCTTACAAACAAGTATTACTGTGCAATTTCTTGACTGTTTTTCCACTTATGATCCAAGTGGTACCAACAATGCACTGTGTTAGGCTAATGAGAGAACCTTTTAAGCCAAGTGAAGCTAAAAGATATAACATGCTCTTCAAATGAAGAGAGAAAAATGTAATGAAAGGACTGCAAAAAGTAGCATATGCATGCCAAACTCAAAAGAACCTATATGACCGTCAGCACCACATTAATAAAAGGAAATGTACCATAGTTACCAGCTTACAAGACATATTTTTACTTTAAAAGACTCCAAAAATTGGCCAGGTGCGGTGGCTCACACCTGTAATCCCAGAACTTTGGGAGGCCGAGGCGGGTGGATCACGAAGTCAGGAGATCGAGACCATTCTGGCTAACACGGTGAAACCCCGTCTCTACCAAAAATACAAAAAATTAGCCGGGCATGGTGGCGGGCGCCTGTAGTCCCAGCTACTCGGGAGGCTGAGGCAGGAAAATGGCGTGAACTCGGGAGGTGGAGCTTGCAGTGAGCCGAGATGGCACCACTGCACTCCAGCCTGGGCGACAGAGCAAGACTCCGTCTCAAAAAAACAAACAAACAAACAAACAAAAAAACTCCAAAAATTATATTGTATTAAATATGCCCATATTACAGATAAAGGCCAGTACAAGAGAAATAGGGCTTAGGGTCTTAGGTAAGCAATTACTGAAAACTGAGTACCTACCTACCCCTAGTGGCAAAGTGTGGAGGAAAACTATCATAGCAAGATTCACAGTGCATCCATTAACTACAAAATTAGCTACAAAAATAAGCCAAAGGCTACCCAACTGACTTAGAGGTAAAGTTTAAATTAATCCCCAGCATGTAAGGTGTAAACTCATCATTCCTACAACTCATGGCTCAAAAGCAAAGAAGGTAGTAGGTTCAAGCTTCATGTAACCCCTAAATGTTTGGAACGTAATTAGAACTTGGGGCAGAATTTTGAGGATGATGACTAATCTAGTGAATCCAAAGAATGACAATGATAAAGAGATCAAATCATGTAGACTTGAGCTGTGATGATGGCCTTCTGGTTTTGAATATGATCATTTACTTGGCTTTACCAATAGCTATTCATTTATCAATAACTATTCGTAAGTCTTTTTTTTTTTTTTTTTTTTTGTATTTTTTTTTTAAATTTATTTTTTAATTGATAATTCTTGGGTGTTTCTCACAGAGGGGGATTTGGCAGGGTCATGGGACAATAGTGGAGGGAAGGTCAGCAGATAAACAAGTGAACAAAGGTCTCTGGTTTTCCTAGGCAGAGGACCCTGCGGCCTTCCGCAGTGTTTGTGTCCCTGATTACTTGAGATTAGGGATTGGTGATGACTCTTAACGAGCATGCTGCCTTCAAGCATCTGTTTAACAAAGCACATCTTGCACCGCCCTTAATCCATTTAACCCTGAGTGGACACAGCACATGTTTCAGAGAGCACAGGGTTGGGGGTAAGGTCACAGATCAACAGGATCCCAAGGCAGAGGAATTTTTCTTAGTGCAGAACAAAATGAAAAGTCTCCCATGTCTACTTCTTTCTACACAGACACGGCAACCATCCGATTTCTCAATCTTTTCCCCACCTTTCCCGCCTTTCTATTCCACAAAGCCGCCATTGTCATCCTGGCCCGTTCTCAATGAGCTGTTGGGCACACCTCCCAGACGGGGTGGTGGCCGGGCAGAGGGGCTCCTCACTTCCCAGTAGGGGCGGCCGGGCAGAGGCGCCCCTCACCTCCCGGACGGGGCGGCTGGCCAGGCAGGGGGGCCGACCCCCCCCCACCTCCCTCCCGGACGGGGCGGCTGGCCGGGCGGGGGGCCGACCCCCCCACCTCCCTCCCGGACGGGGCGGCTGGCCGGGCAGAGGGGCTCCTCACTTCCCAGTAGGGGCGGCCGGGCAGAGGCGCCCCTCACCTCCCGGACAGGGCGGCTGGCTGGGCGGGGGGGCTGACCCCCCCCCACCTCCCTCCCGGACGGGGCGGCTGGCCGGGCGGGGGGCCGACCCCCCCACCTCCCTCCCGGACGGGGCGGCTGGCCGGGCGGGGGGCTGACCCCCCCCACCTCCCTCCCGGACGGGGCGGCTGGCCGGGCAGAGGGGCTCCTCACTTCCCAGTAGGGGCGGCCGGGCAGAGGTGCCCCTCACCTCCCGGACGGGGCGGCTAGCCGGGCGGGGGGCTGACCCCCCCACCTCCCTCCCGGACGGCACGGCTGGCCAGGCGGGGGGCTGACCCCCCCACCTCCCTCCCGGACGGCACGGCTGGCCGGGCGGGGGGGCTGACCCCCCACCTCCCTCCCGGATGGGGCGGCTGGCCAGGTGGGGGGCTGACCCCCCCCACCTCCCTCCCGGACGGGGTGGCTGCCCGGCAGAGACGCTCCTCACTTCCCAGACGGGGTGGCTGCCGGGCGGAGAGGCTCCTCACTTCTCAGACGGGGCGGTTGCCAGGCAGAGGGTCTCCTCACTTCTCAGACGGGGCGGCCGGGCAGAGACGCTCCTCACCTCCCAGACGGGGTCTCGGCCGGGCAGAGGCGCTCCTCACATCCCAGATGGGGCGGCGGGGCAGAGGCGCTCCCCACATCTCAGACGATGGGCGGCCGGGCAGAGACGCTCCTCACTTCCTAGATGTGATGGCGGCTGGGAAGAGGCGCTCCTCACTTCCTAGATGGGATGGCGGCCGGGCGGAGACGCTCCTCACTTTCCAGACTGGGCAGCCAGGCAGAGGGGCTCCTCACATCCCAGACGATGGGCGGCCAGGCAGAGACACTCCTCACTTCCCAGACGGGGTGGCGGCCGGGCAGAGGCTGCAATCTCGGCACTTTGGGAGGCCAAGGCAGGCGGCTGCTCCTTGCCCTCGGGCCCCGCGGGGCCCGTCCGCTCCTCCAGCCGCTGCCTCCCGGGCGGCGCTCTATTCGTAAGTCTTGAGGAGGATCAGTAATTATATTGTTATTTAACCATGATTCTCACTGACATGGTTGTTTTTGTTAGACCTCATTCAAATTCTCTGGCTGCTCTCTGTATTCAAATACTAAAATATTTTACTCTACATAAGCATCAAGTTGAAATTCCTTCACATTTTAATTTTCAATACTTTGTTCCATTTTTTACTGAAATATTTGCTTGTATGTGTATATGTACCAGAGCTACCTGTAAAATAAATTCATTCAAATTTATTTTATATTATGATTTGCTGTTTAGATTTCCTAAATTCACTAAAATACTAACATATTAATTTTACTGTTACATTAATATGCATATTATGGGGCTTTAGCTCCAGCAAATTTCCTGGTTTTGTTGCCACCTGTTTATCAGTATTCATGTATAACATTATATTTCTTTTTAGTTATGTGGTACTATATTTCACATTACTAATAATATTAGTACATTATTACTGCATATTAGAACTTAGGACTTACTCTCACATTGTAACATACTGTATTTACTTTAACAAAATAATGGTTTATATAACACACATTACATGATAAAAAGAATTTAATTTTTTCTAAAAAATTTCTCCAGAAAATTGTGACGCACTGGGCATATACATACCTTTGTATCTTATATACCATTAAATATGATACTTTCAGAACACTGACATCTATCACATTTAAATCATTAATTTCTGTCTGGGCAGCGTAGCTTACGCCTGTAATGCCAGCACTTCTGGGAGGCCAAGGCAGGAGGATCACTTGAGCCCGGGAGTTCAAGACCAGCCTGGGTAACACAGTGAGACCTTGTCTCCACAAAAAATTTAAAAATTGGCTGGGCACAGTGGGTCACGCCTGTAATCCTAGCATTCTGGGAGGCCGAGGCAGGTGGATCACTTGAGGTCAGGAGTTTGAGACCAGCCTGGCCAACATGGTGAAAACCCATCTCTCTTTTTATTTTTATTTTTTTATTTTTTTTGAGACAGAGTCTCACTGTGTCCCCCAGGCTGGAGTGCAGTGGCACAGTCTTGGCTCACCACAACCTCCACTTTCCAGGTTCAAGCAATTCTCCTGCCTCAGCCTCCCAAGTACCTGGGACTACAGGCGCATGCCACCACACCTGGCTAATTTTTGTATTTTTAGTAGAGACAGGGTTTCACTGTGTTGGCCAGGCTGGTCTTGATCTCCTGACCTCAGTAATCTGCCCGCTTCAGCCTCCCAAAGTGCTGGGATTACAGGCGTGAATCACCCATGTCTACTAAAAATACAAAAATTAGCTGGGCACATGCCTGTGGTCCCAGACTTGGGAAGCTGAGGCAGGAGAATTGCTTGAACCCAGGAGGTGGAGGTTGCAATGAGCTGACATCATGTCTCTGCACTCCAACCTGGGTGACAGAGTAAAACTCCCTCTCAAAAAATAAATGAAATAAAATAAAAAATTAGCTGAGTGTTGTGGCACACTCTGATAGTCCCAACTACTCAGGAGACTGAGGTGGGAGGATTGCCTAAGCCCAGGTCAAGGTTGCAGTGAGCCATGACTGCACCACTGCACTCCACCCTGGGTGACAGAGCAAAGACCCTGTCTCAAAAGAAAAAAATTAATAAATAAAAAATCATTAATTTCCCCTTTCTTCATTTTGTAGTTTGTGATATTTAATTTCTCAATCTGTTGTTGTCTTGTAATTACATGAGTACTGTAAGCTTAGGGAAGCTACACCTAGTTTTATGGTTACATATATTTAACATTATAATAAAATTCAGGAAGAATTCAATGTTGTACAGTATTAGAGCTAGCTAGTGGTCTAAGTTGGGAGTATATAAAAAAAATGGAGTCAATTTTAACACTAGTGAAAAACAAATGGAAATGTGTTCAAATTATTAAAGGATTTAATTTTGGTATTTGGTTTGGCTGTGTCCCCACCCAAATCTCATCTTGAATTGTAGCTCCCATAATTCCCACGTGTTGTGGGAGTGACCTGGTGGGAGGTAACTGAATCATGGGGGCAGTTTACCCCACACTGTTCTCATGGTAGCAAATAAGTCTCATGAGAGCCGATGGTTTTATAAGGGGAAACCCCTTTTGCTTGGTTCTTATTTTCTCCTGTCTACCGCCATGTAAGATGTGCCTTTTGCCTTCCACCATAATTGTGAGGCCTCCCCAGCCACATGGAACTGTAAGTCAGTTAAACCTTTTCATTATAAATTACCCAGTCTTGGGTATGTCTTTATCAGCAGCATGAAAACAGACTAATACAGTAAATTGGTACTGGTAGAGTGGGGTGTTGCTGTAAAGATACCCAAAAATGTGTAAGCAACTTTGGAACTGGGTAACAGGCAGAGGTTGGAACAGTTTGGAGGGCTCAGAATAAGACAGGAAAATGTAGGTAAGTTTGGAACTTCCTAGAGATTTGTTAAATGGCTTTGACCAAAATGCTGATAATGACATAGACAATGAAATCCAGGCTGAGGTGGTCTCAGATGGAGATGAGGAATTTGTTGGGAACTGGAGTAAAGGTGACTCTTGCTATCTTTTAGCAGAAAGACTGGCAGCATTTTGCCTCTGCCCTGGAGATTTGTGGAACTTTGAACTTGAGGGAGATGATTTAGGGTATCTGGCAGAAGAAATTTCTTTTTTTTTGTGATGGAGTCTCGCTCTGTTACCCAAGTTGGAGTGCAGTGGCATGATCTCAGCTCACTGCAACCTCCACCTCCCGGGTTCAAGCAATTCTCCTGCCTCAGCCTCCCAAATAGCTGGGACTACAGGCGCATGCCACCATGCCCAGCTAATTTTTGTATTTTTAGTAGAGATGGGGTTTCACCATGTTGGCCAGGATGGTCTCGATCTCTTGACCTTGTGATCTGCCAGCCTCAGCCTCCCAAAGTGCTGGGATTACAGGCATGAGCCACTGCACCCAGCCTCTGGAGGAAGAAATTTCTAAGCAGCAAACCATTCAAGAGGTGACTTGGGTGCTGTTAATAGTATTCCATTTTAAAAGGGAAACAGAACAAAAGTTCAGAAAATTTGCAGCCTATGTGATAGAAAAGAAAAACCCATTTTCTGAGGAGAAATTCAAGCTGGCTGCAGAAATTTGCGTAAGTAATGAGGAGCTGCCAGGTGCGGTGGCTCATGCCTGTAATCCCAGATGAGACTTTGGACTGTGGACTTTTGAGTTAATGCTGAAATGAGTTAAGACTGTGGGGGACTGTTGGGAAGGCATGATTGGGTTTGAAATGTGAGGACATGATATTTGGGAGGGACCAGGGGCAGAATGATATGGTTTGGCCGTGGACCTGGTGGTACATAAATGAATCATGGAGGCGGTTTCCCCCATACTGTTCTCATAGTAGTGAATGAGTCTCATGAGAACTGATGGTTTTTTAAGGGGAAACCCCTTTTGTTTGGTTCTCATTCTCTCTTGCCGCCTGTACCCCCACTGTATCTAGGCAGGCAGATCACCTGAGGTTGGGAGTTTGAGACCAGCCTGACCAACATGAAGAAACTCCATCTCTACTAAAAATACAAAATTAGCCAGGTGTGGTGGCATGTGCCTGGAATCCCAGCTACTCAGGAGGCTGAGGTAGGAGAATCACTTGAACCCAGGAGACAGAGGTTGCGGTGAGCCGAGATTGTGCCATTGCACTCCAGCCTGGGCAACAAGGGCGAAACTCTTGTCTTAAAAAAAAAAAAGGAGCCAAATGTTAATCACCAAGACAGTGGGGAAAATGTTTCCAGGGCATGTCAGAGACCTTTGCAGCAGCCCCTCCTATAACAGGCCCAGAGGCCTAGGAGGAAAAAATGGTTTTGTGGGCTGGGCTCAGGGCCCCCTGCTGTGTGCAGCCTTGGGACCTGGTGCCCTGTGTCCCAGCCACTGTAGCCATGGCTAAAGGGTGCCAAGGTACAGCTCAGGCCACGGCTTCAGAGGATGCAAGTACCAAGCCTTGGCAGCTTCCACGTGATGTTGAGCCTGTGAGCGCACACAAGTCAAGAACTGAGGTTTGGGAACCTGCACCTAGATTTCAGAGGATATATGAAAACGCTTGGATGTCCAGGCAGGAGATTGCTGCAGGAGCAGGGCCCTCACAGAGAACCTCTGCTAGGGCAGTGCAGAAGGGAAATGTGGAGTTGGAGGCCCCCCAGAGTCCCTACTGGGGCACTACTTAGTGGAGCTGTGAGAAAAGGGCCACCATCCTCCAGACGCCAGAATGGTAGATCCACCAACTGCTTGCACTGTGCACCTGGAAAAGCCACAGACAACACCAGCCTGTGAAAGCAGCCGGGAGGGGGGCTGTTCCCTGCAAGGCCACAGGGGCACAGCTGCCCAAGGCTGTGGGAGCCCACCTCTTACATCAGTGTGACATGGATGTGTGACAAAGGAGGCAAAGATCACTTTGGAGCCTTGAGATTTGACTGCCCCACTGGATTTCAGACTTGCATGGGGCCTGTAGCCCCTTTGTTTTGGCCGATTTCTCCCATTTGCAATGGCTGTATTTACCCAATGCCTGTACCCCCACTGTATCTAGGAAGTAACTAATTTGCTTTTGATTTTACAGGCTCAGAGGTGGAAGGGACTTGCCTTGTCTCAGATGAGACTTTGGACTGTGGACTTTTGAGTTAATGCTGAAATGAGTTAAGACTGTGGGGGACTGTTGGGAAGGCATGACTGGTTTTGAAATGTGAGGACATGATATTTGGGAGGGACCAGGGGCAGAATGATATGGTTTGGCTGTGGACCTGGTGGTATATAAATGAATCATGGAGGCGGTTTCCCCCATACCGTTCTCATAGTAGTGAATGAGTCTCATGAGCACTGATAGTTTTTTAAGGGGAAACCCCTTTTGCTTGGTTCTCATTCTCTCTTGCCGCCATGTAAGATGTGCCTTTTGCCTTCCACCGTGATTGTGAGGCCTCCTCAGCCACCTGGAACTGTAAGTCCATTAAACCTCATTTTCATTACAAATTATCCAGTCTTGGGTATGTCTTTATCAGCAGCATCAAAACAGATTAATACAGGTATATAGTATTTATGCTGTGAAACATCACTTCAATGAAAACTGTGAGAACTGAAGGACAGCTTTTGTTAACTAAAATGCCAATTTGAGGACCTAATGGAATCAGAATTTTAAAGAACATTTTCAATTTCCTCATTTTAGCAGAAAAAGAAACATAAAGGGAAGCTGAACAAAGTATCCTAGACCTTTAGTTGTTCTCTTAGTTATTTATTTACTTACTTTTTAGAGACAGGGTCTCACTGTCACCCAGGCTGGAGTGCAGTGGCGCAATTTTGGCTCACTGCAGCCTTGACCTCCTAGGCTCAAGTGATCCTCCTGCCTTAGCCCCAAAAGTAGCTGGGACTATGGGTGCACACCACTATGCCAGGCTAGTTTCTGTATTATTATTATTTTTTAGATATTAGAGTATCACTCTGTCACCCAGGCTGGAGTGCAGTGGTGTGATCTTGGCTCACTGCAACTTCTGCCTCCCAGGTTCAAGTGATTCTCGTGCCTCAGCCTCCTGAGTAGCTGGGATTATAGGTGCCGGCCACCATGCCCAGCTAATTTTTCTATTTTTGGTAAAATCAGGGTTTCACCTTATTGGCTAGGCTGGTCTCAATCTCCTAACCTCAGGTGACCCATCCGCCTTGGCCTCCCAAAGTGCTGGTTTTACAGGTATGAGCCACCACACCCAGCCTAATTTCTGTATTTTGTAGTGGAATTTCACCATGTTGCCCAGGCTGGTCTGGAACTCTTGGGCTCAAGTGATCAGCCCACCTCAGCCTCCCAAAGTGCTGGGATTACAGGCATGAGCTACTGCATTCAGTTGTTTTTTAGATGAGGCCTCCCTATGTTGCCAAGGCTGGAGTGCAGTGGCTATTCATCAGCAGTGACTATTCATAAATAATCATAGTTCATTGTGACCACCAACTCCTGGACTCAAGCAATTCACTGATTTGCCCACCTCAGCCTCACAAGTAGCTGGTACTACAGGTGTGTGTCAATGTCTTGTCGCTGTGCCTATCTTGTTATTGTTATTTTTGCTTCTGAAAAATATATAAAATATATATATATATATTAAAAAATATTGTTTGTGTCAGACACACAAATATTTAAAACTATGCCTGAAGCCATCAAGGTTATTATGGCCAAAGATTTCAATTTCCTTTTTTGGTCAAAATGCAAAATTGATACCCTGAGAATAGAGTCACAAACGTGTACCTAGAAAAGGTAGTATGCATCAGTTAGTAAGAAACTACTTTGGAGAACAGGATTTTCTCTGTTGTCAAATGTTTATAGCTTAGTAAGATTTCTGCAGAACACAAGATACATCATTTTAATATGGTATATAATTTTCTACAGGGTTATTCTAGTCTTTAGCTAGCAGAAAAACTAGCTAAAACCTTTTTATTTTAGTTTTTAAAGGGATATAAAACCTTTGCCCAAGTTAACAAGAATATCTCAATTGCATTCTTTTTTTTGAGATGAATTTTCACATTTTTGTTGCCCAGCCTGGAGTGCAGTGGTCCGATCTCAGCTCACTGCAACCTCCGCCTCCCGGGTTCAAGCAACTCTACTGCCTCAACCTCTCAAGTAGCTGGGATTCCAGGTGCCCACCACCACACCCGGCTAATTTTTATTTTTATTAGACACGGGGTTTCACCACGTTGGCTGGGCTGGTCTTGAACTCCTGAACTCATGATCCACCCGCCTCGGCCTCCCAAAGTGCTGGGATTACTGGCGACAAGATCTTTTTTAAACAAGAGTCATAAAAAATTAGCACCATAAAAACTGTTTCTTTCATTCTTACTTCTACAAATCAATCACTTGCTGAAGATCAGTTCACACTAATTCAAAATACACTGTTATACCATATATATTATCTACTTGATGTCAATAATGAATAGGCATAATATTAATAAATTATTCCAGTATTTTCAATTCCTTAATTTATTTAAAAGCCATTGTTCTAAATGAACCATGCAGCAATCCAAGATAACCAGAAACCAAATCAACTTTGTCACGGTCTCATGATTTATGTTTTTAACTTTCATTTTAGAATTCAGGTCATTTTTTTTTTTTTTTTTTGAGACGGGAGTCTCGCTCCATTGCCCAGGCTGGAGTGCAGTGGCGCACTCTCAGCTTACCACAACCTCCACCTCCCGAGTTCAAGTGATTCTCCTGCCTCAGCCTCCCAAGTAGCTGGGACTACTAGGTGAGTGCCACCATACCTGGCTAATTCTTTTTTATTTTTGGTAGAGACAGGGTTTCACTATGTTAGCCAAGCTGGTCTTGAACTCCTGACCTCATAATCCACCCGCCTGGGCCTCCCAAAGTGCTGGGATTACAGGCATGAACCACCATGCCTGGCTTTTCTTTTTTTGTTGTTGTTGAAACAAGAGTATTGCTCTTGTCACACAGGCTGGAGTGCAGTGGCGCGATCTTGGCTCACTGCAACCTCTGCCTCCCAGGTTCAAGCGACTCCTCTGTCTCAGCCTCTCGAGCAGCTGAGATTACAGGTGTCTGCCACCATGCCCAGCTAATTTTTATACTTTCAATAGAGGCAGGGTTTCACCATGTTGGTCAGACTGGTCTCGAACTCCTGTCAGGTCATTATTTTTAATATATAATAGTGACAACCTAATACTTGCAATTATTTTTCCTTTAGAAGATGTATACATTAGCTATTATCATCGAAGTATATCAAGTTCTTCAAGTATATTTTTGGTATGTAGAAAACATAACAAAAATGGCTTTAAAAAAATGAAAGATTAGGCCAAGCATGGTGGCTCATGCCCATAATCCCAGCACTTTGGGAGGACAGAGTGGGCACATCACTCAAGGCCATGAGTTCAAGACCAGCATGGCCAACATGGTGAAACCTCATCTCTACTAAAAATACAAAAATTGGCCAGGCGCAGTGGCTCATGCCTGTAATCCCAGAACTTTGAGAGGCCGAGACAGGTGGATCACCTGAAGTCAGGAGTTTGAGACCAGCCTGGCCAACATGGCGAAACCCCATCTCTACTAAAAATACAAAAATTAGCCAGACATGGTGGTGCGTACCTGTAATCCCAGCTACTAGGGAGGCTGAGGCAGGAGAATTGCTCAAACCTGGGAGGTGGAGGTTGCAGTGAACCGAGATCATGCCATTGCACTTCAGCCTGGGTGACAGAAGGAGACTCTGTCTCAAAAAAAAAAAAAAAAAAATTAGCCAGGTGTCTTGTCACATGCCTGTAATCCCAGCTACTCAGGAGGCTAAGGCAGGAGAATCACTTGAACCTGGGATGCAGAGGTTGCAGTGAGCCGAGATCGTGCCACTGCACTCCAGCCTGGGCAACAAAGCAAGACCCTGTCTCAAAAAAGAAAAAAAAAAAATCAATGATTGGCTGGGTGCACTGGCTCAGGCCTGTAATCCCAGCACTTTGGGAGACCAAGGCAGGAGGATCACTTGAGCTCAGGAGTTCCAGACCAGCCTGGGCATGAGCCACCATGCTTGGCCTCTTCTTTTTTTTTTTTCTTTTGAGACAGAGTCTCACTCTGTCACCCAGGCTGGAGTGCAGAGGCGCGATCTCGGCTCACTGCAATCTCTGCCTCCCGGGTTCAAGAGATTCTCATGCATCAGCCTCCCGAGTAGCTGGAACTACAGGCATGCATCACTACGCCCAGCTAATTTTTGTAGTTTTAGTAGAGACGGGGTTTCCATGTTGGCCAGGCTGGTCTTGAACTCCTGACCTCAGGTGATCCTCCTTCTGTCACCCAGGCTGAAGAGATCCACACTTCAGCCTCACAAAGTGCTGGGATTAGAGGCGTGAGCCACCGTGCTCGGCCCCAGGCATAGTTTTAAATGACATTTATCTACTGGCTTTTCCATTGAGTTTTTAGTGTGATAAACTGATAATGTTTAACCATAAAGAAAGTTAACAACCCCTTAACTTATAACCACTTTGAAGTTTATTTTACAGCACTTTAATTGAAACATTATTTAACTACTGACCAGGACTGTTTACAAATGCAATGCTTGGCCTTCGAGATAATTAAAAACCTTTAAGTACTAAAATTTTACATCATGATTTAACTTAAGTGTTATGATGGTGAAAACAGAAGAAAATCTAAAGCAAACATATAATGATTTCCACAAAAACCATGTATTTCTCCCTTATATTAAAGGGAGGAAAGAAGGAAGGAAAAAGAAAAGGAGGGGAAAAGCGGGCGAGAAGAAAAGGAAAGAGTGCATGATAAGCAAGAAAAATACACTTTCCCCCCAATTCGCAAAAAGAAGGGAAACGCTGAGGTCTCAGCAAATTAGGTATTCAACTGAGTCAGTTTATATTAAGGCATTTTCTTTACATATTATTGAATCCCATCATGCCTTTCATGTTGCCAGCAGCACCCTGTTGAAACTGCCTCATCATTGACTGAAGTCCTGCCATACCACCTAGAGCAAAAGTAGGGAAGTAGAGTTAAAAACAGAGAATTATTAAGCAGAACTGGAAACATTTATTACTTTTGCCTAATAAGTACTTCTAAAAATACTGAATTCTGATTGCAATTTAGTCATCAGCCTTAAAGAACGTACCACCTAAAAATTTGTATTATCACCAGTTATCTTCATCAATAAAAGAGAATGAATAGCCTATCTTACGGAGTTATTGCGAGGAATAAATGAGGTGATACATAAAAAGATCTTAGGATACTACCGGTCACATAGTCAATAAATCTAAACAAAAAATTTTTTTCTTATAAATCCAAAAGGGTCTTACTCTAAGTTACATAAAAAATAATCAATAGGGGATTATTTCATAGGACTTACAAAAAGAAAATAATTCATTTATTGAACATCTACTATATGCCCAGAATTGTACTGAATGTCTTCATATATATTATCTCATTTAATTGTCACAATTTCTTGATGAGATATGATCTGTGATTTTACCGAAGGGGAAAGTGAGGTTCAGAAAGTTTAAGGAACTTTGTAAAGGTTATATAGTCAAAGTAGAACTCAGGTTAAAAATCCTCAGTCATATAAGTAAAAATATCCAGGTTCTAAAATAAGGGAAAAAGTCACCAGAACAAACAAAAGATGATTAAATAGCTTGCTCAAACATCACACAGATGGCAGCAGAGGAGTGAATAAGACCTCAGCTAATAAGCCCTATTACAATTGAATTCAACTTAGGATTCAGATGACCATTTCCCTGAAATCACACACCTTTTGAACATATTTTCATAATATTACAATAAAAGGCTTATCATTAAAACTCAACCCTTATAAATTAAACTGCATTAGCAACTGCCAACAACTTGGTATTTACCCATGTGATGAAGAACCCTAGGATCCATCATTTTGGCCATTTGTTGGTTCAATTTTGCCATCTGTGACTGGCTCACATTCTTAGACATGTCGCCACCTGAGGGGAAAAAAAAAAAGATTTTGAGTCAGCGTAGGAGGTAATATAATCAGTATAATCAGGGTATAATAGAAAGTTTGATGAACTGAGAAAATACTAAGAAAAAATTACATAATCCTATCACTCTAACATAATTCTTTCTATTTCTACATATTCCCTTCTAATCTTTTTCTCAATTACATACTATTTTTTGAAGACCATGTAAAATTCTATATAAAAGGACATATAAAAGGCTTTTTTAAGGCTACGATTTATGCTAATACTTTATTTATATCTGTGAATAAGCCACTATTAGCAAAATTGTACCCAGTGTTTTATTTTTTATTTATTTTGAGATGGAGTCTTGCTCTGTCACCCAGGCTAGAGTGCAGTGGCGTGATCTCGGCTCACTGCAACCTCCACCTCCCAGGTTCAAGTAATTCTCCTGCCTCAGCCTCCCAAGTAGCTGGGATTACAGGTGCCCGCCACCACACCCAGCTAATTTTTGTATTTTTAGTAGAGACAGGGTTTCACCATCTTGGCCAGGCTGGTCTCAAACACCTGACCTCGTGACCCACTCACCTCAGCCTCCCAGAGTGCTGGGATTACAGGTGTGAGACACCGTACCTGGTCAGCCAGCAGTTTTTAATAGTAAGCTATAACAACGGCTTAATAGTGATACAGGGGAATGCTGGACAAAAAGCTGAGTTTATAGACATGGGTTAATTAGCAAAGAGACTGGATGGCTGGTAGATGAATATGAAAGTATGAGTCTGTTGGGCTGGCTGTGGTGGCTCACAACTATAATCCTAGCACTCTGGGAGGCCGAGGCTGGCAGATCACTTGAGGTCAGGAGTTCGAGACCAGCCTAGCCAACGTGGTGAAACCCCGTCTCCACTAACAATACAAAATAAATTAGTCAGACATGGTGGCACACGCCTGTAGTCCCAGCTACTCAGGAGACTGAGGCAGAATTGCTTGAATCCGGGAGGCGGAGGTTGCAGTGAATCAAGATCGCACCACTGTACTCCAGCCTGGGCGACAGAGCAAGACTCTGTCTCAGAAGAAAAAAAAAAAAAAAAGAAAGTAGAAAGTAAAGTATGAGTCTGAGAGAACGTGAAGATGTGTATGTATCTAAGAAGTTTTTTTTGTTTTGTTTTGTTTTTGAGATGGAGTCTAGCTCTGTCACCCAGGCTGGAGTGCAATGGCACGAACTCAGCCCACTGCAACCCCCGCCTCCCGGGTTCACACCATTCTCCTGTCTCAGCCTCCCGAGTAGCTGGGATTACAGGCATGAGCCACCACACCCAGCTAATTTTTGTATTTTTAGTAGAGACAGGGTTTCACCATTTTGGCCAGGATGGTTTCGATCTCTTGACCTCATGATCTGCCCGCCTTGGCCTCCCAAAGTGCTGGGATTACAGGCGTAGGCCACAGCGCCTGGCCAGAAGTTTTCTTTAAGTAATGAAAACCTTCAGAGAATACAAAGACAAATAATGCAACTTCACTTGTCAAGGAATTTCTACACTATGTCAAAACACCATAGTAAAAAGGGCAGTCAATGAAAGAGATGCAGCCTGGGTGAGGTGGGTCACATTTGTAATCCCAGCACTTCAGGTGGCGAAGGTAGGCTGATTACTTGAGCCCAGGAGTTCAAGATCAGCCTGGGCAACATGGGGAAACCCTGTCTCTACAAAAAAAACAAAAAAAAGCATTAGCTCAGTGTGATAGCATGCGTCTGTAGTCTCAGCTACTTGGGGGCCTCAGATTGGAGGATCGCTTGAGCTTGGGAGGTCAAGGCTGCAGTGAGCCATGATCATGCCATTGCACTTCAGCCCCCAGCCTGGGTGACACAGCGAGACCCTGTCTCAAAACAAAACAAAACAAACAAACAAAAAACAACAAAAAATAAACAACAACAATAAATAAAAAAACAACAACAGAATAGATAAAAACACCCTTTAGACAACAGCTGTACTCATAAAAGAAAGCAAGAGATCATCACTACAACAATGAATAGAACTGCTTCAACAATTTTTTTTTTTTTTTTTTTGAGACAGGCTCTTGCTCTGTCGCCCAGGCTGGAATGCAGTGCTCTGATCATGGCTCACTGCAGCCTTGCCCTCCTGGGCTCATGGGATCCTCCTGCCTTGGCCTCTCAAAGTGCTGGGATTACAAGTATGAGCCACCACAACCATCCAAAATTATTTATTTGAAAGGGGCATTAACTATGGTACTTCTCAGAAGCATTTATAAAATATGGGACTCAAAGCTCCTCCTGATTCTCCAATCACAGCTGGTTAATGTGAATAAATCATGTGAATTATAAACTATGAATGAAAGAGAAGATTATGTTTTTATGATAAAATCTGTGAAAACCATTTATGATGAATAAATCTGAAGAAGATGGGAATTCCATGCTCATTAGTGATTTGTCCTAAGAGTTTGTTTATCAGCATTTAAAACTTCTAAAAAGTATTTCAAGTTTGGTGTGACATAGCTGTGTGTATACCCACTGCCAACTTCATCTTGGGTTATTCCTTTATTGAGGGATCAATGCATAGATAAGATCTGGATGGTGAATCTGTTCTATCAAGAACAGTCAGGACTACATGGGAAAGACATTACAGTGATGTAATGTGTTTATTAGTCACTATCTGAAATAGCATGTGATGGTAGGAATTATAACCAATTTTCAACATGTTTGTCTAATTTTTTTGTCACAAAAGAGAAAATAGGATATCGCAAGGAAAATAAGGAAAGCTTCAAAGACAAAAGGTAATTTAAAACATCTGGAAATACTCATTCTTTTAGAAGCTATTCAATGGTATTGTTCATATTCAGAGCTTGTCTAATTAATATTTTTGGAAACAATAAATTCATTTTAATGGGTTTCAAGGCAAATTTTCACAGACTCTGAATTAGTTGTTTACATTATAGAAAAAAATCAAAAAGAGGACTGGAACAGTTGGAAGTCTTTGGAAAACCTTATCTTTTTACGATACATAATACACAGCAAAATAAATTCAATTGAGATTAAAAAGTCAAACACAAAATAAAAACAAAAACAAGTAGAAGCCAGGTGTTGTGGCTCATGCCTGTAATCCCAGAGCATTTTAGGAAGCTAAGGCGGGCGAATCACTTGAGGTTGGGAGTTTGAGACCAGCCTGGCCAGTAAAGATGGTGAAACCCAGTCTCTACTAAAAATACAAAAATTAGTTGGGCATGGTGGCACGTGCTTGAAATCCCAGCTACTCGGGAGACTGAGGCAGGAGAATAGCTTGAACCCAGGAGGCGGAGGTTGCAGTGAGCTGAGATCATGCCAGTGCACTCCAGCCTGGGCGACAGAGCAAGACTCTGTCTCAAAAAAAGAAGAAAATGGTGACAACTGTGGTATCAACATGGAGAAGGTTAACTTGATTACCTCTGTAAAGAAAAAAAAAAAAGGAAAAAATAAACAAGGGGAAGCTGTTTATGAGCATAAAAGAAATAAAAAAAGATAGGCTGGCTACATTAAAAAGGGCAACTACTGTTCATTATAAAATATAAATAAAAATAAAAGGTAAATGAAAAACTGGGGGAAAATATTTGAAGACATAAACCAAAGATTTTAAGGAGCTATTACAAAGATATAAGGGGGAAAAATGGAAGAACTGGACAGGGAACATGAAGAGGTGATTCACAAAGTAAATTCAAACCAGTAAATGTACAAAGAAATGTTAAACTTAATAATGTAAAAACACATATTGAGAAAATATTCAACCATTAAAATGGAAGTGAGGCCGGACGTGGTGGCTCAAGCCTGTAATCCCAGCACTTTGGGAGTCCGAGGCGGGCACATCATTTGAGGTCAGGAGTTCAAGACCAGCCTGGCCAACATAGTGAAACCCCGTCTCTACTAAAAATACAAAAATTAGCCAGGCGGTAGTGGTGCATGCCTTTAATCCCAGTTACTCGGGAGGCTGAGGCAGGAGAATTGTTTGAGCCTGGGAAGCAGAGGCTGCAGTGAGCCGAGATTGTGCCACTGCACTCCAGTCTGGGTGACAGAGAGAGACTCTGTCTCAAAATAATATAAATAAAGAAATATAATGGAAATTATATTACTACAAAATTTTTTTAGCTTCTACTATGTTTCTGATCAAAACAGGCAAAAATCCCTGGTCTCATGGAACTGCACAAAAACTGATCTGATATAGAAGTGAATGAATCAGCCTTACTGTCCAAAAAAGTGGCACTACATTAGACAAAGATACATGCATAACTTAAACAGTATTACTCAGAAGAAGTGTGTGTGTGTGTGTGTGTGTGTGTGTGTGTGTGTTTGGGGACCGGAGTCTCACTCTGCTGCCCAGGCTGGAGTACAGTGGTACAATCTCGGCTCACTGCAAGCTCCGCCTCCTGGGTTCAAGTGATTCTCCTGCCTCAGCCTCCCGAGTAGCTGGGATAACAGGTACACCCCACGACACCCGGATATTTTTTGTATTTTAAGTAGAGGCAGGGTTTCACCATGCTGGCCAGGCTGGTCTTGAACTCCTGACCTCAAGTGATCCGCCCGCCTCAGCCTCCCAAAGTGCTAGGATGACAGGCATGAGCCATCGTGCCTGGCCAAGAATTATGTTTTGAAGAATATTTGACAACATGGAAAAACAGTTATGATATATCAGAAGAAAACTTAGTTATAGCAACTGTTATTTGCAGTAGGATCCACTGGATTCTCTGGGGAGTAAAGGTAATGTGTTTTTTTTTTCCTTATATTATCTAAATTTAATATAATGTGTTCACAAAAAGAAAATCATTGCTTTATTAATTTTTTTTCATTTACCCACACTACACAGATGTAAAGTTTTTTTTTAAATATTAATATTACCTTGAATATGAAAACAGATAAATCACAGGTCACATAAATCCTGGAAGTACTTGAAAATAACATGAAATTCAGCTGTGAATTTTCCAATACTGGCAGCACTCTTTTTTCTCAACTTCCTTTCTTTTCCGTCTGTTAACTAATAACAAGCTTATTTTTCTTACCTTTGAAAAGTCCTTTGATACCTCCCATCTTTTTTACCATCTGTGCAAACTTGGTATATTGTGTCAAAAGTTCTTGAACATCTCTTGTTGATACACCCGATCCTCTTGCTACTCTTTGGATTCTTCCTGGTTGTTTACTAAAAACTTTGGCACCATCCGTACTGTCTAGTTCTGTAGACAAGGTCAGTTACTCTCACACACAATTATCATTCACCATCAAAGCAGTTATGTGCAAATGGGCAATATATAACTTCAAAGAGCTTAGCAGATGTTTTTAAAGTGATAACTATCTCATTTTTCTTTTTATATTACAAAATATCTTACATACAGAAAAACAGACATAATACATAGTCAAACTACCACCCAGATTTAACAAATGTTAACATTCGCTATGTTTGCTTTTGAGTTTTAAAAATTAAACATGGAGGCCAGGCGTGGTGGCTCATGCCTGTAATCACAACACTTTGTGAGGCCGAGGCAGGCAGCTCATGAGGTCAGGAGTTCGACACCAGCCTGGCCAATATGGTGAAACCCTGTCTTTACTAATAATACAAAAATTAGCTGGGCATGGTGGCATGTGCCTGTAGTCCCAGCTACTCGGGAGGCTGAGGCAGAAGAATCGCTTGAACCTGGGAGGCAGAGGTTGCAGTGAGCCAAGATTGCGCCATTGCACTCCAGCCTGGGCGACAGAGCGAGACTCCATCTCAAAAAAAAAAAGAAAATACGGAATATATTCAAAAGAACATTTATAGTATTCATAAGCTATAAAAACAATGAAACAAACATGTACTTTCCCTACAGTTTAAGTAAACTATTAATAGAATGTTTCGAGACCCCATGTCCAACATTTCCATACTTCATATGTCTACCCTCTCCAGGCCCTCCAAACATCAGAGGTATATGGTATATTTAAAAAATGAACACAAATGCTCACTTTAGCTCTACCCTAAATATTAATCATAAATTCATAATGTAGACTATATAAGCAAGCAGAAAGAGGTACGTTCTATCCATAATCAACAGAAAAATTATTTCCTATAATCAAGTAATTACTACTACTAGTATTTTAATTCTCTCAGTAGCATATAGTGAATTAATTCCCGCAGTTGTTTGATCACTCTTAGAATATCAGGTGCATTTCTTCTAGCTTCAGTTGCATGCAATCTCAGGAATGGGATGGACTTTAGTCAAAATGTCCATTATGTCTGCATTCCCTCTGCAATATCCCCCAAATAAATGGTTATCTAGCCTTGGTCTTAATATCCCCAGGAGAGATGACCTGCTATCTAATGTAAGGCTGTCTATGCCATTCTGTTATACTTAGGGAAAAATCTTTTCTTTACACATATTAAATTGAAATCCATTTACGTGGCACTTCCATTCCTATTCATGTATATGTCTCCTTGCTACGCATAAAAAATAAGGCTTTCAAAATCTTTTTTTTTTTTGAGACAGAGTGTTGCTCTGTCCCTCAGGCTGGAGTGCAGTGGTGCAAGCTTCGCTCACTGCAACCACCACCTCCAGGGTTCAAGCGATTCTCCCACCTCAGGCTCCTGAGTAGCTGGAACTATAGGCACACGCCACCACAGCCAGCTAATTTTTTTTGTACTTTTAGTAAAGACAGGGTTTCACCATGTTGCCCAGGCTGGTCTCGAACTCCTGACCTCAAGTGATCCACCGACCTCAGCCTCCCAAAATGCTGGGATTACAGTTGAGAGCCACCGCACCTGGCCAGCTTTCAAATGCATAAGAGCTACCATGTCTCCTGTGAATTTTCGCTGGATGACAAATATCCACCTCTGACTCTTCTAACATGGTTTAGAACCCCATTTATCATCCTGATTTCCTACATCTTTTAATTTGTCTATACATACCCTCTAAGTATATTGTCCAGAAGTGAACTGAAATCCAGGTGAAGTCTAATTATCAATGCAATACTAACAAAGATACAATATCTCAAAATAAAGTCACGATCAAAACCTCCAAATCCATTTCATAAATGCAGCTTTTAAGCCACATCTTCCTTATAAAAGATTTATGAAACATATATATTATATTCCTTCCAACAGCTCAAATCAAATGAAAGAAGATAAACTAATAGCAGCACATCGTGGCAAGTAATACGACAGAGTTAAGCAAATAGAGGAAGGGGCGTTAATTCAAAGAAGGAAGGAAGTCAGGAAAGGTTCTATACTGGGCAAATTACTCAACTTCCCTGTATCCCAGTTTCCTAATTTGAAAAAGGCAGATAATAACTGAATATGCCATAGGAGTTGTTATGATGATAAAATGAATTAATATATTTAAAGTGCTCAGGACAGTGCCTGGCACAGAATGGATACTTTAGATATGCTGCAATTATGAATTCTACATGCAAACATTTTTGCAGTGTTAAAGACAGTGAGGAAAAAAAACAACCTTAAAAGAAAAAGACAGTCTTATTTGGGCTACTATGAAAACCTGGAGCTCAGGAAAAAGAGACTACAAAAAAATAACAATAAATCAGATAGTAGATAAAGCACAGATATGAAAAATTGTTCAAATTGTTAGAATATTACATAAACTTAGTTGATAAAGCAGCAGCAGCAGGGTTTGACAGAACTGACTCCAATTTTGGAAGACGTTCTACTGTGGGTAAAATGCTATCGAACAGCATCGAATACTACAGAGAAATCTTTTGTGAAAAGAAGAGTCAATCAATGGGGCAAATTTCATTCTTGTGTTTTAAGAAATTGTCACAGCCACCTTGACCTTTGGCAACCATCACTGTAATCAGTTAGCAGTCATCAACATCAAGCTAAGGCCCTCCACCAGCAAAAAGATTATAATGCACTGAAGGCTTAGATGATCATTAGCATTTTTAGCAATAAACTATATTTTTTTATTTTTTTCTTTTGAGACAGAGTCTCACTCTGTCGCCCAGGCTGGAGTGCAATGACACAATCTCGGCTCACTGCAACCTCCGCCTCCCGGGTTCAAGCGATTCTCCTGCCTCAGCCTCCCAAGTAGCTGGGATTACAGGTGTGTGCCACCACGCCCGGCTAATTTTTTTGTATTTTTAGTAGAAACGGGGTTTTACCATGTTAGCCAGGCTGGTGTCAAACTCCTGACCTCAGGTGATCCGCCCGCCTCAGCCTCCCAAAGTGCTGGGATTACAGGCGTCGTGAGCCACTGCGCCCGGCCAACAATCAACTATTTTTAAATTAAGGTATATACATTGTTTTTTAGATATAATGCTCTTGCACACTTAATAGACTACAGTATATGTATTTGTAAACATAACTTTTATATACACTGGAAAACCAAAACAATCTGTATGACTGACTTTATTGCATGATATTTCCTTTACTGCAGTGGTCTAGAACCAAACCCACAGTATCTCTGAGGCATGCCTTTATAGGGTCAGGGGAACAGAGCAGTATACTGAGAAAACTGAATTCTTATGTTTCAGACAGAAAGAATTTTCTAAGCATTGCTTAAGCTATCCATTTCTTAGTTTCCCAATGTATGTTAGCAATATTAAAGCTCCGTGAAGAGACTTTCAGTAAATAATTTTTTTTCATAGAGGCAGGGTCTTGCTACGTTTGGCCAGGTTGGTCTTAAACTCCTGGCCTCAAGTAATCTTCCCACCTTGGCCTGCCAAAGTGCTAGGATTACAGGTGTGAGCCACCTCACCCAGCCAAATTTAACTCTTTAAAAACTAGCATTCCACCACATTTGACTCAGAGTTCTCCTTTTAAGTTAACTCTATGAACATCATGAAGAACTAGTGTTCTTTCCTTGTAACTCATTTGGAGAAGTATTATACTAGACATTTCTCTCAACGATGAAGGCAATCCAATAATCATAACCCTTTGAGTAAGAGCTTTCAAGCTATTACAAATCTACCTAAAAATAATCTTTCAGGCTAAATTTCTCCCCATCTTGTCCACAAGAATACAGTGAAACTCTCATCTTACTGATACTCAGAACATTTTTGCCTGAGGAAAATAATCTGCCATCTTACCTTGATCATTCATACTATCCATTATTGTCATTAATTTCTTTAGCCTTGCCATTGACTCCTGTTCATTTCCTTTGCTCATAAAATCTGTCCCAAAACCAGGGATCATCCCCTACAACAGATTTAAACATAAAGTCAATAGTAGCTTAAGATTAATGGTTCAAAATGTCCACATTTAACTATTAGGTTTAATATTGACACTAAGTCTTAGATATATTTTTACCCGAATGTAAAAATAATTAAAGCAAGTGTATCTATTTTAGAAAATTTAATGAAAACAAAAGAAGGTATAAAGTTTTAAGGATAACTAACCAAGATCTGACTGAAGGGGCCCATTTTCATGATATTTTGAAATTGCTCATACATGTCTCGCAACGTAAACTGACCTGAAATACAATGTAAATAATTCGGATATATTAAAGTATGTACATTTCCATTCAACAAAACTAATTTATTCCTTAATCATGAATTCATCTTGAAGCATATTTATAAAATATACATCAATAAATATTCACCAAGCAGTTACCATGTGCAAGATGACAGGATGAATGCTGGGGAGAATACATAGACAAAGACAGGTCCTATCATAGAGAAGCTTACATTCTATCTGAGAAGACACATATACAAACACACAAGAAACCTGAAAACAAGGCACATAAACTACACCTACTAGGATGAGTAAAATTTTAAAGGTTGACAATATCAAAAGTTAAAGTGGATGTGGACCACAAAGAACTCCCATATATTGGTGAGAATATAGAATAGCAAGACACTTTAGAAGATTGTTTGGAGTTTCTTAAATAGCTTAGGTATCTATGAACAGGAAAATGGATACACTGTGGAAAAAATATTATTCAGCAATAAAAAGAACAAACTATAGATAAGTACAACTACATGAATTAATATCAAAATATGCTTAGTCAAAGAAAACAGATTGGAAGAAAAACGATATACTCAGAATTTCTTTATTTTTTTAAGAGGGTTGTGCTCTATCACTGAGACTGGATTGAAGTGGTACAGTCATCACACACTGGTAGCCTCAAACTCTTGAGCTCAAGTGACCGCCTGCCTCAGTCTCCAGAGTAGTTATGACTATGGATGCATGCCACTGGATTTTTCTAAGAGATATGGGTCTCACTACATTGCCCAGGCTGGTCTCAAACTCCTGACCTCAAATGATCCTCCCACCTTGGCCTCCTAAAGCACTAGGATTACAGTGTGAGCCACCATGCACAGCCCAGGACTTCTATAATATGAAGTATTACCGGGAAAGGGCACAAGCAAACCTTTTAGAGTAATGGAAATGTTCTGTTTCTTGATTGGGTGTGGGTTACTGTGCATTTGTCAAAAAAAGAAAGGTATCCTTAGGATTTGAGCATTTCATTGTATGTATACTAACCTAAGGTTTAAAAACAGGGATGGAACAAGCCAAAAGAGAAAGTATTTTCTATTTATGTCCTAAAGATAAAAAGAGAAAAGGTATTTGGTTCAGGCATTCTGAATGTGAAGTGGCAGTACAGTATCTTAAAAGAAATGTTATAGCAGTCAACTAGAAACGCAGAATTAAACAGTGGAAGAGAGGATTAAGGTTGAAATACATATTTGGCCATTTATACAGAAGTGATAATTAAAGCTAGAATAATATAAGAAATCCACAGACATAGAACTTAGAGTCTGAAAACAGAAAAGGCAGAAAACACTTAAATATTAGGAACCAAGGAAAACAAGAAAGGTCACTACATGTGGAAATTAGGAGACCCTTGGAGATCTCAGAATGAGTAGAATATTAGAAATAGAAACAAAAATGTAGAGACTTAAGGAGAGTCAGGAGTCAGAAAGGAAACAGAGTAGGAATATACACCCAGCTTCATAGTGGTAGCAGAAACAGTGGTAGGATTATCCAAGATAGAAAAAGGAAGGAGCGGCCAGGCAAGGTGGCTCATGCCTGTAATCTCAGCACTTTGGGAGGCCGAGGCAGGCAGATCACCTGAGGCCAGGAGTTCGAGATCAGCCTGGCCACCATGGTGAAACCCCATTTCTACTAAAAATGCAAAAATTAGCCGGGCGTGGCAGTGCATGCCTGTAGTCCCAGCTAATGGGGAGGCTGAGGCAGGAGAACTGCTTCAAACTGGGAGGCGGAGGTTGCACTGAGCTGAGATTGTGCCAATGCACTCCAGCCTGGGCAACAAGAGTGAAACTCTGTCTCAAAAAAAGAAGAAAAAAAAAAAAAAAGAAAAGAAAAAAAAGGGGCAAAGAGACAGGCAACAAAGGATAAATTCATTCATTCAATAGTTGCTGAAGGCCTACTATGTGCCAGACACTGTGCTAGGTACTGTGAACATAAAAAATGAGTAACCCAGCTATGACCTCTACCTTCACCTTCAAGCAGGAAAAACAGACATCAAATAATTGTGCTGAATAATATAAAAATTAATTGTAGGAAGTGATAGAAACATCTGTCAGAAGGTTCCAACTCAGTCTAGGGTTCAGGTGAAATGTCCCTGAAGAAGGACATTTAAGGAGAAATCTGAAGTGCAAGTAGCAGTTAGCCATCTTGGCCAGAGGAGATGATGGCAGAGGTAAGAAGAGAGATAGAGGGACTGGCAAAGGCAACAGCCCAGATGTGAGAGACAGGAATGTACATTTGAGAAACTAAAAGAAGTCCAGCATAGCTGGCACACAGAATACTAAGAACAACAATGCTAAAACACAACATGGAAGATGTGAGCTAGACAGTAAAATCAGTTAAAAACTTTAAAAGGGCAAGAGAAAGCCACTAAAGAATTTTAAGAAAAGCAGTAATGGGATCAGATTTGCAGTTTTGAAAGATTATTCTGGGCTGTAGTATGAAAAAATACATCAAAGGGGAAGAGTACAGGAAGATGGAAGATCTGTTGAAAGACTTACAATAAGAAGATCTAGGAAAGAGATGAACTAGCATAGTTGAAGGGCAGCTACAGAGAAGGGGATGGAATGGAGATATTTAGGAGGTGGAAACACTTGGACTAGTTAACTGATGGAGAAAGGAGTGGGCAGAGTGAGGAAGAAATAATAATGACACCCAAGTTTCTGACTCTGGCAACAATATAAATGATATTAATATTCATTGATAAGACAACGAGGTGAGAGGTTGGGATGGGAATAAGGATATGCTGAATTTGAGATGTCTATGAAACATCCAAGAATGGTCTAGTAAACACAGATACATGAGTCTGAAGCTCCTGAGAAAGATAACTTCGAATGATCCCTGAGAAACACCAGCATTTAAGAGAAAAGTAAAGGCACAATTATCTGGTAAGATGAGTGAGAAGAAGCAAAGAGGCAGAATAGTTGCTACGGTAATTAAAGATTATTTTTAGAACAACTGGAATGGTTGAGAATAATATACATTGAGTGTTTATGATGTGCCAGACATTGTACATGCATCAGCGAATGCAATCTTCACAACCATATGAAGTAGTTAGTATTATGTACGTTTTATAGATGACAAAATTGAGGCTAAGTAATTTAAAAAGTTATAAAGCTAAAAAATAGATCAGAGATACAAAAACAGGTATGTTATATTTAAGAACCTGAGCTCCTAATCAGAATAATATCCTTCTCTACAGGAGTGGTCTTTCATGTGGGGTAAAGAAAATGTGGTATATTTAATTTCATCCTTGTGTTCTAACTTACTTTTAACCTGTTTAACTTCAAGGAACCGGCCAAGCACAGTGGTTCACACCTGTAATCTCAGCACTTTGGGAGGCTGAGGTGGGTGGATCACCTGAGGTCAGCAGTTCAAGACCAGCCTGGCCAACATGGCAAAACCCATCTCTACTAAAAATACAAAAATTAGCCGGGCCTGGTGGTACGTGCCCGTAATCCCAGCTACTCAGGAGGCTGAGGCAGGAGAATCACTTGAACCCAGGAGGTGGAGTTTGCGGTGAGCCAAGATTGCACCACTGCACTCCAGCCTGGGTAACAGAGTGAGACTCTGTCTTAAAAAACAGAAAAACTTCAAGGAACCTAGTGAAAGCCTTATTTTAATCTTAATTTTATTACAATAAAGAAAATAAAAACACTGAATTCTGTAACTGCTCAGGTACCTGAGATTTTAAATGATTTGCATATAAATCATCTAAAATAATAAGCAGTGGAAGATCTGACTCTAACAGATATTACATTTCAAATAACTTAATAGTAACTTTATAAAAAAAATCAATGGAAGAAATCTGAGATGAAGTGCTTTTTTGTCACTCATATACCATGTTTCAACTTCTCTATAAGTGCTTCATTGTCATCCAACTTCAACTCGTTGACTTTATCTATCAGTCCTTCAATGTCGCCCATACCTATAAGATACAAAAAAGAAAAATTAACAACTAATACTATACCCTGCTTCACATTATACAAAACACATTCACATACATAATAACCTTGTGAGGTTATAATAGGTTAGGTATTCTTACTACACTACACAAATGAGAAAACCAAAGCTAAGAAAGTTAAGTGGCATGGCCAGGAGCGGTGGCTCATGCCTGTAATCCCAGCACTTTGGGAGGCCAAGGTGGGTGGATCACCTGAGGTCAGGAGTTTGAGACTAGCCTGGCCAACATGGTGAAACCCCGTCTCTACTAAAAATAAAAAAAAATTAGCTGGACCTGGTGGTGCACGCCTGTAATCCCAGCTACCTGGGAGGCTAAGGCAGGAAAATCGCTTGAACCCGGGAGGCTGAAGGTGCAGTGAACTGAGATCCCGCCATTGCACTCCAGCCTGGGTGACAAGAGCGAAACTCCGTCTCAAAAAAAAAAAAAAAAAAAGTTAAGTGGCAACAAACAAGTGGCAAAGCAAGGACTGCAGCCCAGGGTTTAACTCCAAATTCCATGCTCTCTAACTATACCACCTTGAGACATTGCCAAAGTATTACTGCCCTTACATCCACTATTATTAAAACCACTTGTTTTTGTACTGTGCTCTAAAACTTTTCCAAAGAACTTTCTACTAGATACCTCATTTTACCACTTTCACCACAGAGGGCAGATAACCATTATCTCTATTTTACAGGTAAGGAAACTAAGTCACAGAAAGAAATGATGTGCTTAAATTAGTGAGGACAGAATTAAAATCCTATTTTGTCCTAAAGATACATCGTATTTCTTGGAGATTTTTCTATATCCCCACCACTGTACATACCAAGAAGTTTGCTAATAAAAGGCTGTGTTTTGAAAGGTTCAAAGTCATCTATATGTTCCCCTGTACCAATGAAAATAATCGGACTTTTTGTGGCAGCGACTCTGGAAAAAAAAAGAAAATATAAAATAACCTCAAAAGAACCCCACAAATTTCCAGCAGATCTGAAATTCGAAGTGAATCCGCCTCCAAAGCTAATTAGACAAAGGTACAAAACTCAAGTTTCATTTCACAAGTTATAATAGACCTATATCAGACAGGCTCCAAAATTGTTTCTATTTAAACTTTCTTTATAAACCATATTAGGCTCACTATTGAAACATATTTTAAATGATCAATATGAAAGCTATAAACACATATCCTTCCCCATATAATCCCAAGACAGAGGACAACAGTATCAATGATACTTACGCACTGAGTGCACCACCTCCTTTTGCATGGCCATCAAGTTTTGTCACTATTACTGAGGCTACATCTACTTTATCTTTAAAAGCCTTAGCCTGGGCTTCACAAGCCTGCCCAATGGAGGCATCCATCACATAAACAATGTTATCAGGTTGCTAGAAAGTTTAAATAGAAAAGATACTTTAGAAAAGATTTTTATTGATCCTAAGCAAATGTCATCATTAGAAGCTATAAAACAATATTTAGAGCCAGGTGCAGTGGCTCATGCCTGTAATCCCAGCACTTTGGGAGGCCGAGCCAGGTGGATCACCTGAGATAGTTCAAGACCAGCCTGGCCAACATGGTGAAAACCCCGTCTCTACTAAAAATACAAAAATTAGCATACAAAAATTAGCCAGGCATGGTGGCGAGTGCCTGTAATCCCAGCTACTTGAGAGGCTCAGGCAGGAGAATCACTTGAACCCGGGAGGCAGAGGTTGCAGTCAGCTGAGATCATGCCACTGCACTCCAGCCTGGGCGACAAGAGTGAAACTCCATCTCAAAAAAAAAAAAAAAAAAACTACAACATTTACACTATAAATAATTATTCAATCCATAAATATTTGTTGAAGTACTATGTATTATCAGGTACCATCTAGGTCATGAGAACAAAAAGGTAAATGAGAAAATATTTGTCCTAAGAAACTTGCATTCTAGTCAGAGGACATATATAATAAATAGATAAACATTTCAGATGTATAACAACGAAAATGGGATACAGAGTATCAGTTTTGAAGTATGGGAGGCATTTTCTAGTAAGGTAGTCAGGGAAGGCCTCTCTGGACCTAATGTTTGAGCTGAGGCCTGAATAAAGAGGAAAAGGTTATATGCAAAGATTTGAAAGAATGGCAATCTAGGCAAAAAAAGTACAAAGGCAAATCAAAGTAGAAGAGTGTATACTGAAAACGGATAAAATATACTTGAGGCTACTTCCCTTAGATCTGCTCAACTTGGTCAAAATAACAACATAACTGAAAAGAAACTTATTAGCATTAACCACAAACCAAAGAATTACTGCTAACACTCCAATGTCAAGACGTGGGTTCCTAATAATATATGCTGCAGATATCTATAAACTGCTTCTCCTCCCCCAAATTGTTTCCATCACACTTTTAAAGAGACACAAAATGATAATTAATATTTTTTAAAGTATTTAAAAATCTAAGTATTTCCAACTGAATTTTTAAAAAGGAAATTCAACAGAAACTAAAGGCTAATTACTAATTTTTTTTTTTTTTTTTTTTGGAGATGGAGTTTTGCTCTTGTTGCCCAGGCTGGAGTGCAATGGCGTGATCTTGGCTCACTGCAACCTCTGCCTCCCGGGTTCAAGCTATTCTCCTGCCTCAGCTCCCAGGTAGCTGGGATTACAGGCACCCACCACCATGCCCAGATAATTTTTGTATTTTTAGTAGAGACGGAGTTTCACCATGTTGGCCAGGCTGATCTTGAACTCCTGACCTTGTGATCCATCCGCCCTGGCCTCCCAAAGTGCTGGGATTATAGATGTGAGCCACCATACCCGGCCTAATTACTAATTTTTAAATGTTTTCTTATGCATACTAATAGGATGACTGAGAAAGGAAATTACTTTTTCATACTTATGAAAATTTTATATTTAATGGAGAACAAAAATAATGAAATTAAGTCCCTACCACATAGATATAGGTGCCCAAAACAAAAATAAATTACTGGGGATCTGCCTCACAGGCAAAGAATAATTTATATTGGTCATATACTCAACCTGGTTTTATAATTAAATTAACCAAAGTCCTAATAATAGTGTTACATTGAAAGCTACTTACTATAGCATTAGCAACTTGAAGCATTTCTTCAAACAAAGAGTCTTCTTGTTTGTGGCGGCCACTTGTATCAACAATAATAATTTCAAAATTTTCATTTTTAAATTTCTCTACTCCTTCAGAAGCAATGATGACAGGATCCATTTCTGTATAGCTATATAACATGGACAAATGATTTAACAAAACGACAAAACTTCCAAATACTACTAATTCGGAAAGTTAATTTACCTATAATCTATTTTGAAAAAGCCAAAATGACCCCAATTTCAATTTAGAAGAGGAAAATCTATAAAGTATTAAATACAGAATCTACTTCTAAAAAAGCATGAAGCATTATCCAATTTTCCAATTCCAAAACCCAGTATGATTCTACTGCATGTCTTTTTTGAATGAATTGTGTCTCCTTCAAATTTATTTTTTATATCTTCTTTAATAATTGAACTCATGCTCACAGTGTTTCACACATTTTTCCATTTAACATCCATTTGGAAGCATTTTATAAAACCAGTAGATATTCTTGTAACAAGCCTGAGCAATATAGTGAGATTCCATCTCTACAAAAAAAAAAAACTAGCTGGCATAGTGGAATATGCCTATAGTCCCAGCCACTTGGGAGACTGAGGCAGGAGGACCACTTGAGTCCATGAGTTCGACACTGCAGTGAGCTTATGATCATGCAACTGCACTCCAACTTGGGCAACAGAGCAAGACCATGGCATGTCTCTTTAAAAATTAACACGGGTGAAAAAAGAAAAAATATTTCTGTAACACATAACCTTGAGGTTATACAGCATTCTATCAGATGGCTGTATCATTTATTAAATAACGCCCTACTATTAGACATTTGACGTTTTTCCAATTTTTTTTTTAATTTTTATGTATTTATTTATTTATTTTTGAGACAAAGTTTCACTCTGTTGCCCAGGCTGGAGTGCAGTGGTGCGATCTCGGCTCACTGCCACTTCTGCCTCCTGGGTTCAAGGGATTCTCGTGCCTCAGCCTCCCAAGTGGCTAGGATTACAGGCGCCTGCCACCAGGCCTGGCTAATTTTTGTATTTTCAGTAAAGACGGGGTTTCACCATGTTGGTCAGGATGGTCTCAAACTTCTGACCTCATGATATGCCCGCCTTGGCCTCCCAAAATGCTGGGATCACATGCATGAGCCATCATGCCTGGCCTCCAATTTCTTTTTTAAATTTATTTATTTATTTATTTTGAGGCACAGTTTTGCTCTTGTTGCCCATGGTGGAGTGCAATGATGCCATCTCAGCTCACCGCAACCTCTGCCTCCCGGGTTCAAGCAATTCTCTTGCCTCAGCCTCCTGAGTAGCTGGGATTACAGGCACACGCCACCACGTCCAGTTATTTTGTATTTTTAGTAGAAACGGGCTTTCTCCATGTTGGTCAGGCTGGTCTTGAACTCCCGACCTCAGGTGATCCACCCGCCTAAGCCTCCCAAAGTACGGGGATTACAGGTGTGAGCCACTGTGCCCGGCCTAAAAAAATTTTTTTTTTTAAACGGTGTCTAGCTCTGTCACCCAGGCTGAAGGGTAGTGGCACGATCTCGGCTCAATGCAACCTTCGCCTCCCAGATTCAAGCGATTCTTCTGCCTCAGCCTCCCAAGTAGCTAGGATTACAGGCACCCACTACCACGCCCAGCTAATTTCTGTATTTTTAGTAGAGACAGGGTTTCACTGTGTTGGCCAGGCTGGTCTCGAACTCCTGACCTCATAATCCGCCCGCCTCAGCCTCCCAACGTGGTGCGCCCAGCCTGAAAATTTTTTAAATTTATTTTTTGTAGAGATGAGGTCTTGCTATATTGCCCAGGCTGGTGTCCAACTTCTGGGCTCAAGCAATCCTCCCACCTCAGCCTCCCGAAGTGCTGGGATTACAGATATGAGCCACTGTGCATGGCAGTGTTTCCAATTTCCTGATATTAAAAATACCGCCAATATAATTGGTACATAAATGTTTCTTCTTTGACACTATGTTATGACACCTCTTATAAGCTGAATTTGGAACAAATGGTATGACCATTTAAGGCTTTTTGCTTTTATGAGGCAAATCTCTTCCATAAAAGTTTAATCTCATCCCTATTTCACTACATTTTCACAATCCCCAATACAATCTTTGTCAACTTGAAAATCAAGAAATGAGATATTTTAATTTGCACTCTTCTGATTAGTGGCAACTTTTTATATGCAGATCACTATTATCAAATAAAGACACATAATGTTACAAAAAAAGTTTTTCCCCTAAATTAAGAACCACCACCAAAAACTCAGATAGAAATACACTTAATAAGAACATGTGTGTGGCTGCATACAGTGGCTCAAGCCTGTAATCCCAGCCCTTCGGGAGGCTGAGGTGGGAGGATCATTTGAGCCCAGGAGCTTGGGACCAGCCTGGGCAACAAAGGATATTTTATAAGACAGGGTCTTTACAAAAAGTTTTTAAAAAAATTAGCAGGGCATGGTCAGGCATGGTGGCTCATGCCTGTAATTCCAGCACTTTGGGAGGCTGAGGCAGGTGGATCACCTGAGGTCAGGAGTTCGAGACCAGCCTGGCCAACATGGTAAAACCCTGTCTCTACTAAAAATACAAAAATTTAGATGGGCATGGTGGTGGGCACCTGTAATCCCAGTTACTCAGGAAGCTGAGACAGGAGAATCACTTGAACCCAGGAGGTGGTGGTTGCAGTGAGCCAAGATCGCACCATTGCACCCCAGCCTGGGTGACAGAGGGAGACTCCGTCTCAAAAAAAAAAAAAAAAAAAAGCTGACAGACAAGAAGAGGGATATAAGTGTTAAAATAAAAAACAGTAACCTACCTTCCATAAAATGGAATTCTTGCTTTGGTAGCATTCTGTTTTAGTTGGTCAAAAGCCCCTGGAAGATAAAGAGTTCATGAATCCTCAAACTTGAAAATAAAAATTATATAAAACAATTTTCAAATTTCAAGACATTACCTGCTCTGAATGTGTCTGCACATATTAAACAGGTCTTCCAACCTTTCCTCTGGTAATAATATGCTAGCTGGGTGAGAAAAGATTTAAAAATATAATATCATAAAATATAACAAACTATACATATAATTTTTTCTGTTTTTCCTTATTATTTACCTAAGGAGTAAAATAAAACTGCTTATAATTCTCCTGAAAATATTATTAAAGATTTTTGAATGTGGCAAATTTCCTACAAAGTTTTATATTCTAATTGTCATGCAGTAGCATTCAAATATAAAATGATCAAGTAGCAAATGATCATAGCAAAAAATGTTAACTACTATTAATGTTAATTAAAAACAAACAACAACAAAACGATCTAAAAATCATCCTTTTCTCTTTTTCCCTCTCAAACTGTAACATACGTGAAGCTTGTGGAAAAATCTTGTAATATTGTTGAGACATGCAATTTGGGAGAAAGGAGTGGTAAACTGAATTAAAAATTAGCATAAAGCGGTCAAGGCTACAGTAAGCTATGTTTGCGTGCCACTGCACTCAAGCTTGGGCAATAAAAGTAAGACTCTGTCTAAAAAAATATGGCATAAGGATACACAAAATGAAGATCTATAGTATGCTGGGTGGGAACCTGAAAAAGGAGTCCTGAGCCATAGAGGATAAAGTAAACTCCATGTTCTCTTCTCCAAAAATCACACACTCACTTCCTGAAAGGATAGGAATGGTCTTTTTTTAATAAAAGAAATAGCATAGTTACAGATGTCTACCTTCTTACAAAAAAAAAATCATAAGAAACTATGAGGACCTCTCCTCTTATCCTAAAAAAAACTATTTAAAAACATACATCAAGTAACACAAAATTATAAAGCAACAATATTATAAAGCCTGGCTTTATATCTTAATATGTTATTAATATATTTTAATGTAAATATATTTTAATAAAATCTATTTTATGTAAATATATTTTAATAAAATCTATTTTATGTAAATATATTTTAATAAAATCTATTTTATGTAAATATATTTTAATAAAATCTATTTTATGTAAATATATTTTATTATAATATAAATATATTTTAATAAAATATATTTTATGTAAATATATTTTATTATAATATAAATATATTTTATGTAAATATATTTTATATAAAATAACATTATTTATAATATATAAATGCATTCTAATAATTATAATTAATAAAATATATATTTCAACATTATAAAGCCAGGCTTTACATTTTTATATTAAATACAAAACTTGATTTATACAAACCTATCTTCCATATGACTTCTTTTTAAATTAAGTTCAATTTACCTTTGAACATGTTGTTGTTTTACCACTCCCTTGCAATCCAACAAACATAATCACATTTTGTTTTCCTTTAGTGGGTGTCCATGCCTTAACTCCAGGGTCTACAAGCTAAATACCAAAAATAAATTAAAAATAAAATCAGGTTAACATACATATAAATTCAAAACCCCTTCCCCACAACTTTTTTTTCCTTTTTTGAGACAGGGTCACACTCTTGTCACCCAGGCTGGAGTGCAGTGGCATAATCAGAGCTCACTGCAGCCTCAACCTCCTGGGCTCAAATGATGCTCCCACTTCAGCCTCCCAAGTAACTGGGACTACAGGCACACGCCACCACACCTAGTTAACTAAAAAAATTTTTTTTTGTAGAGACAGGGTCTTGCCATGTTGCCCAGGCTGGTTTCCAACTTCTGGGTTCAAGCAATCCTTCTGTCTCAGCCTCAAAGTGCTGGGATTTCAGGCGTGAGCCACTGTGCTGCCACAACTTTTAAATTATATAAATAAGGACATTTTCATGTAAAAGCTACCATAAGCTATTATAATACAATTATTCCCCTTTGTAAAGACAGAGTAAAATTTAAGAACATAAATTTAAGAAGTCATAATCAAGTCTATACTCCAAACCAATTCAGAGGTAAAGATCTCACAGCATTTTTTAGAACAAGCTGGAGTATAAAATGTGAAACCAAATTTAAGCCACAGGAGGAATCTACATCAGCACTACAGAAATGTAATACAAAAATGTATATGAAGGCTACACATGAATTTTAAAATTTCCAGTACTGACATTTAAAAAGTAAAAACAGGTGATACTAATTTTAGTATCTACCCCAATACATCTAAAAAATTATCATTTTCATATGTAATCTATATAAAAAATTAATGAGATATTTTACATTTCTTTTCCCATACCAAGTCTGAAAACCTGGTGTGTATTTTATATGTAAAACACATCTCAGTTTGGACTAGCCACATTACAAATGCTCAATAACCACATGTGGCTAGTGGATGCCATACTCGAGAGTGCTAATGTCCATATTCAATTTGACAAATATTTACTTAACAAAATTACAGATTATATGTGAAAGATTTTCCAGGTCAAACTGTAAATTCTCCAATGCCAAATATTTACTGTAAAGTTACTACATTTAGAGGGCTAGTAAAAAATAATAATCAACTTTAAAATCAGTCAGTGGAAAACTGAGGTTCATATAGGGACAGTCTCCAAATTAAAAAAGCATGGGACATTTAGGGCCGGGCGCGGTGGCTCATGCCTGTAATCCCAGCACTTTGGGAGGCAGAGGCAGGTGGATCACAAGGTCAGGAGATTGAGACCATCCTGGCTAACACGGTGAAACCCCATCTCTGCTAAAAATACAAAAAATTAGCCGGGCGTGGTGGCAGGCGCCTGTAGTCCCAGCTACTCTGAAGGCTGAGGCAGGAGAATGGCATGAACCCGGGTGGCGGAGCTTGCAGTGAGCCGAGATCGCGCCACCGCACTCCAGCCTGGGTGACAGAGCGAGACTCCATCTCAAAAACAAAAACAAAAAAAAGCATGGGACATTTAAAAAATAATTCACTTGGGGGTCAGTTGTTTGGAGCTTGAAATGTATGATAAAATAATAAATCTATAATAGTTAATGTCCTAGATCAGGGGTTGGTAAACTATGTGCAAATAAAGTTTCAATGGAGGCTGGGTGTGGTGGCTCATGCCTATAATCCCGGCCCTTTCAGCGGGGGGACAAAGGAGGAGGATTCATTGAGACCAGGAGTTTGAGACCAGCTTGGGCAGCATAGCAAGATCTTGTCTCTACTAATTTAAAGAATTGGCCAGGTGTGGTGGCACGCACCTGTGGTCCCAGCTAATCAAGGAGGCTGAGGCAGTAAGATTGCTTGAGCCCAGGAGTTTGAGACTGCAATGAGCTATCATCAGGCCACTGTACTCCGGCCTGGGCAACAGGCTGTAAAGTTATTACATTTCTAGTTATTACATTGAAAAAAATTTCAATCTAATACAGTCATGCCCATTCATTTACCACTTTTTTTGTTTTTTTGAGACAGGGTCTTACTCTGTTACCCAGGCTAGAATGCACTGGTACAATCAATCATGGCTTACTGCAGTCTCGAACTCTTGGACTCAAGCGATCCTACCATCTCAGCCTCCTGAGTAGCTGGAACTACAGGCATATGCCATGATGTCTGGCTAACTTTAGTATTTGTTTGTAGAGATGGAGTATTGCTATGTTGCCCAGACTGGTTTTGAACTCTTGGCCTCAAGTAATCCTCCAGCCTTGGCCTCCTGAAGTGCTGAGATTACAGGTATAAGCCACTGTGCCTGACCCATTTACTGCTTTTGTGCCACAACAGCAGAGCTGAGTAGTTGCAATAGAAATCACGTGGTCCACAAAGTCTAAACCTTTGAGAGAAAGTCTGCCAAGCCATCCATAAAAATTACATCATCTATATTATACTTGAATTTCAAGGAAAGCCATGAGGTAGAGAAGAGAGGAAAATACATTTTCTTATACCTTTCCTAGGCATCAACCTACCCTTAGGCAAACTTTTGAAATAGGCAAAATCTGTCTTAAACATAAATCCACTTCCCTTCCTCATAGATCCTTTCAGTACACTGATGCTGCTCCACATTCATCTCCATTTTCTACATGTCATGGCAAAAACTCCCAGCTCTCTATGGACCCATTATTTGGAACATATATGTTTTAGTAAATAATTTTATAAATTTGTCTTCTCTTCCTCCCACCATCAAGAACAGCAGTTTTCAACTTCTTGGTCTCAGGGCTTCTTTATAATCATGGTAGTTTGTAAAGGTTAGCTGCAATGTAGAATCTGAAACCATATAAACTTTTATACTCGTTACATTAAAATCTGTGATTCCATCTTGCATTTTAAATGAATCTTATACTGGTAAATGATCTTGTAACATCACGCACTAGCTATTCACAAAACATTGGTTCACTGAGTTAGGCAGATCTCTCGTCATTGACATATTTCACTATACATAATCAAAAAACTTTATTCATTAATATCAATACTGACCCTCATCAGAAAACTAAGTACTGGGATACTGTCAAACTCATGATAGAGACAGATGATAGATACAAGTCCTTTTTATTTTTATTTTAGATGGAGTTTCGCTCTCGTGGCCTAGGCTGGGTGCAATGGTGTCATCTCAGCTCACTGCAACCTCTGCCTCCCAGGTTCAAGCCATTCTCCTGCCTCAGCCTCCCAAGTAGCTGGGATTACAGGCATGTGCCACTAGACATGGCTAATTTTTTTTTTTTTTATTTAGTAGAGACGGAGTTTCACCATGTTGGTCAGGCTGGTCTCAAACTCCTGACCTCAGGTGATCCACCTGCCTTGGCCTGCCAAAGTACTGGGATTACAGGCATGCGCCACCATGCCTGGAAGCTTTATTTATTTATTTATTTATTTATTTTGAGACAGGTCTCGCTCTGTCACCCAGGCTGGAGTGCAGTGGCGTGGTCTCGGCTCACTGCAACCTCCACCTCCCGGATTCAAGCGATTCTCCCACCTTACCCTCCCGAGTAACTCGGTTTACAGGTGTAAGCCATCGTTCCCAGCTAATTTTTGTATTTTTTGTAGTGATGGGGTTTCACCATGTTGCTCAGGCTGGTCTCAAACTCCTGGGCTCAAAGAGTAGTAGTCCCAGCTACTAGGAGGCTCAGGTGTAGGGATCACCTGAGCCCAGGGAGGATGAGGCTGCAGCAAGCCATGATCACACCACTGCACTCCAGCCTGGGCAACAGAGTAAGACCCTGTCTCAAAAAAAAAAAAAACCAAAAAAACCAAAAAAACAAAAAACAAACAAACAAAAAACATGGTGGTGCATGCCTGTAGTCCTAGCTTCTCTGGAGGCTGAGGAGAGAAGATCGCTCGAGCCCAGGAATTTGAGGCCGCAGTGAGCTCTGATCACGCCACTGCACTCTAGTTTGAATGACAGGGACTCTGTCTTCAAAAATAAATAAATAAATAGAGAGTCCAGAAACTACTAGTATCATCTGGTGCCACTGCCTTGATTCATACCAGGGAGTTTTACCTACCATTGTTTTCAGTGCAAATGTCAACATAGTACAAAAGTCAAATAATGTCTTAGTATTATGAAAATAATTTTGACCTTGCTTTGTACACCATTCCTCTAGACCATAAGCATCTGAGTATAAGAACCAGTCTCATTTATTTCTGCTATCAGCAGCATTTGGCATACTTCCTGAAATAAAGTAGGTACTCAATAAATGCTTCTTAATAAAGCACTTGATGCTCCAGAATTGCCTACAGTTACGAGCCCCTAACAATAAAAATTTCTGGCCAGGCAAAGTGGCTGACATGTGTAATCCTAACACTTTGGGAGGCCAAGGCAGGTGGATCACTTGAGGTCAGGAGTTCAAGACCAGCTAGGGCAACATGGCAAAACCTTGTCTCTACAAAAAATGCAAAAACTAGCTGGGCGTGGTGGCATGTACCTGTAGCCCCAGCTACTTGGGGGGCACTGAGGCAGGAGGATTGTTTGAGCCCAGGAGGTTGAGGCTACAGTGAGCCATGATTGCACCACTACACTCCAGCCTGGGTAACAGAGTCAGACTGTCTCTTAAAAAAAAAAAAAAAAAAAAAAAAGGAGGCCAGGCACAGTGACTCATGGTTGTAGTCCCAGCACTTTGGGAGGCTAAGGCAGGCAGATCACTAGGTCAAGAGATAGAGACCATCCTGGCCAACATGGTGAAACCCCATCTCAACTAAAAATACAAAAAAAAATTAGCTGGGCGTGGTGGCACACACCTGTAATCCCAGCTACTTGGGAGGCTGAGGCAGGAGAATTGCTTGAACCTGGCAGGCAGAGGTTGCAGTGAGCAGAGATCATGCCATTGCACTTCAGCCTGAGTGACAGAGGGAGAGTCAAAAAAAAAAAAAGAAAATATTCAAACAATGTGGGGGAAAAATGATTGTAGAACTAGTGGGCATCTAATGCTCTAAAAAATTTTTTTTGTTTGTTTTTTTTTAAAGACAGGGTCTCACCCTCTCCCCCAGTCGGGAGTGCAGTGGCACAATCACGGCTCACTGCACCCCCGAACTCCTGGGCTCAAGCAATACTCCTGCCTCACCCTCCGGAGTAGCTGGAACTACAGATGTGCACCACCATGCCCGGCTAATTTTTGTATTTTTAGCAGAGATGGGGTTACACCATGTTGGCCAGGCTGGTCTCGAACGCCTGACCTCAGGTGGTTACCCATCTCAGCCTCCCACAGTGCTGGGATTACAGATGTGAGCCACTGCACCCGGCCTGCACCAGCTATTTTTATCAATTTTTTTTTTTTTTATAGAGACTGGTTCTCACTATGTTGCCCTGGTTGGTCTCAAACTCCTGGCCTCAAGCAATCCTCCCACCTCCGCCTCCCAAAGCACTGTGATTACAGGCATGAGCCACCATGCCTGGACTAAAATAATTTTTTTAACAGCTCCTTTCTTTTTTTTTCTACAACTGAGCCCATATATATTTTTTAAGCTCTAAGATTTTCACCATAATTTGCATGATCAGCAATAAGGTGAGGCAGGGCAACTGGCTATATTTACTATTTGAAAATAAAACTTTCACTAATTCAAAATTGCTCATAATCTAGGCAAGAATTGGGATACATGGTCTTTGCAAAGGGAATTCCTTACACAACGAACAGTGTAGAAAAGAATACTTGCTATATGTGACTTTGCCATACAAAAGCAGGACCATCACTAGGCAAAACATGATAGTGAACGAGGAAAAACTTAGGCCCTTCCATCAACAAATCTGTAGTGAAATTTCACTCATCGCATCTTGGCTTTGGCATTTTTTGCAGGAATAGTACTAGCTTTCATATCTGCACTCAGAATTATGTATATTCAGTAAAGTCTACAATAAAAATAGGTCCTGGCCAGGTGCAGTGGTTCACACCTATAATCCCAGCACTTTGGGAGGCCGAAGCGGGCGGATCGCCTGAGGTCAGGAGTTCAAGACCAGCCTGACCCACATAGAGAAACCCCGTCTCTACTAAAAATACAGAATTAGCCGGGCATGGTGGTGCACGTCTGTAATCCCAGCTACTCGGGAGGCTGAGGCAGGAGAATTGCTTGAACCCGGGAGGCGGAGGTTGCACTCCAGCCTGGGCAACAAGAGTGAAACTCCTTCTCAAAAAAAAAAAAAAAAAGGTCCCTAAGAAAACTCAATAATCCTTTCATTAATATTTTAATACAGATGAATATTCCATAAAAAACATATTTAAAAATTCTGAAATATTTGTAGTGCTAACGCTTTTTTATCCACTGAGTATAGAATCACAGCATAATCTTCATATACTTTTACCTTCACAAGTTCTTTAAATACAGCATGCTGAATCATTTTTCTTTTGTTAAGACCAGATGCCATCTCTTCAAGATCAATAGCAGACCTTTATGATGGTGGTTGGTGATTGGGGTGGGGAGGAGAAAATCAGTTAAGAAACTCTAAGAAAAAGAAGCTTCTGCTCCAAAGAATGTACAACATTCAGTCATTCATATTAATAGTCTTCCAATTAACATGCATGTAATTACTACAGACTCGTAAGTCTATATCATAAAGAGTTTTCCCATGAAGTATTAGATGCAAGACTTTGGTTTTCAAGGATTACACTTGAAAGTATAAATATAAATTTGTCCTAATATTACCACAAAGAACTAGTTTTATTTACTTTTCTTGCAGCTTATATATTTTATATATCTTTACAACAGAAATCAGGACTACTTTCTCTATTTCTTTTCTTTCTTTTTTCTTTTTTTTTTTTTGAGACAGTCTCACTATCAGCCAGGATGGAGTGCAGTGGCATGATCTCGGCTCACTGCAACCTCTGTCTCCCAGGCTCAAGCAATTCTCCTGCCTCAGCCTCCTGAGTAGCTGGGATTACAGGCGTGTGCCACCATGCCCGGCTAATTTTTTGTATTTTTAGTAGAAACAGGGTTTCACCATGTTGGCCAGGCTGGTCTCGATCTCCTGACCTCGTGATCCACCCACCTCAGCCTCCCAAAGTGCTGGGATTACAGGCGTGAGCTACTGCGCCCGGCTACTTCCTCTATGTCTAAATGCTTAAATGCTGGTAGTCCCACAACTAATCTCAGTCTAACAATACAAGGAGAGATGTCTAAAGCATGGTAAGAGATAAGACTCAAGCAGTTAACTGAGCTACCTGTATTGCTCTGTGTGTCCTACCAACTCAGTGCCTCTCCCAATGAATATGATAACTGAGACCAAACACATTAATTCTTCATTCAAATATGAAACAGAGAAACCAAAAGGAGAACAAAAGAGAATACAGTCCTCCAATAATGAAGGTTGATTAAGATCATCTTAAGCCTAAAAAGAATAAAATGGCAGTACTTTTCTATGAAGAGCCTGAATTGTTAAAAGGCTTTATATATTAAAATACTATACAGTATTTAATCAAATCCATTCAAATAAAAGACTAGTAAAATAGAAAAAAATATGTAATTAAATGAAAATCACATGTAGTTTATTCTTTGAACCATCATTATGGAAACGTACTACACATGCTCTCGCCCAACATATGAGCTCCAACACAGCACTTTTCCAGTGGTGCAGAGCAGAAATGATTCCTGATACAGCAAACACTTCCAGTTAGCACCTCTTTCCAGTAAACTAAACTAAACTGTGCCTGTGTTTTACCTGATTGATTTAACTTACTTAACATTTTCTCTTAGTTGCTTCACTAGTTTAATATTAACATCTGCTTCCAACAAAGCGGTACAGACTTCTTTTAGCATAGCATTCAATACCTGAAAATAAAGAAATAAATGAAATTTAAAGCACCCAATGTTTCATTTCAGTTCCATAAAAACAATTGTTGATCACTTACATAACCACAGCTTAGTAATACCACACTACTGGGTTTTTCAGTTAGTTCTTGGAGAGATAATTTTATTAAATGTTTAGTCATTTTGTCAAAATAAGAGACCCCATTTAGTTTTACACCCAAGTATTAATTGCCACAATTTTATTCCTATATAAAAGTAATTATAGGCCCGGCATGGTGGCTCACGCCTGTAATCCCAACACTTTGGGAGGCCGAGGTGGGCAGACCACTTGAGGTCAGGAGTTCAAGAACAGCCTGGCCAACATGGCGAAACCTCATCTCTACTAAAAATACAAAAATGAGCTGGGCATGGTGGCACGTGCCTGTGATCCCAGCTACTCAGGAGGCTGAGGCAGGAGAATCACTTGAACTCGGGAGGCGGAGGCTGCAGTGAGCCAAGATAGTGCCACTGCACTCCAGCCTGGGTGACAGAGTGAGACTTTGTCTCAAAAAAAAAAAAAAAAAACCACACACACACACACACACACACACACACACACACACACATACACACAAAGTAATAATAAAGACAATATTCAAGCCAAAAAAAGTTACTACAAATAGATGTTGCCTTTGATGTTTTCTACTTTATTGAAGAGCTCCTGTCACTATTATGTAGTGGTATATAGTTACAATATTTGCTTTTCTTTTTTTTTTTTGGAACAGAGTTTCAGAGTTTCGCTCTTGTTGCCCAGGCTGGAGTGCAATGGCGTGATCTCGGCTCACTGCAACCTCCGCCTCCCAGATTCAAGAGATTCTCCTGTCTCAGCCTCCCTAGTAGCTGGGATTACAGGCGCCTGCCACCACGCCCAGCTAATTTTTTGTATTGTTAGTAGAGATGGAGTTTCACTATGTTGGCCAGGCTGGTCTCAAACTCCTGACCTCAGGTGATCCGCCCGCCTCAGCCTCCCAGAGTGCTGGGATTACAGGTGTGAGCTACCACACCCGGCTTAATATTGCTTTTCTTAAAAACTGGACAATTATGGAAGTAAATGTGACAGAAGGAAGTTACCCAGTCTTGTCATTTTTATTAGAGCAGCAGAATACAGGTGGAAAGGAGGCTACTCTCCATTAATAACTTATTATCATCATATGTTTGTTGAATTGCAAGGCACTGTAGTTAAAAGGTCATAAAATTAAAAGTCTTAAGAAAAGATGAGGCTTTAGCCACTCATGTATATAAAGTGCTCACACACTAGAATGTAAACTCTATGAGGTTAGGAATTTTAGTCTATTTTGTTCACCGCTGTATCTCTGGTGCCAGCAAAAATGTCTGCAAAAACATAGGCCCTCAAATATTTCTTGAATGTTCTCTCTCCTTCAACTCACTTCATATGCCCTACAGAGAGAGGCTTACCAGTTTTCTCTATCCCTCATTAAACGGGTCTGCTAAAATTCGAACTGATCTTTCACTAGAGGGCTTTCTCCTTGTTAATTAGCTAGCAGCACAGTATCAAGAACAGAGAAGCTGCCAATTTAAGCAACAGCTGTTACTCTACCTCCCACCAAGAACTCCTCCCCTGGTTTCCTTTCCTTTCTACTATAAACACAAAGAACATAAGGGCTACACAACAGGGAAAACTGTTTGGAAAGTCGTTTTATATATTTGGAATTACAAGACCAAACAATGATTTAAGTTATGATTTATTTTTTAATAAGCAGTATTAGAAAAAGCCCTGTATGAGGAACTAGGAAAAAAAGGTTCTAATCCTGGTTCTTCCAAATAAATAATCACATGAAACTGACTTTGGTTCTGTTAAATAAGAGGCTGAACTAAATGATCTCTAAGATGGTCTCAAAATTATTTAATTCCGTTAGCTTAGTATTGAGATCAAATTCCATGTAAGAATTCTACGTAAGTTTTCTAACCTCCAAGTTAGAAAGTTTATTTGAAACTTAAAACCATTTTCTATGGTAAATGCTATTTTTCCTATTTTATACACTAAGGAATCTAAGGTTTAGTTGCCCCAATTTACATCGTACAGCTGCTAAATAGCTACAGTGGGACTAACCAATGTCTTCTAACACCAAATTCAGTACTTTTCCATTGTTGATACAAAATATAAAGTATACTTGTGAACCACAGTCAACTTTTTCAATTAATAAACCACTAAGATACAATCTGTGGGGGACAAATGGAACAAAGAAATATCTTAAAATAATATAGCCGGGAAGAAAAGTATTTTAATATCATCTAAGGAGTGGCTTACAAAATCTCCAAAAAACTGAAGATTTCAAAGAAAATGAATCAAAACAGACAAGATGGAAATGCTAGCCTTTTATAAAAATGCTAAATAAAAGTCACAAAGAAAAGGACAGATAAGCACAGGCCTAGCCAAGAAGAAAGAAGCAGAGTAATGAAATTTTAGGTCTATATCAATAAAGAAAACAAAAGTACAGTTCCAGATTTAAGCCACTTTCAAAAGATAAAATATGTTATTTTTACATGTAAGTTAAGGTCAGGTTTTTTTCGATTTTTTTTTGGAAAATTCTTTATAGAAAGTTGAAGTAAATTTGAAGTTGTAGTTAATTTCTCAATAAAACACTACTTACTGTATCCACTTTTAGGCTTTTATCTACAAGTATTAAGTCTACATCAAAATACATATAAATACAGGGATTATGAATAAGCCATCTTCCCAATGCTAGTGACAATATACAATCATATATATTTCATACAATATTTTACATACCTCTTCATTGATAATGGTGGCATTGCTCAACGAGCGTAATGCTGATGTTATTTTTCTTCCAAGGTCTGCTAGAACCATCTTGACAGCTTTAAGATGTACTTACGAAGAACTCTACAGCAGAAAAAAAATTAAGTGAGAATAATCAATTTCACTTCCCATGACTGAAGAGTTCTAAAGAGTATTTAAGTTCAAATTACTCTAGTGTTTAGATACTGTAAGATCACCTTCCATAGCCTCAACCTGTGCTTAAATACAGTCATGTCATAAAGATAAAACTGCTACTTGGTTATGATGCCTTATATTTGAATACTTAATTGGAATCTTGTATATGAATCAGCAAATTTAACATGTCAAATACCATACTTTGAGGAAATAATGACATAATCTCACATTAAATATGTTCTTTTTTTGGCACAATACTTATGAATAACTGAATTATGTATCATGCACATTTTTAAATTAAAAGAGGAGAAAAAGGTGAAATCTCCAGGAATACTGCCTAATTTCCCACATTAAAGGACTCTGCAAACTATTTTGATTCTTGCTCCTAAGCAAAAAAAAGAAAAAAGGTTTTAATAACTTTTCTAGTACAAAAAAAGCAACTGTTCAGCTATCAGCTATATCGAAGCGCTATACTAAGTGATTCCACATACATTATTTCATTTTATTCTTCTAACCACAAAGGAAAGAGGTATATTATTTTACTCTTTTTTTTTTTTTTTTGAGACAGGGTCTCACTCTGTCACCCAAGCTGGAGTGCAGTGGTGTGATCACAGCTGACTGCAGCCTCAACTTCCTGGGCGCAGGAAATCCTCCTGCCTTAGCCCCCCAAGTAGCTGGGACCACAGGTGCATGCCACCATGCCCAGCTAATTTTTATTATCTGTAGAGACGGGGTCTCACTATGTTATGTTGCCAAGGCTGGTTCTCTTCCCATTTTAAACCTGTTTCTGATTCCAGGAAAACTCTAAAATAGGATAATGATTTAAGTTATCATTTATTATTAATAAGAATTATTAGAAAAAGCCCTTGATGAGGAACCGAAAATAAAATTCTGATCCTGGTTCTTCCAAAAAATAGTCACATGCAACAGACTTTCTGTTTCAGTTAACTAAGAGTCAAAAACCCTTTCCAGCTCTAAAATCTTACTGTTTTATAAAAGTATTACATATTAGATGTACTTACTACTTGTAAGGATGCAAGGGCTTATGGATGATAAACAAGCAAATATGATTTGTAGTCCCTGCCCTCAAGATGCTTACCTACTAGCTGGTAAGACAAGGCACACAAATGAACACTAAAATAAACACTAAGAGAGAATTCCTCCTGTCTGACTGCTAACAGGGACATCAGCTTTTCTTGCCTTCAAACTGAAACACTGGTTCTTTGTGGGTCTCAAGCCTTTGGATTAAAACTACATCAATGGCTCTCTGAGTTCTCAGGCCTTCAGATTCAGACTGGATCTACACCATGGGCTCTCCTGGGTCTCCAGCTTGCCAACTCATCCTACAGATCTTGAAACTTAAGTCTCCATAACGGCCTGAGCCAATTCCTTATAATAAATACATATCTTTATATCCATTTCTCCCTCTCTCTCTCTACACACACACACACACACACACACACACACACACACACACACACACACACACACCCTTTATTGATTCTGCTTCTCTGGAACAAGAAAAAAAAAAAAAGGAAAAAAAAGGCCAGGTACAGTGGCTCATGTCTGTAATCCCAGCACTTTGGGAGGCCAAGGAAGGAGGATCACTTGGGCTCAGGAGTTGGAAACCAGCCTGGGCAACATAGCAGGCAGGACTTCAACTCTTAAAAAAAAAAAAAAAAAAAAAAAAAAAGTAGCCAGGCATGGCGGCATGTGCCTGTAGTCCCAGCTACTCGGGAGGGTGAGGGGAGGATTGCTTGAGCCAAGGAGGTCATGATCACACCACTGCACTCCATCCAGCCTGGGTGACAGAGTGAGACTCTGTCTCCACAAAAAAAGAAAACAGAAAAGGAAGAATTTTAGACTAAGGCAGAGAGTATAGGCTTTATTGGAAAGACTGAGTATGAATTTGGTCCTGAAATAAGAGTAGAATTTGAGTAAGTGGAGAAGACAAAAGGGAATTTGAGGAAGATGAAATAGCATAAGCAGAAATGGAGAGAGAGGTAAGTCTGGGACATACTTATGCCTTATATATGCACTGTACTTATGGATCACTGAGCATTATTTAGGGGACAGGAAACAAAACATTCTGCTTAGGACAGAGGTGTATACAGTTAGAAGGAAACAGAGATTTCAAAGGGCTCTAAAAACACGGTCTGGGGAATATCAATTTTCCAATATGAACAATATTAGCAGAAAAGGTAACTCTTCAAAACAACTGTTTTGGTAACCCTTCCAAACTAATGTAGTCTAATTTAGTCAACCAAGATTATCCAGACTAGATCCCTTCTACAGAATACACAGGAGATTAAAAATAAGAGAAACAGCACCAGGCGTGGTGGCTCACGCCTGTAATCCCAGCACTTTGGGAGGCCGAGGTGGGTGGATCATCTGAGGTCAGGAGTTCGAGACCAGCCTGGCCAACATGGCAAAACCCTATCTCTACTAAAAATACAAAAAAAAAATTAGCTGGGCATGGTGGCAGGCACCTTTAATTCCAGCTACTCAGAAGGCTGAGGCAGGAGAATCGCTTGAAGATGGGAGGCAGAGGTTACAGTGAGCTGAGATCGCGCCACTGCACTCAGCCTGGGCAACAAGAGAGAAAGTCCGTATTAAAAAAAATAAATTTTGGGCCAGGTGCGGTGGCTCATGCCTGTAATCTCAGCACTTTGGGAGGCCGAGGCAGGCGGATCACCTGAGGTTGGGAGTTCGAGACCACCCTGACCAAAATGGAGAAACCCCGTCTCTACTAAAAATACAAAATTAGCCAGGTATGGTGGCACATGCCTGTAATGCCAGCTACTTGGGAGGCTGAGACAGGTGAATCGCTTGAACCCGGGAGGTGGAGATTGCGGTGAGCTGGAGATCATGCCATTGCACTCCAGCCTGGGCAACAAGAGTGAAACTCCATCTCAATAAATAAATAAATTAATTAATTAATTTTAAGACAAACAGGAAGATGAAATAGCTGACTCATTCACCATAGAGAAAGTAAAGAGGTGAGAGGAATCATAAAAAGGCAGGAAGGGAAAATGCATTTGAGGACCTATCACTGGCAAACAGATATCCCAGGCTGAGCTACAAATTAAACACTACACTTTCACTCAAGTACAATTTGGTAATTTAGAACTTAAAAAAAACTTACTACCAATACTTGATGAAATTGAAAAAAAAATTGCTTACCATAAGATTTTTTTACAATTACATTGTTACTTAACCTGAGAGCCAACCACCTCATGGAAAAGATCCAGGACTTTTTATTTCTTATGCCATACCCATTATACAAAATAATTATTGATCCTTAAATTAATATTCTTCATTTAAGAAATAAGATTCAGATGTTTCAGTTTATATCCTTCACCATGGTGGTACTGGGAGTGATAGAATCCTATTTATGACACCACAATTAACTTTTTTAGAGGTCATGTCATAAACAGATCATCTTTCATTTTAAAAAGCTATACTAAGCCAGGCATGGTGGTTTACGCCTATAATCCCAGCACTCTGGGAGGCCAAGGCAGGCAGATTGCTTGAGGTTGGGAGTTCAAGACCAGTCTAGCCAACATGGTGAAACCCCATCTCTACAAAATATACAAAACTTGGCCGGGTATGGTGGTGCACTCCGGTAGTCCCAGCTACTCAGGAGTGTGAGGCAGGAGAATCACTTGAACCCAGGAGGTGGAGGTTGCAATGAGCCGAGATCACATCACTGTGATGAGATGGAGTGAGACTCCATCTCCAAATAAATAAATAAATAAATAAATAAATAAGCCATACTAGTTAACTTTTTGGGGGGGCAAACTTTAGGAAGTGTCTTTAATTTTTTTAATTAATTTATTTTAGATTCAGAGGGTACATGTGTATGTTTGTTACACTGGTATACTGTGTAATGGTGGGGACTGGACTTATACACACATGACCCAAATATTGAACCTTGAACCCAAGAGGTACTTTTTCAATCCTCAGTCTTCTCCCAAACTCTTCCATTTTGGAATGGTCTGTGTCTACTACTTTCGTCTTTATGTCCATGGGTACCTATGTTTAGCTCTCACTTATAAGTGAGAACATGAGATACTTGATTTTCTGTTTCTGAATTAGTTCTCTTAGGATAATGGCCTCCTGCTCCATCCATGTTGCTGCAAAGGACATGATTTCATTCTTTTTATGGCTGCCTAGTAAATTCTTAAATATAAATCTAACTTTCCATGTTAACTGGTTGTTTTAAATTTAAAAATTTTAAAAACTTCTGTGAGGTTTTCCAATATACTTTTCCTTCTGCAAGTAGTTACTGGCAGTGTGTATTTTAAAACATTTTTGCCTTAAATTTAAAAAATATATTTTATTATATAATACATGAATACATATAGTTTTAATATATAAAATAACAAAATCTGTCCGGGCCCAGTGGCTCACGCCTGTAATCCCAGCACTTTGGGAGGCCAAGGCGGGTGGATCACCTGAAGTCAGGAGTTCAAGGCCAGCCTGGTCAACATGGCGAAACCCCATCTCTACTAAAAACACAAAAATTAGCCAGGCTTGGTGGCAGATGCCTGTAATCCCAGCTACTCTGGAGACTGAGGCAGGAGAATTGCTTGAACCAGGAGGCGGAGGTTGCAGTGAGCCGAGATGGTGCCACTGCACTCCAGCCTGGATGACAAGAGCAAAACTCCGTCTTAAAACACAAAACACAAAAACAAAATAAAATCCTGCATTTCAGTAGAGGAGTAAGAACATCTAATAATACCTTTAACTTACAGTGTTTCCTCTACAATGTCCAAGGATGATGTGTTCCTGAAAACTCCGTGTTAGAATTTTGCTTAAAATCTCAATGACTTCCATTGCACACAGATGTAAAGTCCTCAGAATGGACTGTAAGGCCCCCTCCACCCCCCACCCCCAACACACACGCATGACTGATTTTAATCATACTGACCTCCTTGCTATTGCTGCTACACATTTCCACCTCAGTGTCTCGGTACTAGCCAGCATGCTCTTCCTCTGCTTGACAACATAACTCCCTCCCTCATTTCCTTCAGATTTGTCCAGATGCCATTTCTCAATGAGGTCTTCCCTAATCACTTATTTAAAACTGCAACCCTCTTCCCTTTATTTTTTCCTATTGTTCTATTATCAACTGACATATGGCTTATTTATATTATTTGTCACCTATAATCTCACTATTGAAATGTAAGCTGTGGCCAGGTGTGGTGGCTCATGCCTGTAATCCCAGCACTTTGGGAGGCCGAGGTGAGTGGATTGCCTGAGGTCAGGAGTTCGAGACCAGCCTGGCCAACATGGTGAAACCCCATCTCTACTGAAAATACAAAAATTAGCCAGGCGCGGTGGCAGATGCCTGTAATCCCAGGTACTCAGAAGGCTGAGGCATGAGAATCGCTTGAACCCAGGAGGTGGAGGTTACAGTGAGCCCAGATCGTGCCACTGCACTCCAGCCTGGGTGAAAGAGCAAAACTCCATCTCAACAACAACAACAACAACAAAAAAAAAAAAAAAAAAAAGAAAAGAAATTTAACCTGCACAAGGGCAGGGATTTTTGCCTCTTTTGCTTTCTCCTGTGAGCTCACTGCTTTATCTATCCTCAGCCTTATACAGTAAATCCTTAATAAAAATGAACATTATGAATGAATGAAATGATGTATTTAAGGCCTTAGGGAAAAAGCGAGACCAGAGAACTAAAGTCATGAAAGGCACTGCAAATATCTTTAAAAGCCACTAAAATAAATCAATGAAGATAATATGATGAATCAAAAGAAAAACAATAACTTGGGTAATTTGTACTGTACATTAAATATATTTATTTGTCATTACTTATAATTCTTCTTCAGAATTTCCCTGCCATGCATTTCCAACAAGATACTTAAAAATTAACCTCACCTTGTTCTAATATGTACACTAAAGTGAAAAATACCTTTTGTATGTTAATAGCTAAGCCTAAATCTCAGGTTGGAGTAATCTACAATTCAAGTACACTCTCAAGATTCTCTTGCCTAACTAAAACGATTTATAGAAATAAATCTGTATATGCTAGAATTTCACAAAGGAAGAATCTCTACTTAGATGGGGCTTTTAGAAAGGTAAGAGATTACCACACAGTACTTTCTTACAGTTGAACATCTATTATCTCATTTCACTCTTACAACAATTTTATGATATAAGCAGGATAGGGAATAGAACAGCCGTTCCCTGCCAAAAAAAAGCAAAATGACTTCCCATAGTCCTTTGGCTAGAGTATGAATGAAGCTTTAAATTATAGGGTTGAATACACCTGCTGGAAACTGCAAGGACAAATTTTGCTGCTATGCTATAATAGAAGAAATCACATTTTAATCATATTTAAAGATGTATATTCCTCTTTGTGGAGGAGTAATTGCAACGTTCAGAAAGAAATGATAACTATCACTGCAATCAGACCAGTACATACAAGGACTGATCCTGGCTCGAGTCACAGGGTCTTCTAACTGGGGTCTGACTAGGATTTGGATAGTAAGCAATAGAAACAGGCTGAAGTTTTGGGTGCCCTAAGTAAGGCAATCACAGGGCCAAGTATCACACTTACTTGCTGCAGTGTGAAGTACTGGAAAGAGCATAGATTTTGGAGTCTGACAGACTTAGATTCAAATCCTAGCTCTGTTACATACTGGCTGTGTTACTTTGGGCAAGTTACTTAATCTCTCTGAGCCTCACTTTCCTCACTTGCAAAATGAAGATACCATTACCAAGGTAGTTACCCTGAAGGGCTGTTGTGAGGATTAAATGAGACAATACATATAAAGCTGTCTTCAAAAACCTAGCATATTAACTATTAACTTCCTTTCTTTTTTTAATGATACCAACTATCTCTCTCTGTATTATATGGAGTGTAAGTAAGCTGGAAATTTTCTGAACAATCTTACAGAAGTGTCTGTCCCATCATTCAGGAACCACTCCTGGAATCTTTAAAATTTAGTGGCAATTACAACTGCCAGATTATTATTCAACAGAAGCTGCAGTGTCCAAAAACCCACCTTTCTCTACATAAACAATTATAAATATTCCTGCCAGATTTGCCTGATCTGAGATTATATAAACAGAGTCTAATGATTAGCTATGTCAAATCCTATTACAACATAATCCCTACAAAAAAGTTCTTTTTTTTTTTGAGACAGAGTTTTGCTCTTGTTGCCCAGGCTGGAGTGCAATGGGGCAATCTCAGCTCACTGCAACCTCCCGAGCAGCTAGGATTACAGGTGCCCACCACCACGCCCAGGTAATTTTTTGTATTTTTAGTAGAGACAGGGTTTCACCATGTTGGTCAGGCTGGTCTTGAACTCCTGACCTCAGGTGATCCACCCACCGTGGCCTCCCAAAGTGCTCGGATTATAGACAGGCATGAGCCACTGCACCTGGCCAAAAGTCCTTTCTTCTAAGTCCTTGTCAATGACTTTTTGAATCAATATTAGCCTCAAGAACTAAATATACTTAGAAAAATTACTTCTACATAGTACAGTCAGCCTTCTGTATCTGGGGCTTCACAACCATGGATTCAACCAACTACAAATCAAAACATTCAGAAAAAAAATTGTGTCTCTAGTGAACATGTACAGACTTTTCTTGTCATTATTCCCTAAACAATACAGTATAACAAGTATTTTCTTAAGGATATAAATATGGTATAACAACTATTTACATTTTGTATTAGGTATTGATCTAGAGATGCTTTAAAGTACATGGAAGGATGTGCATAGGTCATATGCAAATACTACACCATTTTACATCAGGGACTTGAGCATCCTCTGATTTTGGTCCTGGAATCAATCCCCCCCAGATAGCAAGAGACAACTGTATACTTTTCTATAAAGCAGTCAAAGGCTAATAACCAGTATTTGCTTTTCTGACTTTAATACTAAATATTTTTCTTAATTCTGCACAGCATATGTGTTCACAGTCTAGGACCACAGAAAAGTAAATTTAGTTAACAAAATGGCCTATAGGTATTGTATTTAGTAAAATATATACATTATATATATATATGTTATATATATATATATATTTTTTTTTTTTTTTTTTTGAGATGGAGTCTCACTCTGTCGCCAGGCTGGAGTGCAGTGGTGTGATCTCAGCTCACTGCAACCTCCACCTCCTGGGTTCAAGAGATTCTCCTGCCTCAGCTTTCTGAGTAGCTGGGACTACAGGCGCATGCCACCACACCCACCTAATTTTTGTATTTTTAGTAGAGACGGGGTTTCACCATGTTGGCCAGGATGGTCTCGACCTCTTGACCTCGTGATCCACCCACCTCAGCCTCCCAAAGTGCTAGGATTACAGGCGTGAACCACCGCACCCAGCTTAGTGAAATATATTTTAATGACTAATTTTACAATGTTAATTATGACTTTCAAATTTAGGAACTGTTTTTCATGCTGAATCTACTTATTCCCCAAGGAAATAATTCACCTTTATGTTCTGTGATTACAAAATGATGTATCTTCACTGTAAAAGTTAAAACATTACAGAAATATTTAAGGTAGAAAATATAATTCCCCTAATTCTACCCACTCCCATACCATGGTAACAACCAATAATAATCTGGTATATATTAATATGGATTGTATTTTCTAGGTATATTAATTTAAGCAAGGTTTCCCAAGAATTTATGGTTTTGGCGGGGAGTAAAGAGGGGAGCAAAAATTAGGAAAATTCTTTTGTAAAATATGCTTGCTAATGCTAAAAACAGGCTTAAATGCAAAAGGCAGACTACAAAACTGCATATGTAGTATAATCCATATTTTGTTAAACACAGTCTAAAAACAAGTATTAAAAAATATTAGCCATCAGGGAATTGTAAATCAAAATCTTAATAAGATATCATCCAAATACTTGTACATGAATGGTCAGAGCAGCATTATTCATAATAGCCAAAAAGTAGAAACAACCCAAATATCCTTCAACTTATGAACGGATAAGTAAAATGTAGAATAAAATACAAAGGTATATCACTAGGCAATAAAAAGAAATGAAGTACTGAACATATGCCACAACATGGATTAATCTTCGAAACATAAGTGAAAAAACCCAGTCACAAAAGATCACATATTATGGTTCCACATGAATTGTTCAGAATACATAAATCTACAGAGACAGAAAGTGGATTAATAGTTGCTTAGGGCTCAGGAGATGGAGTAAAATAGGGAATGATTGCTAATAGGTATGGGGTTTCTTCATGGGATAATAAAAATGTACGAAAATTGATTATGGTGATAGTTGCGTAACTTTGTAAATACACTATAATCCTTTCAATTGTACACTTTAGGTGAACTAAGAATTATGTGTGTGTGTGTGTGTATATATATATACACACACACACACACATATATATATATATTTTTTTTTTTTTTTTTCAGATGTAGTGTCTCTCTGTCACCCAGGCTAGAGTGCAGTGGCAAGATCTCGGCTCACTGCAATATCTGCCTTCTGGATTCAAGCGATTCTCCTGCCTCAGCCTCCCGTGTAGCTGGGACTACATGGAGTGCCACCATGCTCGGCTAATTTTTTGTATTTTTAGTAGAGATGGGGTTTCACCTTGTTAGCCAGGATGCTCTGGATCTCCTGACCTTGTGATCTGCCTGCCTTGGCCTCCCAAAGTGTTGGGACAGGCTTAAGCCACCGCACCCAGCCAAGAATTATATTTTAATAAACTGTTAAAATAACATTTGTTATCTCTGGATGATGAATAACTAGCAATTTTTTTTTTTTGAGACAGAGTCTCACTCTGTGCCCACTGGAGTGCAGTGGCACAATCTCGGCTCACTGCAACCTCTGCCCTCCGAGTTCAAGCGATTCTCCTGCCTTGGCCTCCCAAGTAGCTGGGATTACAGGTGCCTGCCACCACACCCAGCTAATTTTTTATATTTGTAGTAGAGATGGGTTTTCACTATCTTGGCCAGGCTGGTCTTGAACTCCTGACATCATGATCCACCCGCCTCAGCCTCCCAAAGTGCTGGGATTACAGGCGTGAGCCACCACGACCAGCAATTTTTATTTTCTTATATCTTTTTCTAATTTCCAATTTTTTAGTAATGACTGAGAACACTATTTTTTAAGTCAAGGGAAAATTATTTTCCAAAGCGTTCCTTGTGAGAATTAGAGTGCAACTAGTCAACAGACTAGAGGTTGGGATGGAGCTGCCACTTGTATTCATTTACTCATTCATTAAACACCTACTATGTACTCCAGAAATTGTCCCAGCATGAGAGAAGTTCTAATTCCTAATCAAATATAACAGTTTAACACAAGACTCCCTTCAAAAGATAAATTATGCATCATACCACCTCTGTCTTAACTTAGCACCAAAGATTATATTCAATTATATCAAGAAGTATCAAGCAACTTTCTCTTCATTAAAGTAATTGTTTTTCAAATTTTAAAACTCATTTTATGTAAAATAATATCACAGCACCAATTCGTACTTTTGCAGCAAAAAAGGTATACCAAAAAAAAAGTCAATTAGCAACAAGAGGTAATAACTCAGGAACACTGGGAATCATTTCTTTACGATACTTTCTGGCTATGAGGTCAACCATAAAAAGAATCTTTACATAAAATGCTACCAAGAAGAAAATTAAAACGAAAATCAAAAGAATTCCTTGGAAAGTTGGCCTTAACATTGAAAAGAAAAAGGAAAAGTGAAAAATAAAAAAGGAAAAGGAGGGATAAGAGGCATATGCTCAAGCAATGCGTTATTTCAATGACATTTAGATAATGCCTATCAGTAAAAATTAAATGCTCAATCAGACTCTCCAGAGATAGTAAGGTAAAAAAGTTTTAGGGGGAGTAGCTTCATCTAAATTCTTAATCTGGAGTGCAAAACAAGACATTTATGTTTTGAAAACTTTCACTAGCTATATTGATGTGCAGCAAGGGTTCATAATCACTATATTAAGTATTTAATAACATGTCCCAAAGAAAACAACAGAATGAGAAATCTGTTCTATACCTTAGAAACATCTTTAGATACAGTGTAACAAATACATTGGAGGGAAAAAACTGAAGAGCCAGGACACTACATGCACTACCCATACTCCATAAGGCTAGTTGAGACAAGATGTGGCCTTGAACTAGAGAAAAAGAAACTAGGGTTAAGGGCTAATTCATGAAGCAGAATCTAATGACCAAATGGTTATGGCAAGTGAAGGAAAAAAGAGGCAAAAATGATTCCAATATCTCTAGTTTTTATAACCAGATGGCTAGTGATGCCATTAACCAATGAATGGAAGGCAAAAAGGGAAGGTGGTTTGAAAGTCAGAGGAGTTAATAGAGAAGAGGTCAAAGGGACTTAATGTATTATTTTTAATGTTTCACTTTTTATGAAGGATGTGTACATAGATGTTCATTTCATTATCCCTCCAACTAGCTGGGACTACAGGCGGCGCCACTAAGCCTGGCTAATTTTTGTCTCTTTTGTTGAGACAGGGAGTTTCGCCATGTTACCCAAGCTGGTCTCGAACTCTTGAGCTAAAGCAATCTGCCAGCCTCAGCCTCCCAAAGTATTGGGATTACAGGCGTGAGCCATTGCTCACAGCCCTTATAATCCTTTTAAAAATTTAACCTACTTGTATCACAAAATTCAACCAGAGGTCAAAACTCAAAAACGCACTGACAATCACTGCTTTTATACACTTTCGTATGCATGACATATGTCATAGTGAAAAAAAAAAAAAAAAGGAAGGTGAAGACAGTGCATTTGGTTTTGGACCTAATGAGTTTGCAAGTTTTAGGGGAAAGTACAGAACTATCAACTCATGAGATGGAGGCTAAAGAATAAGGTTTAGGCAGGGCATGGTGGCTCACACCTGTAATCCCAGCACTTTGGGAGGCCGAAGCAGGCGGATCACTTCAGGTCAGGAGTTCAAGACCAACCTGGCCAACATGGTGGAACCCCATCTCTACTAAAAACACAAAAATTAGCTGGGCGTGGTGGCAGGCACCTGTAATCCCAGCTACTCGGAAGGCTGAGGCAGGAGAATTGCTTGAACCTGGGAGGCGGAGGTTGCAGTGAGCCGAGATGGTGCCTCGGTACTCCAGTCTGGGCGACAGAGCAAATAAGGTTTGGAAAAGAACAAGGTTTGGAAATGAAAAGAATAAGGTTTGGACATGGTTGGCATATAGGGACAATGCCATGGAAGCAAGCGAGAAGCCTCGAGGAGAGCCTGTGGAAGACCATTTGGGTTATAGCAATGACTGAGGGCCAACTAAAAGGACGGCGTTAACCAAGACTGAAAATAACCAAAGAGATAGGAGCTTTTACTAATTCCCTTTCCCTTTCTCCATGGCACATAGGAGAAAATCAATTTTTAAAAAGCTACATTTATGGTTATCTTACTGTAATCCTGTGGCAGGTCCAGAATTTCCAAATAGATGGGGACAGAGGAGTAATCTGGAAGGAAGACTTGAAGATGCTTTTGCATAGTACTCTATATTAAGGTAGAAAATACCAGTTGGCCATATCAAAAAACTGAGAAAAAGCGATTTGAGGGAAATATTTCCCTCCCCTTTGGCACCACGATTGCTGTATTCTAGGCACTAAACCAAACCAAACCTCTTACCTAATCTCCTTTCTTCCTCAAAACAAGCCTATTAAGTAGATGAGGAAATTGAGGCTAGATTGGAATAGAAACTGGCTCAGGGTCACAAAGCACCTAAGGAGCACTTTAGCTCTCCCACAGCTTTCTACAGCTCTTTATATGCAACTAGTGTTTCTCATTACCCATCTTGATATAATGTGTATTTATGTGCGTTAGCTTCTCAATGGCAGAGTTAGTGTTATTCATTTCTGTATCCTTGTAGCCAAGAACAAGTATATATTTTGTTAAATTAAGCATGTGAAAGAATCAGGTGAGGATAGCATGAAGAAAGGCAGCAGGGGAAAGTTTCAAGAAATGGATGGTCAGCAGCGTCAAATGGTACAGAGAGAGCTATCAGTCTATCTTAAATCATCATTGGCATTCAACTGATATTCCATATTCGTTTATTGAACGTCTACTACACGCAGGACATTGTGTTAAGCACTACAAACACATAGGAAAAATAAAAGTCTCGTACAAGTAAAAGGATTTTCGGGGAAGTAGCTTCATCTAAATTCTTGCTCAGGAAAGCAAAACGAAGACTCAGGCCTGCAACTGCCTACATCTTATTTGGCTCAGGTAAATCGGAAGACAACTCAAAAGGGGCACAGCGCATCTTTAATAAAACTTCTCATGGAAGACGAGATAAAGAGCCACAGAAACTCAGTCTCGGTAACGATGGCCGGTGGCCACGGAGGCCGACTTCCCCCGGAGTCTCTCGCCTCCTGAGCAGCGCTGGGGCTGCCCCTCGCTCCCCCTCCGTAGTCTGGGGCGGGAAAAAGCAGACACTTACCGCAAAAGACACCGCTAAAGCCGTGGCCCTGAGGGGCCGGGAATTCCTTAGCGAGGCCCCACGCCGTCGGAAGAAACCCAAGAAAGCTGGGAGCAGACAGACAGGTATGACCCCACAACCCAACTTCCCGAACTAGATAAAGTAGGGTCCCAACGCCCAGCACCACGTCGTCAACTCCCACCAGCTGGAAGACCAACGGAGTGCCAGCGAACCTTCCGCCCAATGAGGAAACGTCACCACTCCGCGTAGTCCAGCCTTTCTATAGGAGAATCTACTTCCGCTTCCGGGGCACACCGCCGCGTTCCTTCTACGCGGCTCCTGAAACAGTTTAGATGTTTACTTGCTTACACTGGTTTTTGGTTTCAGTTTCCTACCGCTGAATAACTGCAGGAGTAAAGTTAGTGGTAAAATAGGAGGCTGTCTAGGGACGTGATTTCGGGGAAGAAGTCAGGCCTCGACGAGCCACCTTAAGAAAAGTGACTAGGCGGAGCACTCCCAGCTAAGAGCGGAAAGATGAGAGATAGAGGTGTGACTGAAGGCAGGGATCCCCAGGCGCACGTGAGACCTCCGTAGAGGGGCGGGGCTTAGGGCTTTGCAGACCGGAGGCTTGTTCCGCGGAGGGTGGGGCGGTCTCTGCTTGCGCATGCGCAATGCCAGCCAGTGCCTGCGCGGCTTGCTCCAGCAAGGTAAAATTTCCCACTGCGAGGCAGGCAGTGATGCTGCGGCCGCTTCGCACTGTGGCTCCTGCCGACCGCCAGGCGCTGTTACAGTGGATGCGAACTAACCGTAAGTGTAAGTGACCAGAGCTAGAGGCAGGTGGTGGGGGCAAGGATATGCTGCAGGCGCTGACTTTGAGGACTTAAGCGGGGTGAAGCCAACAGCCTTCCTTGGGATCGTTGTGCTGGTCTCTGCTGTCTTGGGGGGTAGATTGACCAGGGCTTTGAGTGCTCTAACGGAAAAGAGAGTTAGTTGCTCGCCACACGTAGACACCAATTAACAAGAGCGAGCCCTAGTATACAAGAAGAGGGATTTTATTTCTGAAGCCAGCCCGCTTCGTCTTTGGAGCAAAAAAGCGGGCATTTTATAAGGTACAAGAGGAAATGAGCAAGAGGTCTCTGCTAGCTGGTGCCTTATCTACCGGGTAGTTGAGTTGGTGCATTTCTGAGCAGAAATAAGTTGTAAAAGTGGCCAAGTGGGCATGCTTTCTGCTTACCCTTCTGAGGCGACCGCCTGGCGGTGGGAGTTGCGTCTTGGATCTCGTAGATGAATTTGCTCTGTAGAGAATGGTCTGGTGAGGGGAGTTGAGAGGTTATTTTGCAGTTCAAAAAGGGCTAAGTGGAAAGTGTAGTGGGGAGGGGAAAAGAGGGGAAAAAATAAACTATCTCTTGGAAAATGGGGGTAATCGGATACAGTACCACTTGGAATTAATTGGGTGTGGGAAACCTGGTTCTGAGTGGTTTGTGAGTTTTCAGCAGACTTCGGACAAGCCTTTAGAGCTCCTTGTGCCTAACCCTTTTTCTGAAAGAAAATAGAGGGTTAGCCCTCCTCCCCATTACTCCCACAAACTTGTTAGAATTGGTACGTTGCCACCTGAAAAAGCATTTTGCAGGAGAGGTTTTAGGCTGTAGCGTTAGTAGGAAGTGTTAAACGAAAAACCTTAGCCAAGTTAAATTTAACATTTTGAGCAAAGAATGATTCACGAATCGGGCAGGCTCAGAGAGATTGCAGCGCAGCCAAGTGTTGAAGATTTATAGACAGAAAAAGGCTGCAGTGAGCTTTGATCCCGCTGCTTCACTCCAGCCTGAGCGACGCAAGACCCTGTCTCTTTAAACACACACGTTAAAACTGAGGAAATGTGGTAGCTAGATCTAGTTACTGAAAAATGGGATAGATGTATTCTGGCAAAGTAAAGCCTGATGAAAGCTCAAGAAAATAGGATATTCTTATGTTTGTTAACTATAGCAAACTATCCTATGCCTGTATGCGAGAGTGTGTGTGTGTGTGTGTGTGTGTGTGTGTGTGTGTGTGTGTATGTGTGTGTATTTATTTTTTGAGACAGAGTTTCACTCTTGTTGCCCAGGCGGGGCTGCAGTGGCGCCATCCAGCTCACTGCAACCTCCACCTCCCTGATTCGAGCGATTTTGAGTGGCTGGGATTACAGGCGTCCGCCACCACGCCCGGCTCATTTTTGTATTTGTAGTAGAGACGGAGTTTCACCATGTTTCCCAGGCTGGTCCCAAACTGCTGACCTCAGGTGATCTTCCTGCCTGGGCCTCCCAGAGTGCTGGGATTGCAGGCGTGAGCCACCACGCCTGGCCACTATGCCTGTATTTTGCTGAATGGTGATTTCCATGGTTATTTTTATCCAAGCTCATGACTTGAAATGTCATTGTTAGCTGATGACTTACAATTTTAGATTTTTAACCTCGACCTCTTAAAATTCTTTGTGATGTTAGAGTCAGTAGGTTTAGATATTATAATTAACATTATTACACATTTTAGGAGTCATTTTAGATAAGATGTCAAACTGAAGATAACAGGAACATCTGCTAGTGAGATTTGACCTGGAAAGTATAGAAAACCAGATACACAGCTTTGTTTATTTATTTATTTATTGAGACGGATTCTCAGTCTGTCGCCAGGCTGGAGTGCAGTAGCACGATCTTAGCTCATTGCAACCTCTGCCTTCTGGATTCAAGTGATTCTCCTGCCCCTGGAGTAGCTGGGATTACAGGCACGAACCACCGCGTCCAGCTAATTTTGGTATTTTTAGTAGAGACGGGGTTTTACTATGTTGGCTAGGCTGGTCTTGAACTCCTGACCTCGTGATCTGCCCTCCTCGTCCTCCCAAAGTGCTGGATTACTGGCATGAGCCACCGCACCCAGCCGGATACAGCTTTATTTCTATATACACAAAATCAAGATAATAATTTCCATAATATGCTGAGTCTCCTGTCACTTCATCTAAACCCTATGTTGCACATTTCTTTTTTGTTTTTGTTTTTGTTTTTGAGACGGAGTCTCGCTCTGTCCCCCAGGCTGGAGTGCAGTGGCGCAATCTTGGCTCACTGCAAGCTCCGCCTCCCGGGTTCACGCCATTCTCCTGCCTCAGCCTCCCGAGTAGCTGGGACTACAGGCGCCCGCCACCACGCCCGGCTAATTTTTTGTATTTTTAGTAGAGAGGGGGTTTCACCGTGTTGGCCAGGATGGTCTGGATCTGCTGACCTCGTGATCTGCCCGCCTCCGCCTTCCAAAGTGCTGGGATTACAGGCGTGAGCCACCGTGCTCGGCCGCACATTTCATTCTTCATATCCCATTTGTCAATAAAACAGCACCGATTTACATCTTTTTTTTCACATTCCTCAGCACAAGGTCATTTATTCTAAAAGCACTGAGTGCCTAGAAAGATGTCACATACTGCCTAGAGCTGGCAATTGTAAAATTACTAAAACATCTTTGCCCTCAAGATTTGTTTTGTGGAGCCATTTGCAATCTAAATTTTGATTTTTTTTTTCCTGTGTTTTGTTTGTTTTTGAGATAGGGTCTTTGTCACCCAGGCTGGAGTGCAGTGGCACCATCATAGCTCACTACAGCCTCACACTCTTGGCCTCAAGGGATCCTCCCACCTCAACCTCCTAAAGTGTTCAAATTACAGGCATGAGCCACTGTACCCAGCCTCAAATTTTAGAGATATCAGTTGAGACTCTATTTTTCAAAATCAGGAAGACTTGAAAGAACGTTTTGGATAATTTTGTAAACAAGAGCCAATATCACTGGCTAAAGAATATATTTTTACTTTTTTTTTTTTTTTTTGAGTCAGAGTCTTGCTGTCGCCCAGGCTGGAGTGCAATGGCACGATCTTGGCTCACCGCAACCTCCGCTTCCTGGGTTCAAGCGATTCTCCTGCCTCAGCCTCCTGAGTAGCTGAAACTACAGGCACGTGCCACCACGCCTGGCTAATTTTTTTGTATTTTTAGTGGAGACGGGGTTTCACCGTGTTAGCCAGGATGGTCTCAATCTCCTGACCTCGTGATCTGCCCGCCTCGGTCTTCCGAAGTGCTGGGATTACAAGCGTGAGCCACCGCGCTCGGCCCTATTTTTACTTTTTTTAAAGGTACTTTTTGTTGTTTTTAAAGAAAGGGTCTCACTCTGTCACCCAGGCTGGAGGCTGGTGTGCCGTGACACTGTTATAGCCCACTGCAGCTTTGACCTCCTGGGCTCAAGCAGTCCTCCTACCTCAGCATCCTGAGTACCTGAGTAGCTGGACTATGGTGCAAACCACCACACCCAGCTTTTTTAAATTTCCTGTAGAGACAGTGTCTCACTATGTTGCCCAGGCTGGTCTCAAACTCCTGGCCTCAAGAGATACTCCCACCTTGGCTTCCCAAAGTGCTGGGATTACAGGTGTGAGCCATCGTACCTGATCTAAAGGTACTTCTTGTGCCTCTCTTCAGCAGATCCTGTAGTGAGGAAGCTCAAGCAATTTGTTAAACAATTTAAAAAATAACTTGAGTTTCTGAAGAATGTTTATTAACCCGAATATTTTAAGAAGTGAGGCCGGGCATGTGGCCCACTCCTGTAATCGTAGCACTTTGGGAGGCCGAGGTAGGTGAATTGCCTAAGCTCAGGAATGTGAGACCAGCCTGGGCAACATAGTGAGAACCTGTCTCAAAAAAAAAAAAAAATTAAAAATTAAAAAAAATTTTAAGAAGTGAGAGTATCACTGAACTTAAAATAAAGGAGTATGGTTATTTATAATCCTTAAAAAAAGTAGTGTATTAGTATACCTTCTTTATTGTGGTAAAATATGTATAAAATAAAATTTACCATTTTGACCTTTTTTTTTTTCCTTCAGACAGAGTCTTGCTCTTTGCCCAGGCTAGAGTGCAATGGCACAATCTCGGCTCACTGCAACCTCTGCCTCCCAGGTTCAAGCGATTCTCCTGCCTCAACCTTCTGAGTAGCTGGGATTACAGGCGTGCACCACACCTGGCTAATTTTTGTATTTTTAGTAGAGATGGGGTTTCACCATGTTGGCCAAGCTGGTCTCGAGCACCTGACCTCGTGATCTGCCCACCTCAGCCTCCCAAAGTGCTGGGATTACAGGCGTGAGCCACCACGGCCAGACCATTTTGACCATTTTTTACTGTATAGTTAAGTGGCATTAAATATGTTCACGTTGTTTTGTAAATATCACTATTAATCTCCAGAACTCTTGTCTTCCCAAACTGAAACTCTTAGTATACCTTTTTATGAAGTGGTCTAAGTACAGCACAAAATATTCTTCTAAACAACCATTTTTCATTTTCCTAATTAGATTTCCTTTTGCCTGGGGAAATTTGTTTTTTTTTTTTTTTTTTTTTTGAGACGGAGTCTCGCTCTGTTGCCCAGGCTGGAGTGCAGCCTCCTGAGTAGCTGGGATTACTGGCACATGCCACCAAGTCCGGCTGATTTTTATATTTTTAGTAGAAGTGGGGTTTCACCATGTTGGCCAGGCTGGTCTCGAATTCCTGACCTCAGGTGATACGCCCATCTCGGCCTCCCAAAGTGCTGGGATTACAGGCCTGAGCCACTGTGCCTGGCCTCTCCTATAATTTTTAAATAAATTTTTAAACCTCTGGCATTAAGTCATTTAAATAATGTCTTGCATGACATTTGCCTAGACTTTTAATTTAAATTATAACTCTTCTTGAATTTTTATACCATTTGATGGAATAACAAAAGACAACGCTAGATGTTGAGTATGGCTTTGGTTTTGAGTTTCATAAGAGTTTATTAAAACTAGACAACATGGCTGTGTGCAGTGGCTCACGCCTGTAATCCTGGCACTTTGGGAGGCAAGGCAGGCAGATCACCTGAGGTCAGGAGTTTGAGACCAGCCTGGCCAACATGGTGAAACCCTGTCTCTACTAAAAATACAAAAACAAAAAATTAGCCAGGCATGATGGTGTGCACCTGTAGTCCCAGCTACTCGGGAGGCTGAGGCAAGAGAATTGCTTGAACCCAGGAGGCTGAGGTTGCAGTGAGCCAAGATTGCGCCACTGCACTCCAGCCTGGGCAACAGAGTGAGACGCCATCTCAAAAAAAAAAAGGAAAAAAGAAACATAAAACAAAGGTGGGAGCCTAGATGTTTCTTTGTACAGCTTAGGCTAGGAAATAATGAGCACTAGTGTCAGACAGGTAAACCAAGTCTGAGGGGCAATGCAGGCAAAAACAAGTTCCTCTCCCCCCAAAAAAAGATAAAAAGCAGTTAAAATACAGCAGTACTGGAACTCATTGATTCTGATCCTCTGGCAGAGTATCTTTTCCCTACTATTTTCCTGATGTGTATGAAGTGGGCTCTTGACCTAGATTTCAAAGTGTAGGAGACTGATTGCAATCCATTAAGTGAGGGGAGTTGAGAACCAGATCTGCAAATGGGGTCCCCAATAGGGCAAATAGAAAAGATACAATGCAACAGCAGTCTATTAACAAATTCTACTCTGAAGGCTCTCAGTATTTCCTGAATATGCAAAATAGAAATAAATGAGGACATTAAACCAATAACTCATACAAAGTCTCTCCTTTTCTTTTTTTTTTTTTTTTTTTTTTTTGAGATGGAGTCTTACTCTGTCACCCAGGCTGGAGTGCAGTGGCGCGATCTCAGCTCACTGCAAGCTCCACCTCCTGGGTTCACACCATTCTCCTGCCTCAGCCTCCTGAGTAGCTGGGACTACAGGCGCCTGCCACCACACCCGGCTAATTTTTTTGTATTTTTTTAGTAGAGACGGTGTTTCACCGTGTTAGCCAGGATGGTCTTGATCTCCTGACCTGCTGATCCGCCCCGCTCGGCCTCCCAAAGTGCTGGGATTACAGGTGTGGGCCACCGTGTCTGGCCCATGCCTGGCTAATTTTTGTATTTTTAGTAGAGACAGGGTTTCACCATGTTGGTTGATCTCCAGCTCCTGACCTCAGATGATCCGCTCACCTTGGCCTCCCAAAGTGCTGGGATTACAGGCATGAGCCACCGTGCTGGGCCTCTTCTTTTAGACAGTCTCGCTGTGTCACCCAGGCTGGAGTGCAGTGGTGTGAACACAGGGCTCACTGCAGCCTCAACTTCCCAAGTTCAAGTGAGCCTCCTCCCTCAGCCCAAGTAGCTGGGATTATAGGTGCGTGCCATCATACTTGGCCAATTGTTGCATTTTTTGGTAGTGACAGGGTTTCACCATGTTGCCCAGGGTGATCTCATACTCCTGAGCTCAATTATTTCACCAACCTCAGCCTCCCAAAGCACTGGGATTGCAGGTGTGAGCCACTGCGCCCAACTGCTCATACAGTTTCTATTAAGGATCAAGGTACAGAGGGTAGAAAATTAAGGTTTGCAGGAAGGAAATTAACCAGATAGTCAAGAAATATTTAAATGCTTAAAATAACAAGAGGTGACTAGACACTTACAGGAGATTCTCTGTATCCTTTGTTGTAAACACCTCAATTGAACATGTTGCTGAGCAGTAGCTACAGAGCTTTTATAGGTTCTACTAAATGAATATAATTGTACTTTTCTCTCAATCGCATTTGTTGTCTATTAAAAATGGCCAGGATATGTGAAAAGAATAATACATCATGGGCTAGTGGGTTTATCTCAGGAATGTCCTGTTGGTTTAACATTAGAAAATCAATGTAATTCACCAAATTTGCTAAAACATACATACAATCATACATCATGTAACAACAGGGACAGATTCTGAGAAATGCACTGTTAGGCCATTTCATTGTTGTGCGAGCATCATGGAATGTACAGTACTTACTCAAACCTAGATTGTATAGCCTGTTGCACCTTCTACAAACCTGTACAGCATGTTCCTGTAGCAACTGTAGGCAGTTGTAACACTATGGTTAGTATATGTGTATCTAAACATAGAAAAGGTACAGTAAAAATATGACATTGTAATCTTATGGGACCACCATGGTGTGTGCAGTCTGTCATTGATGGAAGTGTCATTATGTAGTACGTGACCGTATTTCAGAATTGTTAAGAGAGTGGGTTTTGGCCAGGCGCGGTGGCTCAAGCCTTTAATCCCAGCACTTTGGGAGGCTGAGATGGGCGGATCACCTGAGGTCAGTTCAAGACCAGCCTGACCAACATGGAGAAACCCCATCTCTACTAAAAATACAAAAAATTAGCCGGACGTGGTGGCACATGCCTGTAATCCCAGCTACTCAGGAGGCTGAGGCAGGAGAATTGCTTGAACCTGAGAGGCGGAGGTTGTGGTGAGCTGAGATGATGCCATTACACTCCAGCCTGGGCAATGAGAGCGAAACTCTGCCTCAAAAAAAAAAAAAAAAAAAAGAGGGTGGGTTTTAAATGTTCTCGACGCAGAGAAATAATAAATTTGGCCAGGTGCAGTGGCTCATGCCTGTAATCTCAGCACTTTGGGAGGCTGAGGCAGACAGATCACCTGAGGTCGGGAGTTCGAGACCAGCATGGAGAAACCCCATCTCTACTAAAAAAAAAATACAAAATTAGCCAGACGTGGTGGCGCATGCCTGTAATCCCAGCTACTCAGGAGGCTGAAACAGAAGAATCGCTTGAACCCGGAAGGTGGAGGTTGCGGCAAGCCGAGATCACGCCAATGCACTCCAGCCTGGGCAACAAGAGCAAAACTCCCTCCCAAGAAAAACAAAGAAATAATAAATATGTGGTGATGAATATGTTAGCCCGATTTGATCATTCTACAATGTATACATTCTACCCCATAAATATATACAATTATTATTTGTCAATTAAAAATAAAATTTTAAGAAAATGGCTGAGTAGACTTGTGATATGGAGGGCCTTAAAAATCTCAAGATTTGATACACTGAAAAATAGAAGATCATTAAAAGTTTGTAAGGAGAGGGAGTGATATAAAAGTGAGGTTTAAGCGAGATTCGTTTAGGTGAACAAGGTATTTTATAGTGGGGAGAAGCTGATATTGAGGAACTGGTTATGAGTTTGTAATGGTATTCAGAGTGTGAGATGATGACTATGGCTATGAGATAGTTGAATTGAGAATGAAGGGAAAATAGGTTTCAAAAGAAAAAGTGGTGGGACTGAATACCTGACTAGATACAAAAAGTGAGGTTTGATTCATAGGCTGTCAGCTTTGGGGACTTTTCTTTCCTCATATAATTAATTAGATGTAAGTAGGAAATTTTAAAGAATTGATTTTGCCCTTTAGAGAAGCTCTTCTTTCTCCATTCCCTTCCCCTCTACATATGTAATTTGAGGAAAGCTCTACTCTCCTTTAGGCAGCTGATTAGCACCTTCCTTTAATCTTTTTCCAAGCAACGTAGTATTACCACACATTTGCTGTTTATGTGTTAAGAGATGTTCCACCTCACTAGTAATTAAATAAATGCAAATTAACCAGGTTTTTTAGTTTTTTTATTTTTTCAGGTAGGATCTCACTCTGGTTGCCCAGGCTGGAGTGCAATCGTGTGATCACGGCTCGCTGCAGCCTTGACCTCCCAGGCTCAGGTGATCCTCCCACCTCAGCCTCCCAGGTAGCTGGGACTATAGGCATACACCACCATGCCCAGCTACTTTTTAATTTTTTTTGTAGAGATGGGGTTTCACCATGTTGCCCAGGCTGGTCTCAAACCCCTGGACTCAAGCGATCTGCCTGCCTTGGCCTCCCAAAGTGCTGGGATTACAGGTGTGAGCCACCGTACCCTGCCCAAGTTTGTTTTTATGGTAATATTCAGTGTTGTGAGGGTTTGATGAGACTTGTGTTCTTTTTTTTTATTTTATTTTTTATTTTTTGAGAGGGAGTCTCATGCCCAGGCTGGAGTGCAGTGGAGCCATCTCGGCTCGCTGCAACCTCCACCTCCCGGGTTCAAGGAATTCTTCTGCCTCATCCTCCCAAGTAACTAAGATTACAGGCATGTACCACCATGTCCAGCTAATTTTTGTAATTTAGTAGAGACAGGATTTTACCATGTTGGCCAGACTGGTCTCGAACTCCTGACCTCAAGTGCTCTGCCTGCCTCAGCCTCCCAAAGTGCTGGGATTACAGGCGTGAGCCACCACGCCCAGCCAGAGACTCGTGTTCTTTTTTATTTCTGTTAAACTGATGTCCTTCAAGAAAGAAAGAAATGTGCAAATGTGTAGGAAAAGCCTTTTCAATGTTGAAGCACTTCTAAGAATTTATAGTAAGGAAATAATCAGAGATGCAAAGAGATGATGTTTGTCAAAATGTTTGTTGCAGTATTCTCAGTTTTACACAATTATAACTATATTTAACTGTCTCAGGGTAGCAGTGAATGGTTAAATAGAGACTACACAGCCTTCAAAAGTAAAGTTTCCACTAATTTTAATTTTAATGACATAGCGTAAATGCTTAGGATATGCAGTGGGTTCTCCATGTCCACAGATTGTACATTTGTACATTGATCCAGCAGAGAATTGAAAGTATTTCAAAAATAATAATATACTATTTTTAGAAATAGAGCATAACAACTTTTTTTTGAGATGGAGTTTTGCTCTTGTCGCCCAGGCTGGAGTGCAGTGGCACAAATCTCGGCTCACTGCAACCTCTGCCTCCCGGGTTCTAGCGATTCTCCTGCCTCAGCTTCCCAAGTAGCTGGGACTACAGGTGCCTGCCACCACACCTGGCTAGTTTTTGTATTTTTTTAGTAGAGACGGAGTTTCACCATGTTGGCCAGGCTGGTCTCGAGCTCCTAATCTCGGGTGATCCACCCGCCTCGGCCTCCCAAAGTCCTAGGATTACAGGCATGAGCCACTGTACCTGGCTGCATGTCTGCTACTCTTGAATTGACATCGCTACTTATGTATCTAAAATGGCAGGGTATAGATGGTGCCACTAGTCTCTCATCAGGATACTTTCCATTAAGGTTAGTGGAACTGCGCAACCATTCATAGCTCAGATTCATCAGTCACAAAAGAACCCCAGAAGATGATGGTGTTCATAAAAAACAATTTTCTTTAGTATTTTGGTTCTGCTTTAATCTTAATCCCTAGGGTAATAGATGAGATACTCAAGTTCAGAGAGGTGTGGAAGTCATTTGACAGAGCAGTCGGGCCCGAGTGGTTTCCTTATGCCAAGGCAGCACGTCATCCTTTTTCCTCAAAAATAACAGCAACAACATTCCTGCACCTTGCCTCTGCAGCATTATATCGTACTGCAGAAACCAGCTCAACTATGCAAAACTACCACCAGGACTGGCCGACACCAGGAGGGATTCCAGAGACCACACTGCAGGGAGCATACAGAAAGAAAATTAAGAGATCAGGTCAGTTAGCATTCACTGATGAGCAATGGGAAAGTCTCAGCTTATGGTGTCACACCAGAATGCACCTGATGTGCATTCTGATAATGCAACACTTAGATCAAAAAGCAAGAGGAGAAGTGAATGTCTGACATCATTGACTGAGGATAGTTCATGAAGAGACAAATAAAAGTAAATATGTTAAATTTACTGTGAGTGCTTCTTAAAGTTTCTCCTATTCTTCCTAACCCCACAGTCTCTTTAGCCTAATCAGCCCTAAATTTGGTTTTAAACAGTTTTTCATGTAGTGCTTCAGCCATGTCCCCAATTCTTTTGAGTCCTCAACCCTTTGACTCATCAGTACTATTCATTCAACAAATATTTTTTGAGAGTATCCTGTTTGCCAGGCTCTGGAAAAACAATCAAGGCCCAACAAGAGCCAATGATGTGATCCTAACTACATCCATGTCCTTGTTTTTTCCTCTGTTCCATTTCCCTCACTTGTATTAATGATGAAGCTCACCTTTTTGTTTCTTTCTTCTACATTTGCCCCTTACACTTTTACTTATTCTTCTATTCCTTTATTTTTAGAATTAGTTCTCATTTTTGGCCGGGCACGGTGGCTCACGCCTGTAATCCCAGCACTTTAGGGGGCCGAGGTGGGTGGATCACGACGTCAGGAGATTGAGACCATCCTGGCTAACACAGTGAAACCCTGTCTCTACAAAAAAACAAAAAAAAATTAGTTGGGCATGGTGGCAGGTGCCTTAGTCCCAGCTACTCGGGAGGCTGAGGCAGGAGAATGGCTTGAACCCCAGAGGCGGAGCTTTCAGTGAGCCAAGATCACGCCACTGCACTCCAGCCTGGGTAACAGAGTGAGACTCCGTCTCAAAAGAAAAAAAAAGAATTAGGTCTCATTTTTCTTCTCCAGAACTCTTTCAAGTTCCTTCAAATCCTAACCCTTATGGGAAACCTATGTTATGAATATTGTTTTGTAAAGCAAGGCTAATAATCTCTTCTTGGCCAGGTGTGGTGGCTCATACCTATATTCTCAGCCCTTTGGGAGGCTGAGGTGAGAGGATCATTTGAGCCTAGGAGTTCAAGACCAGCCTGGACAGCATAGCAAGACCCCATCTCTATTAAAAAAAAATTTCCACCCACTAACCTGAAAACAGCAATTCTCCATGTGGTTTTCAGACTATAAATAACTGCATAAAGGAGCTAAATTCTCTTTTGTTTTTGTTTTGTTTTTTTGAGACAGAGTCTTGCTCTTGTTGCCCATGCAGGAGTGCAATGGTGCGATCTCAGCTCACCGCAACCTCCGCCTCCCAGGTTCAAGTGATTCTTCTGCCTCAGCCTCCCATGTAGCTGGGATTACAGGTGCCCACCACCATGCCTGGCTAATTTTTGTATTTTTAGTAGAGATGGGGTTTCACTATGTTGGTCAGGCTGGTCTCAAAACTCCTGGCCTAGTGATCCACTCACCTCTGCCTCCCAAAGTACTGGGATTACAGGCGTGAGCCACCGCGCCCAGCCATCTGCACATTCTTAATAGTGCTATGCATATAATCAGTTTTGTGAAATCCACGATGTATACAATGAGAAAAGTAATCCTTGTATGTTAATAATTGACCCACAAACTTCAACTTTTTGTCTTTTTTATTTATTTATTTATTATTTATTTTTTTTGAGATGGAGTCTCTCTTTGTCGCCCAGGCTGGAGTGCAGTGGCACAATCTTGGCTCACTGCAAGCTCTGCCTCCCGAGTTCACACCATTCTCCTACCTCAGCCTCCCAAGTGGCTGGGACTACAGGCGCCCGCCACCACGCCTGGCTAATTTTTTTTTTTTGTATTTTTAGTAGAGACAGGGTTTCACCGTGTTAGCCAGGATGGTCTCGATGTCCTGACCTCGTGATCCACCCGCCTGGGCCTCCCAAAGTGCTGGGATTATAGGCATGAGCCACTGCGCCTGGCCCAACTTTTTATCTTAAATTTCCTTCTGATCCTTATATATCCATACCTGATTTTTATGTACCAACCAAGGTTTCTTTGTTTAAATGTAGACACATTTTTAGGTATTCATGGTTTATTATAGTTAAGGTAAAAGGAATCAAGTATTTGTTTCTTTGTAACCACTTGCTAGTATATCCTATACCACTAATATTAACAAATGACTACTATTTATAAGCATGAAGTTTTAATAGCATTTTATTATTTGAAAACTGCACTCTGGGAAAAGATTACTTGTTAAATGTTTTAATGGTAAGTCACTGACATGTAGGACTCAGAAGACCTGGTATTAGTTTAAATTTTTTCCCCTATTATTAACTAATATAATTTCTTTGAAGAAATGTTTCTGGTAAGTATTTGTAAAATATGCTACTTAGGATAAACAAAATGATCTATGAGATTCCTTTCAACTAGAGTTTTATGTATTTCTCATGGCTTGTTTTGCATCATTCCAGGTCAAAAAGTTGCTAGGGTCTCAGAAATAAAACGAAAGTAGAGCAGTTACTTGCATGAGCAAAACATGTCTTACTGTGCCTTTTTGTTGCTCTCAGAATGTTAGCATATAGACCACTGACATTTTGCTTTATTTAGCAATAAAAAGATACTTCTTTGTACTTTGTTTCTTTTGATGTTTTTCTCTCCACCAGATGCAGCAGCAGCCGGAACCCACAGTTCACCTTGGTGCATTCCTTTATGATGAAGACTTATTGATTCATTATATGAGAAAGGAAAAATGAGCAGAAACTACTGTATGATGTGCAGCTCACACCAGACAGCAACTTTAGGTAGGCACTTAGGTATGCAAATCTGATGACTTTATGTGTATTTTTTCTTACATGTCATGAGTATGCAAAGTTTGGACTAAGCTATTCAATGTTTTCTGAAAGCAAAAGGCCAACCTGTGGCATGGTTATTACCAAATACTGCAGTTAGGGAGAGTAAACGAATATTATCTCAGGAGAATAGGTCACTTAATGTCCCCCAGGATATATTTAGAAACTTTGTTTTGTTTTGTTTTGTTTTTTGAAACGGAGTCTTGCTTTATCGCCCAGGCTGGAGTGCAGTGGCACGATCTCAGCTCACTGCAGCCTCTGTCTCCTGGGTTCAAGCAATTGTGCCTCAGCCTCCCAAGTAGCTGGGATTACAGGCACCCGCCACCACACCTAGCTAATTTTTTTGTATTTTTGGTTGAGACGGGGTTTCACCATGTTGGCCAGGCTGGTCTCGAACTCCTGACCTCAAGTGATCCGCCTGCCTCAGCATCCCAAAGTGCTGGGATTACAGGCATGAGCTACCATGCCCAGCTTAGAAACTGTTTTTCACAGTTTTTTTTCCCTAGTCAAGTAAGGCAGTGAGATGTTTTTCACATCTAGAAACTATGTAATCAGAGGCAACTCTGCAGGTTCAGAAACTAAACAGAGGTGACAATACAAAGGAACTGACTCATACTCTACATATTGAACAGAGATTGGTAAACTATACACTGATTGATTTACAATGAGAACTATAATTTCCAAGGAGGCTGAAATGTTCTCCCCATAAAAACATCTACTTGAGCTGGGCATGGTGGTGTGTACCTGTAGTCCCAGCTACTTGGGAGGCTGAGGTGGAAGGATTGCTTAAAACCAGGAGTTCAGGGCTGCAGTGCAGTATGATTGGGCCTGTGTATAGCCACTGCACTCCAGCCTGGACAACAGGAGACCCAGTCACTTAAAAGAAAAACATCTGGCTGGGCACAGTGGCTCAGGCCTGTAATCCCAGCACTTGGGAGGCCGAGATGGGTGGATCTCTTCAGCCCAGGAGCTCGAGACCAGCCTGACCAACATGGCAAAACCCCGTCTGTACTAAAAATACAGAAAATAGCAGGGTGTGGTGGCGCACACCTGTAATCCCAGCTACTCATGAGGCTGAGGCATGAGAATCGCTTGAACCCAGGAGGTGGAGGGTGCAGTGAGCTGAGATCGCACCACTGCACTCCAGCCTGGGTGACAGAGCAAGACTGTCTAAAAAAAAAAAAATCTCCTTAAGAAATCAGATAGTGATGAGATATTATTGGGCAGGCATGGACGCAGAAGACAGAGATAGATAATCTTGAGAAATCGTTCATTCAGGCTATAATTTGACCCAGTGAAGCATCCCAATCCATATTAGAGAACTTCTCCAGTGACAGAAAGCCTTCTGTCTTTGTTCAGGCTGGGTAGATTTGTCTAGTCATGTTGCTTTAGACATGTATTTCCCTGCTCACTTACATTTAGGATTATTACATAGAGTGGGCTACCCCTCTGGGTAAATAATCTTGTGGCTTATATTACTGATCTTAGATGATATCATTATCAAAGATTAAATACCAAATTTGGAATATGTTGCTAAACAGATATATTGTATCTGTATTATAATTTGAGATTAAACTTCTCTGATTTATTAGTTTAAGATCCTATTTCTCAGGCCGGGCGCGGTGGCTCAAGCCTGTAATCCCAGCACTTTGGGAGGCCGAGGCGGGTGGATCACGAGGTCAGGAGATCGAGACCATCCTGGCTAACACGGTGAAACCCCGTCTCTACTAAAAATATAAAAAATTAGCTGGGCATGGTGGTGGGTGCCTGTAGTCCCAGCTGCTCGGGAGGCTGAGGCAGGAGAGTGGCATGAACCCGGGAGGCGGAGGTTGCAGTGAGCCAAGATCACACCACTGCACTGCAGCCTGGGCGACACAGCAAGACTCCGTCTCAAAAAAAAAAAAGATCCTATTTCTCAATAATACTTCTAGTTTCCATTTGAGGTAGTTAAAATTCACAGAACGAAAAGGATTTGGACAATAATAGAAGAAACACTAAAAAGTTATTAATAACTTTGGGAGGCTGAGGTAGGTGGATCACCTGAGGTCAGTAGTTTGAGACCAGCCTGGCCAAAATGGCAAGACCCCATCTCTAATAAAAATACAAAAATTAGCCGGGTGTGGTGTGGCACACGCCTGTAGTCCCAGCTACATGGGAGGCTAAGGTGGGAAGATTGCTTGAACGTGGGAGGCGGAGGTTGCAGTGAGCCAAGATCTTGCCACTGGCGCTCCATTCTGGGCAACAAAGTGAGATAACAAAGTGAGACATCTCAGAAAAAAAGTTAATAACTGTTAACATCCTGTTAAAAATATTTATAGAAGAGCTATGTCTGACAGATAAAAATTCGAAGATTAGGATGTGTCTTCCCGTAAAAATCTTATTTTTAATTACTGGGTAAACAGGCCAGCCTCCCCATTGTAGAGAACTATAATGAATCTGAAACAGTTATCACCATAAGGGACTTTCCCCCTCTCTGTCACAAGGGGCATGTCTAGCTACAAGACTGTAGTGGTGACTCTGTAACCCAAAGAAGCACTAGTGTGGCAAAGAGGATAGAGAAGATGAGGATCCTAGGGAGATAACGACTACACTGCTTACAGCCCAACCCCCAAGAATGACTCCAGAGGCCTAGTTACACCTTTTATTCTCTTCTAAGGGATAGGCCTACCTGCTTCTGTTTTACTTTTCACCCTCTGTTACTTAGGACCAAGGTTTCTCCCCTTCCTGATCATTATTACATAGAACATAAGATAAGTCTTTGGGTTACCTACATATCAGAAGAAAACCAGACTCAGGCTATCTCAGATATTTCATGACAGAAACTAGGATGAGAAGATAGATTACCAGGCTAGAAATGGTGGCAGTTAAACTAAGTGGGATAAAAGCAATTTATGGGTGTATGTGAATCTTTCACACCACTCCTCTCTTGCCCTCCAGAATCTATTCCAGGTTGATGAGGGCTGCCACTCTGTATAGCTCCAGAGCCAGTCATACATTTCGTAGTCTACAGTCTATGCAGCAATACATAGTACTTCTGTGGTTAGTTCTGGTGTAAGGTGAGAAAGCCGGATGGTATGGAAGTTATGACGCTGTCCCAGGCACAACAGGCCATAGGAAGTAGAGAAAGGAAAAAAACCCAGGACTCTAAAGCAGCAGCAAGAAGGAAATGAGGGGCACAGGAATAGAGACGGTCTTCTAAGTAGTTGTTCCCTAAAGGCCTCTTAAATGTCAGACTTAATATTTGTTCTAAGTCAGAGTGGATGAGTAAAAAATTATCACACGAATTTTTTCCAAATAACTTCTGGATGATTTTCATTGATTAAGGAACAAAAACATGAAATATACTTTACAGATGAAATATAGATGAAAGAATTAGAAGTCCAGAATGCAATTACTTATACCCAAGCAAAATTTGATGTTCACTCTTCTAATTCTCTGGGATTTATTTCTCATTACTTCTCTCTCATGGAAATGAAATTCATTTATCATCATGTACTCTCTGACATATCAGGAAAGGTGTTGGTTGACATCAGCTCCAGGCCTAGCATAGTCCTTTATGGGGTACTGTCCAGCTTGCAGACATCAACATTTGGAAAGCATTTTCTTCTGCTAGCAACAGCTTTGCCTGTCACCATCCAAGGTGACAGTGTGGCTTTATTTATTAAAGTAAAAGAATAATAAGTTATGACATAGGTAGACACTTATATTCTAGTTTATGATGACAATGGAATTTGGGATTTCAAAGACCACGTGTCTGATTTCCTTTACTACTTTGTCTCTGCAATGCAAATTAAGGAATATCAACAAAACAGAAGTGTATGACTCTTTCTTGTAACACTTTGCTATTTTATCAGTCACTACTGCCTTCTAACCCCTTTTTTTGGTACTGTACCGAAATAGTATGTTGAACTTTGATAAGAGCTTTTATAAAGCTGACAAATTTACTTGACCTAGGATATTACTGTATGGCCATAAGCAAACCACTTAACACCTCTAGGCCTCTAGTTCCTCATTTTAAATGAGCAAACTAAATGCTATCCAAGGACACATCTTGCTCCAGTTTTTTGTGATCCTAAGTTTGAATGCTTGTTTCTAAAACATCACTTCAGTGTGGGTTTTTTAAAATTAAATCATGAGTGTTTATTTCTTATGATCTTAAATGGTTTTACCAAAATCTGAAATAGGATTTCTGGTTGTCATTAGTAGATTTATTAAAACATGTGGCCGACTGGGCATGGTGGCTCATGCCTGTAATCCCAGCACTTTGGGAGGCCAAGGCTGGAGGATCACTTGAGCCCAGGAATTCGAGACCAACCTGGGCAACATGGTGAAACTCGGTCTCTCCAAAACAATACAAAAATTAGCCAGGCATGGTGGTGTGCACTCCTCTTCCCAGCTATTTGGGAGGCTGAGTTCAGAGGATCACCTGAGCCTAGGGAAGATGAGAGTGCAGTGAGCTGTGATTATGCTACTGCATTCCAGCCTAGGCAGCAGAGTGACACCCTGTCTCAAAAAATAAAGGAAACCCATCTTTAAAAATATAACTATTTTAGATAATGGGAATTAATAAACTATAATCAAGGCTCTGATCAGTAAGAGCCTTTTTCAGTTCAGGAAGTTGTAAGTTTTACATAAACTACAAGATATTACTTTCATTTTATTTTTACTTTATCAAATTATTTTTATTTATATGTTTTGAGACAGAGTCTCACTCCGTTGCCCAGGCTGGAGTTCAGTGGCGTGATTTTGGCTCACTGAAACCACTGCATCCCGGATTCAAGCAATTCTCTTGCCTCAGCCTCCCGAGTAGTGGAGACTGCAGGTGCCCACCACCACGCCTGGCTAATTTTTTGAATTTTTAATAGAGTCGGGGTTTCGCCACCTTTGCCAGGCTGGTCTGGAATTCCTGACCTCAGGTGATCCACCTGCCTTGGCCTCCCAAAGTGCTGGGATTACAGGTGTGAGCCACCATGCCTGGCCAAACTATATTTTTTAAAGCTTGATTTTTAAAATTTCAAGTAGAAATAAATCCATGGGTAAGAGTTCATTCATTTGCATCATAGCGTATCTTCCTATTTTAGGGTTATCTTTCCAGTTCAGCAGTGCAACTCTATGGAGTAGAATTGAAAGGAGACTTTTCGCCAATTGCAGGAAATGGTCATAAAAAAATACCTGCTCACTGACAGAATAAAGGTACCTTTTAACTTAGTCAAATCTCTTTTGCATTGTTTTCCAATCTGTTCTTGGTTGCCATTGTATAGAAACAGATTGAATTCTCTTAAATATTTTAAAACATTAATAGAGATGAATTGTTGTAATTATATCCTATTCACATATTTCTCTCTTCCCTGATTTTATTGGAAAGTAAAATTTTTTGAATTGTCTTCCTACCAGATACAGTTTTGGTAGCAGCATTTTTGAATCTCTAGAGGTTGGTTAGAAGTGTATTTAATTAATCTGTGAATGTCAAAAATACATAAAGGCCTAAGTAATGCTCACAATACCTCTTTTTCAGCAGGTATCGTGTATGCCACAGAATAGCAGTTCATGGGGGAATGATGCCATAGGTTAGGCTACAACAGAGGTTTTCTATTTTTCCCGTACTTAAGAAGAAAAATAACAAAAAAGGAGAAAGGAATTTTTTTGGTTAATGCAGTAATCTTTATCATTTCACTAATAGTTCTGTACTTCTGATGGCAATGCAGAGAAATACCGAGTATCTCTGATGTTAAGTGCAATCTAATGTGGAAAGATGTACCTCAGTAAGATTAAGGATGTAGTCTTCCACCACCCCGCCCCCTTTTTTTTTTTTTTTTTGAGATAGAGTTTCGCTCTGTCGCCCAGGCTGGAGTGCAGTGGCCCAATCTTGGCTCACTGCAACCTCCACCTCCTCGGTTCAAGTGATTCTCCTGCCTCAGCCTCCCGAGTAGCTGGAACTACAGGAGCCCACCACCATGCCCGGCTAGTTTTTTGTATTTTTAGTAGAGACGGAGTTTCACTGTGTTAGCTAGGATGGCCTCGATCTCCTGACCTCGTGATCCGCCCGCCTCGGCCTCCCAAAGTGCTGGGATTACAGGCGTGAGCCACCGCACCCGGCCTCCCCTTTTTTACAGAAGAAAATTATTTCATTCCCTCCTCTTTCCCACCTCTCTCTCTCCCTGACTTGCTCATATTAGAGATAGAGGCAAATGATCAGAGTAAATTCGTTGTCCAATAGTAAGTTCATGGTATTTTCTCACTATCCCATATGTAGTGAACAATAATACCTTGCTCTTGCACAAGAATCACATAACTAATAGAATCAATATAATTGAAAATTGATATTTAAAAATTATGAACTCTTAAAAATCATGGTTTATAAATGGATAACCAAGTAATTTTTGTTGGTTTCTTTTTAAAGAAGATAATAAAGGTGTACAAAATACATATTTACTTACTTTTTTTTTTTTTTTTTGAGATGGAGTGTCACTCTGTCACCCTGACTAGAGTGCAGTGGCACGATCTCGGCTCACTGAAACCTCCACCTTCCAGGTTCAAGCGATTCTTCTGCCTCAGCCTGCTGAGCAGCTGGGACTACAGGCAAGCACCGCCACGCCCAGATCTTTTTTGTGTTTTTAGTATAGACAGGGTTTCACCATATTGGCCAGGCTGATCTCGAACTCCTGACCTCGTGATCCGCCCACCTTGGCCTCCCAAAGTTCTGGGATTACAGGCGTGAGCCACTGCCCCCAGCCTTACTTACATTTTTAAAGATGTTTTTTACCCCTTTTCAAAGGAAAATATGCAGACACACCCATCCACATACTTTCCTGGCTTGTAGCTTCTGTGGCCATCAGCAACCCGATAAAAACTTTTTGGCCAGGTGCAATGCCTCATGCCTATAATTCCAGCACCTTAGCAGGCCAAGGTGGGAGGATTGCTTGAGGCCAGGAGTTCAATACCAGCCTGAGAAACTATCTCTCCCCCACAAAAAAAAAAAAAAAAAAAAAAATTAGCCAAGTATGGTGGCACACACCAGTAAGTCCCGGCTACCTGGGAGGCTGAGGCAGGACTCCTTTAGCCCAGCAGTTTGAGGCTTCATTGAGCTACAGTCATGCCACTGCAGCCCAGCCTGGATAACAGCTAGACTTTGTCTTTTAAAAAAATAAAAACTCTGAGGCTGGCCTGGTGGCTTACACCTGTAATTCCAGCACTTTGGGAGACCAAGGCGGGCAGATCACCTGATGTCAGGAGTTTGAGACCAGCCTGGCCAATGTGGCAAAACCCCGTCTCTACTAAAAATACAAAAATTAGTCAGGTGTGGTGGCGCCTGCCCTGTAATCCCAGCTACTTGGGAGACAGAAGCAGGAGAATTGCTTGAACCCGAGGAGCGGAGGTTGCAGTGAGCTGAGATCATGCCACTGCACTCCAGCCTGAGCAACACAGCAAGACTCTGTCTCAAATAAATAAATAGATAAAACTTTTTTTATACCTTTTTTTTTTTTTTTTGAGACAGGGTCCCTCCCTGGGCTCAGACGATCCTCCCACCTTAGCCTCCCAAGTAGCTGGGACTACGGGTGTGCTCCACCAACCTGGCTAATTTTTGTGTTTTTTTTGGTAGAAACAGGGTTTCACCACATTGCCCAGGATGGTCTTGAAATCCTGAGCTCAAGCGATCTGCCCACCTTAGCCTCCCAAAGTGCTAGGATTACAGGCCTCAGTCACTGCACCTGGTTTTTTGGTTTTTTTGTTTTGTTTTTTTTTTTTTGAGACGGAGTCTCACTCTGTCGCCCAGGCTGGAGTGCAGTGGTGTGATCTCAGCTCACTGCAAGCTCTGCCTCCTGGGTTCACACCATTCTTCTGCCTCAGCCTCCCGAGCAGGTGGGACTACAAGTACCCACCACCATGCCTGGCTAATTTTTTGTATTTTTAGTAGAGACGGGTTTCACCATATTAGCCAGGATGGTCTCAATCTCCTGACCTCGTAATCCGCCCGCCTCGGCCTCCCAAAGTGCTGGGATTACAGGTGTGAGCCACCGCGCCCAGCCACACCTGGTATTTTTATACCACCTTATGACTTTTAGAAACCTTAACAGTTTCCTTCCTTAAAGCTATAAACAAATGGATTTGAGGTATCTTAAAATTAACAGAAAGGGATTCTAGGATTGTTTTTTATTGTATCTGTTGAAATCCAACTAGCCTCCAAGGTTCAATTTTTCCTTTTTCATTTGTTTTTGTTGTTGTTTCTTTCTTTCTTTTTTTTTTTTTTTTTTTTTTTTGAGACAGAGTCTTGCTCTGTCACCCAGGCTGGAGTGCGGTGGCATGATCTCAGCTTACTCCAACCTCCTCTTCCCAGGTTCAAGCAATTCTCCTGCCTCAGCCTCCCAAGTAGCTGGTATTACAGGCACATGCCACCAAGCCTGGCTAAGTTTTGTATTTTTCGTAGTGACTGGGTTTCACCATGTTGGCCAGGCTGGCCTCAAACTCCTGACCTCAAATGATCCACCCACCTTGGCCTCCCAAAGTGTTGGGATTACGGGCGTGAGCCACTGCGCCCGGCCTGTTTCATCTTTTGTACAGGGCTTTTCTCTGAATCCTTGGTTTTCTGCTCATGCTTAAGAATGAGTAACAAAAAAGCTGATTGAAGTTCTGAGTGGGGATTGTTAACTGTGGACTTCACTATTGAGTGATCTTGCTGGGTAGTTCATTAGTTGGGAAATATCTAGTGAAATATCTTAAGATCTTTCCTTTTGGGCTGATCTGATTGCCTAGAAAAAACCTTTTCAATCTTCTAGCTGAATAACAAGCTGCATACTGGGAACAGAGTGGTAGAGCAAAAGGGTTGAAGAGGCAGGGTTCTCAGCATTCTGCATGCATGTTTCCTTAATTCCTCAGTTTTCAGTACGTTACCCTTTCTTTCAGCGAGGCCTGGAATCCCCTGGTTGTCTGGTTCAACCATTTCCAGAGAATAAACCTCTATTCATTTGCTGGAGTAGGAGAAAGGGAAATAGGGATCTGACTGCGTCTTAATCTGACTTTCAGCCACATTCCCTTATTTTTAGCATTTCCCCCTACTTCACCTGGTACCACCAATTATTAGCCTTTTGGAGATTCTGTAGCATAAGTCAGATTTGAGTCTTAGCTCTCAATACTTCTATCTTTGAAATCAATTTTCTCTGGTCTCCTAAATTCCTTATCACTTCTCCTTTTGTTCTAACAACAAATTTTTATATCTGTTATTTCCTTTCCCATTCTACCCATCCTTGAAGGTTTACACCTTCTTTTAAAAACCCCTATTCTGTCATTATAATGGGGTTTCAGTAATGTACATACATGTCTCTTATCCACTGTCTTTACAGGCAAGGCCTATGGATTGAAATTCTTTTTCCCTTTTCTTCAGGCTAGAGGTAAACTTTCCCTCATTCATATCCCTGGTGTTGGCTTATTCCTTTGATGGCAGCTGTTGTATGAACTTACTAACATAGCTTTTCTAATCCCCTTACTAGATAACATATTTGAGAGTAAATATTGTGTCTCATTCATCATAGTGTATATCTCTGCATGGTATCTTGTGCATAGGAGGTGCCTATTAAATATCGGTTAAATTGATTTGAGCTACCTTGTGGCCTCTGCATTGTTAGCATTCCAGAGTTCGCCCAGAGCTATTCCTTTATGGTTTTCCTGGGACCTTAAGAGCACCTCTGTGGGCTGCCATAATTAATTGATCCACCTGATTCTCTTTTACCCTATCTGTATAGTTGTGGGATGTGGGGGAAAAGAGTGAACAGAAATGGAAAAGAAAAGGGGGGAATTGTTTGAGAGCTGTGATAGATCAGGAGGTTAATTTACATATTTCATGTATTTCATACATGTTTCAAAAGTTTGAAATGATTGACTTTTTCTTTATATTGAGTAATATGTTTACAGGCTCCAGGCCAACTTTAAATTTATTATTTTAGTATTCTTTTTTTTTTTTTTTTTTGAGACGGAGTCTCGCTCTGTTGCCCAGGCTGGAGTGCAGTGGTGTGATCTCAGCTCACTACAACCTCCACCTCCCGGGTTCAAGCAATTCTCCTGCCTCAGCCTCCTGAGTAGCTTGGACTACAGGTGCGTGCCATTACGCCCGGCTAATTTTTTTTATTTTTAGTAGAGGCAGGGTTTCACCAAGTTAGCCACACTGGTCTCGATCTCCTGACCTCAGGCAATCCGCCCGCCTTGGCCTCCCAAAGTGCTGGAATTACAGGCGTGAGCCACTGCACCAGGCCCATATTTTAGTATTCCTAACACTGAGAAAAAAGAAGGAAAATATTTAAAAATCGGACCACAGGCCAGGCATGGTAGCTCATGCCTGTAATCCCAGCACTTTGGGAGGCTGAGATGGGCTGATCACCTGAGGTTAGGAGTTCGAGACCAGCTTGGCCAACATGGTGAAACCCTGTCTCTACTAAAAAGCTCCAAAAATTAGCCAGGCGTGGTGGTGTGTGCCTGTAGTTCCAGCTACTCGAGAGGCTGAGGCAGGAGAATCGCTTGATCCCAGGAGGCGAAGGTTGCAGTGAGCCTAGATTGCGCCGTTGCACTCCAGCCTGAGTGACAGAGCAAGACTCTTTCTCAAAAAAAAAAAAACAGACCCCAAAACATTTTGAATATTATATATTTGTAAGACCGTGTGCTTATTTGAAAAGAAATCATATGATACAAAGTAAACTTTTATTTTTAAAATAAAAGTTTGTTTTGCTCTTGAGCAAATACGTTTTTTCTTACTATCTTTCCTGTTGTCTGTAAGATTTATAGATTGTAGTCTAAATTAATTTGTTTAGGTATATAGTATTGGGAGGGGTATTTAACTTCTAAGTTCAGGGATATGTGTGTAAGTTTGTTATATAGATAAAGTTGTGACATGGGGGTTTGCTGTACAGATTATTTTGTCACCCAGGTGGTAAGTGTGGTACCCTTTAGTTATTTTTTCTGATCGTCTCCCTCCTCGCAACCTCTATTCTCCAATAGGCCTCAGTATCTGTTGTTCCTCTTTATGTGTCCATGTGTTCTTATCATTTAGCTCCCACTTGTAAGTGAGAACATGTGGTATTTGGTTTTCTGTTCCTGTGTTAGTTTGTTAAGGATAATGGCCTCCAGGTCCGTCTGTGTTCCTGCAAAGGACATGATCTTGTTCTTTTCTATGGCTGCATAGTATTCCTTGGTATATATGTACCGCATTTTCTTTATCCACTCTACCATTGATGGACATTTAGGTTGATTCCATGTCTTTGCTATTGTGAATAGTGTTGCATTGAACATACATGTGCATGTGTCTTTTTAGGCTGTAAATGCTGTTTCCCCCATGGTCCAACAGCGACCCTGCCCAGTTTAACTCCCAATTCAGGGACTTAGGCCCGTGAAACCTCCTAACCACCCACAATCCTAGGTAAGGCCAACTCTGTGACCCTGGTCAGCAAAGAACAGTTAAAAAAATAAAACCTGGCTGGGCGCAATGGTTCACGCCTGTAATCCCAACACTTTGGGAGGCTGAGGCAGGCAGATCACATGAGGTCAGAAGTTCAAGACCATCCTAGCTAACACAGGCGCGGTGGCTCATGCTTGTAATCCCAGCACTTTGGGAGGCCGAGGCAGGCGGATCACCTGAGGTCGGGAGTTCGAGACCAGCCTGACCAACATGGAGAAACCCCATCTCTGCTAAAAATACAAAAATTAGCCGGGCATGGTGGCACATGCCTGTAATCCCAGCTACTCGGGAGGCTGAGGCAGGAGAATCACTTGAACCTAGGAGGCGGAGGTTGCAGTGAGCTGAGGTCGTGCCACTGTACTCCAGCCTGGGCAACAGAGCAAGACTCCATCTCAAAAAAAAAAAAAAAAAGACACATAGCCCTCCTGCACAAATAAGTCAAGTTATCCTGTGCCCAACTTATCACCAGACACTTGTAAGTTAGCTCACCACAACCTTGGCATTATCAGTACTGCACAAAGCCCTCTTCAGCATGCAGCAGAAACACCATTCTATAAAAACTCACAGCAAGCCCTTGTCTCTTTGCAGTCAGCATTTTTCTTGCTGACCTGCCTGTTTCACCCTTGCAGTGTATTTTCATACTCTAGTAAATCTGCCTTTTTTTTTTTTTTTTTCCCCCGAGATGGAGTTTTGCTCTTGCTTTCCAGGCTGGAGTGCAATGGCATGATCTCGGCTCACTGCAACCTTCACCTCCTGGGTTCAAGCGATTCTCCTGCCTCAGCCTCCCAAGTAGCTGGAATTACAGATGCCCGCCACCATGCCTGGCTAATTTTTTTGTATTTTTAGTAGAGATGGGCTTTCACCATGTTAGTCAGGCTGATCTGGAACTCCTGACCTTGAGTGATCCACCTGCCTCGGTCTCCCAAAGTGCTGGGATCACTGGCGTGAGCCACCAGGCCTGGCCATAAATCTGCCTCTTTTTTTTTTGAGACAGAGTTTCACTCTTGTTGCCCACGCTGAAGTGCAATGGCGCGATCTCGGCTCACTGCAACCTCTGCCTCCCAGGTTCAAGCAATTCTCCTACCTTGGCCTCCTAAGTAGCTGTGTCACAGGCATGCACCACCGCACCCAGCTAATTTTGTGGTTTTAGCAGAGATGGGGTTTCATCACGTTGACCAGGCTGGTCTTGAACTCCTGACCTTGGGTGATCACCTGCCTTAGCCTCCCAGAGTGCTGGGATTACAGGCGTGAGCCCCCATGCCCGGCTAAATCTGCCTTTCTTTGCCTACAACTGTCTAAATTCTTACCACCGGGGCCACCAGCCCAGATAGACACTGATCATCTGCAACACCCGTCTGATGGACAAGATTGCCCTGCAGAGTTCAAGTCTGAGAGTTCCCCTAGAGCTAAACTCTCCTATCAAAGTAAGTCGAGTCTAGAGGCATGGCAGTCCCTGGCTGTGCTCCATTACAGAATGCTCCTGCAGCAAACCCTCTGGTCTCCACATCAGGTGGCTTGCTGCCCTTACCACTCCTCTGAGCATCTCTCTGCCAACTCAAGTGTCCAGAGTCTCTCTCTGTTGCCCAGGCTGGAGTGCAGTGGCACGATCACAGCTCATGGCAACCTCCACCTCCCGGGTTCAAGTAATTCTTCTGCCTCAGCCTCCCAAGTAGCTGGGATTACAGGTGAACGCTACCACGCCCAGCTAATTTTTGTATTTTTAGTAGAGACGGGGTTTTACCATGTTGGCCAGGCTGGTCTCAAACTCCTGACCTCAAGTGATCTGCCCACCTCAGACTCCCAAAGTGGTAGGATTACAGGCATGAGCCACCACGCCTGGCCTCTCCTGTATTTTTTAAATAAATTGTTTTGTTTACTTTTTTGGATAGGTGATACATTTAAGTGATTTTTTGTTTGTTTGTTTTTTGTTTTTGAGATGGAGTTTCGGTCTTGTTGCCAGGCTAGAGTGCAATGGCACTATCTTGGCTCATTGCAACCCCGCCTCCGGGTTCAAGCGATTCCCCTGCGTCAGCCTCCCGAGTAGCTGGGACTACAGGCATGTGCCACCATGCCCAGCTAATTTTGTATTTTTAGTAGAGATGGGGTTTCTCCATGTTGGTTAGGCTGGTCTCAAACTCCCGACCTCAGGTGATCCACCCGCCTCGGCCTCCCAAAGTGCTGGGATTAAAGGTGTGAGCCACTGCGCCTGACCTAAGTGATTTTTAGATGAAAAGCCAAACAAGACCAGTTACCATATATTAACATTTTATAATTTTTTATAACCCATTTAAAAAATGTTTTTATGGTCCTATTTGATTCTGTGAATTAGAACATATTCTTTCATTTTATTTATGAAGAAACTGATTACCTAACAGTATAAACCTAGTTGGTGATGGAGCCAGAATTTGAACTTAGGTCCTTTGACTCTTACAACTAGTGTTATAATTATAGTGGGAAAAACTGAACTGGAAGTCAAAGAGCATAATTATGACTAAGTGAATAATTGCTTCTAAAAGAAATATTGACAGGTTCATGGGTTTTACTAGATAATAAGCATCTTATATAATACTACTCCCATAAGTGGTAGTATTATACTGCTTTTTCTCCAATTTTTAGAAGTGTTAACCTGTCATGTTGTTTCACAACATCAGTGAACCAATAGATACTTCTTATGTGCTTGTATGCTATTGTATCCTTGTTCTTGTCTGTGAATTCATTCTTCTTTAGGTGCTTCATGCAGACATCTGTACACCAGATTTACTTCTGCAAAATGCTGATGCTATGAATAATGCTTTTGAATATTAATAAGGCAAAACAGACCAGGTATGTTATTTTATCAAGCAAGAAATTTGTCATTAAAATATATCCAGCAAGATATGAAAAGAGATTAGTAGGTGAGAAATGTTTTCATGTTAAACTTTTTAAAAACTACTCCTCAAACAACTATAAGGAGTATAATCTCCTTATAGAGTATAAGGAAAAGTGCTGTTTATAAAATGAAAACAAACCTTGTCTGATTTTGGAAAACATAGTATCTAATTTTTTTTTTTTTTTTTTGGAGACAGGGTCTCGCTCTCTCACACAGGCTGGAGTGCAGTGGTGCGATCTTAGCTCACTGCAACCGCCACATCCCAGGTTCAAGCAATTCTCCCACCTCAGCCTTCCAACTAGCTGGGATTACAGGTGTGTGCCACCATGGCTGGCTAATTTTTTGTATTTTTAGTAGAGACAGTGTTCCACCATGTTGGCCAGGCTGGTCTGGAACTCCTGACCTCAAGTGATCTGCCCACCTCAGCCTCCCAAAGTGCTGGGATTACAGGCATGAGCTGTGACACCCAGCGTGTCTAATTTTTGACAGATAAAATGATTTCATGATCCAACATTTCCTTAGCAGTGAGGGATACAATAAAATACCAATTCTCAGTGGGCCTTTATACTTCTTTTTTTTTTTTTTTTGAGAGGAGTCTTGCTCTGTCGCCCAGGCAGGAGTGCAACAGTGCAATCTTGGCTCACTGCAGCCTCCGCCTGCCAGGTTCCAGCGATTCTCCTGCCTCAGCCTCCTGGGTATGGGTAACTGGGATTACAGGCACGTGCCACCATGTTCGACTAATTTTTGTATTTTTAGTAGAGATGGGATTTCACCATGTTGGCTAGCCTGGTCTCAAACTCCTAACCTCAAGTGATCCGTCTGCCTCAGTCTCCCAAAGTGCTAGGATGTGGGTGTGAGCCACTGCGCCCAGCCTATACTTGTTCTTTTCTGCCTCAGTTTTTTTTCTGTGAAATAACATCATATTGCTATCCTATTACAAACTAATGGGAATTAACTAAGGCTTATAAATGAATATTAAATGGATATAAGAATATTGGCTGGGCACAGTGGCTCACACCTAAATTCCAGCACTTTGGGACGCTGAGATGGGTGGATCACAGGGTCAGGAGTTCGAGACCAGTCTGGCCAATATGGTGAAACTCCATCTCTACTAAAAGTACAAAAATTAGCCTGGCGTGGTGGTGGGTGCCTGTAGTCCCAGGTACTCAGAAGGCTGAGGCAGGAGAATCGCTTGAACCCAGGAGGCGGAGGTTGCAGTGAGCCAAGATGGTGCCACTGCACTCCAGCATGCATGACAGAGTGAGACTCCACCTCAGAAAAAAAAAACAAGAATATTGCCGGGTGTGGTGGCTCACTCCTGTAATCCCAGCACTTTGGGAGGCCGAGGCGGGCAGATCACGAGGTCAGGAGATTGAGACCATCCTGGCTAACACAGTGAAACCCCGTCTCTACTAAAAATGCAAAAAAAAAAAAAAAAAAATTAGCTGGGTGTGGTAGCGGGCACCTGAAGTCCCAGCTACTCAGGAGGCTGAGGCAGGAGAATGGTGTGAACCCAAGAGGCAGAGCTTGCAGTGAGCCGAGATCGCACCACTGCACTCCAGCCTGGGTGACAGAGCGAGACTCCGTCTCAAAAAAAAAAAAAAAACAAGACTATTAACCTGGAAAACAGATTAATTATTGAACTTTAAAAATGTTCTTAAGGTATTAATCATAGGTTCCTTGAGTTTATTCTGCTATTCAAATAGAAAAACTAGCAAATCTATGATCACTTTTCTGACTTCTTGCCACAATTGGTGCATCAGTACCTATAGGATCCTCTAATTAGAAAATTGCTATAGTCTGTAGTCTGAAACCCTGAAATCAGGCTTGCTGATTTCTTACTTTTTATATGGCATATATGGATTCTAGACACAAGAAAGTTCCTTTCAATATATTTGAAAGAGACACTAATATTTTTGGATTGGTGCATCATTAAGGTTTTCATCACAGAGAAATTAAAATGCAGGAGTGCAGTGGTGTGATCTTGGCTCACTGCAACCTCCGCCTCCCAGATTCAAGCAATTCTCCTGCCTTAGCCTTCCGAGTAACTGGAATTACAGGCGTGCCGCCACCATGCCTGGCTAATTTTTGTATTTTTAGTAGAGATGGGGTTTCACCATGTTGGCCAGACTGGTCTCGAACTCCTGACTTCAGGGGTCTCACTCTGTCCTGACTTCAGGTGATCCACCTGCCTCGGCCCCCAAATCAAGGAAGCACTTCATGGCTTCTCTGGCATATCTAACTTGCCAGCATCACTACTCTGTGCTTTGGGGCCATTCTTAAGTAAAATAAGCATTACTTGAAAAGCAAACAAAAAAATGAAAATTAAAAAAAAAGAAAATTTAAAAAACAAACAAAAAAGAACGAGAAATAAGCCTTACTTTACCACCAGCCCTTCGATAAGGAGACAAAGGGCTTGATCTGACAAAGAAGACGCTACTAAGTGACTAACAGGTGGGTAGTGGAGACAAGTGTGGATCCCCTGGATAAAGAGATAATTCACTTCTGGGATACAGAGCAAGATGGCGTGAAATTTCATCATGCTACTCAGAATGGCATGCAGTTTAAAACCTAGGAGTTTTTTATTTCCGGAAATTTTTGTGTGCTGTTTTCAGATTACAGTTGACCACAGGTAATTGAAACTACGGAAAGAAAAACCATGGCTAAGTGGAGATCACTTTATATGCTTAACACATTTTTTAATAAATATGAGGTAAATATTCAAACTGTAGGATACCAAGGAGACATTACTACCACCACCTTCAATATTCTGTATGTGGAGTTATTCAACTTAGTTTTTAAATGTCTATATATTTGCCTAGAGACAACTAACTGTCATTTTATTTTATTTATTTTTATTATTATTATTTGTGCGTGTGGCATGAGGTCTCCCTCTGTAGCCCATGCTGGAGTGCAGTAGCGTAATCTTGGCTCACTGTAACCTCAACCTCCCGGGTACAAGCGATTCTCCTGCCTCAGCCTCCTTAGTAGCTGGGACTACAGGTGTGCGTCACCACACCCAGCTGATTTTTTTGGATTTTTAGTAGAGATGGGGTTTCACCATGTTGGCCAGGCTGGTCTCGAACTCCTGACCAGGAGTGTGGTGGTGCATGCCTGTAGTCCCAGCTACGTGGGAGGCTGAGGTGGGAGGATCACTTAAGCCCAGGAAGCTGCACCACTGCACTCCAACCTGGGCAATAGAGTGAGACTGTGTCTCAAAAAAAAAAAAAAAAATGCTAGTTTCTTACTTTAGGAGAATTTTTAGTGTTGGAAGCTTTATACTTCCCACAATTTGTCATTCCTTAGCTTGACCTCAACCTCCCTCTCTATCCTCCAGTGTTATGCAATGCATCTCAGAAGGTTTGTGGGGAAGGAGAAAAATAGAGTTAAGATAGTTTCATATTTCATCAGCCAAATGAAAAATACACAAAACAAAACCAGTTTTTCATATAGCATTGCTGGTACTCAAACAAAAACATTAAGATTACAGTAAATGTCCTAATTATTTAGCTCTTTACCATTTTACATTGATTTGATAAAAATTAAATTGATAGAAAATAAACGTATTAGAACTCTGGAACTTTTTTCAGCCAATGATTTTTTTAAATTATTAAACTTCATACAGGGCTGGGTGCAGTGGTTCATGGCTGTAATCCCAGCACTTTGGAAAGCCAAGACAGATCACTTGGGGCCAGGAGGTCAAGACCTGTGTGGCCAACATAGTGAAACCCCATCTCTACTAAAAATACAAAAAATTAGCTGGGCATAGTGGCACGCACCTGTAGACCCAGCTACTCAGGAGGCTGAAGCGCGAGAATCGCTTGAACCCGGGAGGCAGAGGTTGCAGTGAGCTGAGATTACGCCACTGCACTCCAGCCTGGGTGACAGACTGAAACTCTGTCTCAAAAAAAAAAAAAAACCGGCCAGGCGCTGTGACTCACACCTGTAATCCCAGCACTTTGGGAGGCCGAGGCGGGCGGATCCACGGGGTCAGGAGATCGAGACCATCCTGGCTAACACGGTGAAACCCCGTCTCTACTAAAAATACAGAAAATTAGCCGGGCGTGGTGGCGGGCGCCTGTAGTCCCAGCTACTCGGGAGGCTGAGGCAGGAGAATGGCATGAACCCAGGAGGTGGAGCTTGCAGTGAGCTGAGATCACGCCACTGCACTCCAGCCTGGGCGAAAGTGCAAGACTCTGTCTCAAAAAAAAAAATAAAAACAAAAGTAAATAAAATAAAAATAATTTTGAAAATTAACTTCATACAGCTTCTTCATTTTTTTTGTCACCTTATTCCCTCACCCAACCTCCAGTGCTGTCTAGTAATGCAGATGCCCCAGATGTCCCAGCCTCGTCCCATTTTGGGATACAACAGCTTAAACATTCCAAAATTTGATGAAAACTTCATCATTAGTAGACATTATAAGGTATTTTTTGTTGATGGTGAATTCCACAGCCATTCAACTATTAATTGCACTAATTTTACAAACATGTACTAAGCGTCCACTGTTTATCCAGCACTCTGCCAGACTCTGGATACAAACATGGAACACTTGGGTCCACTCTGAAGGAACTCACAGTCTAAGGAGAGAGGCGCTTCTTTCATTTAGATACAGGGTAAGGAAAGATGTCGCTGGTAGAGGGAATGCCATATGCGGGGGCATAGAGGAGAGTATTTTAGTATGACCAGGGTCCAGGCTAGGATTACATGAGGTTGGTAAAGTAGACGAATGCCAGATCGGGAAGGACATGGTGTCGCAAACAAAGGAGATCACATTGTATTCTGAAAGGGGGAGCCATTCCAAGATGCATTAGCATACTGATACAGTCAGAATAAAAGTATAGAAACGTAATTCTGAAGACGTTATTTAGGATGGATTAAAAGGGTAAAACATGGTCGGGTGTGGTGGCTCACACCTGTAATCCCAGCACTTTGGGAGGCCAAGGAGTGCAGATCACAAGGTCAGGAGTTCTGGACCAGCCGGGCATGGTGACGGGCACCTGTAATCTCAGCTACTCAGGAGGCTTGAGGCAGAAGAATTGCTTGAACCCGGGAGGCAGAGGTTGCAGTGAGCCGAGATCGTGCCATTGCACTCCAGCCTGTGCGACAAGAGCAAGATTCTGTCTCAAAAACAAAATAAAAGGGCAAAACAACAGCAAAGAAAATAAGTCAGCCACTGGAGTGGTCCAGCAAACCCAGTAGTAATGAACTAAGGCATCAACACTGGGAATGAAGGGAGAAAGAAGGAATCATGAAGTATTTAGGAGGGCCTAGCACTTTGTGGGGAGTAGATAAATCTGGAAGTGAGTAGTTTTAATAATTACATTTACGAAGAGATTTGAGAAAATCAGTGAGGCATTACAGCAAATCCATTAAGTCAAAAGATAATAGCAAGAAATCTGCTGCATGGAATCATACGCTAACAAAATAAAAAATAGTTAAATACTAAGTACATGGCCAAAAAAGAATGCCAGGAGGCAAACATTAAAACAATAGCTTGAATGGGAACCTGCCAAGGGTGAAACACACATATAAGATACACAAGGATAACTGCATTGAAGACAAGGATTAGGGTAGGGCATAAAATAAAGTTCTAAACATTGTAAATAAGAATCTAGCTGGGGAGCTGGGTGCTGTGGCTCATGCTTGTAATCCCAGCACTTTGGGAGGCCAAAGTGGGTGGATCACCTAAGGTTGGGAGTTCTAGACCAGCCTGACTGACACGAAGAAACCCCGTCTCTAATAAAAATACAAAATTAGCCAGGTGTGATGGCACATGGATGTAATCCCAGCTACTCAGGAAGCGGAGGCAGGGGAATCACTTGAACCCAGAAGGCAGAGGTTGCAGTGAGCCGAGATCGTGCCATTGCACGCCAGCCTGGGCAACAAGAGCGAAAGTCCATCTCAAAAAAAAGAATCTTGCTGCGGAAAAGAAGACAAACATAAGGGTTTCACTGGCGACATGCTAGTATAGTAAAAGATACGTACTTTATTTTTAATTTTTTTTTGAGACAGGGTCTAGCTTTGTCTCCTAGGATGGAGTGCAGTGGTGTGATCTCAACTCATTGCAGCCTCAACCTCCCAGGCCCAAGCAGTCTTTCCACCTCAGTCCCCCAAGTACTTGGGACTACAGCTGTGCACCACCATGCCTGGCTAATTTTTTGTAGGGACAGGGTTTCACCATATTGCCCAGGCTGGTCTCAAACTCCTGAGCTCCAGCAATCCACCTGCCTTTGCCTCCCAAAATGCTGAGATTACAAGTATGAGGCACCACTCCTGGCTTAATTTTTTTTTTTTTTTTTTTAAGACATGGTCTCACTCTGTCACCCAGGCTGGAGTGCAGTGGCATGATCTCAGCTCACTGTGGCCTCAACCTTTCAGGCTCAGGTGACCCTCCCACCTCAGCCTCCCAAGTAGTTGGGACTATAGGCACCCACCACCACACCCAGCTAATTTTTGTATTTTTTGGTAGAGACGGTTTCACCATGTTTTCCAGGCTCATCTCAAGCTCCTGGGTTCAAATGATCCACCTGCCTCAGCTTCCTAAAGTGCTGGGATTACAGGCCTAAGCCACCATGCCTGCCCAGATACCTACTTTAAAAGTAACTTTTTCCTTAGATACAGTGTTGTTTAGGCAGGCCTTGGAACCTGGGGTATTGCTTAATGCTTTAAGCAACTCAACCACTTTAGGCTGCCGTTTTATCCACTTGTAAAATAAGTTAATTCATCTTTTCTGACCATGAATTTCACAAGAGTATTATGTACATCGAGAATGATAAACAGTCCTTCAGACACACATATGGAAATGCACATAAATAGAATACAAATTGGAACTGATCTGTTTATCAGAAGAAATGTCCCAACCACATAGATAGATAAAGTAATCGTATTTGTATCAAGGATCCTCATTTCGAAGAGCATTCAACTTCAAGTTGCTCTTTGCCAACAACAATGATCATCCAGCTGTTAAGTTCTCTAACACTAATTGGTATTCTCAAATTTCTACTTTCTTTGAGGGAGATGAGGAAAAAATGCCCAATATAACCTTTTAGGAATAAATTAAATATAGATTATGGATTAGTGAAAATGTAATTACGTAGACTGAGGAGAAAAGAAAGTATGTGGCCAGGTGCGGTGGCTCATGCATGTAATCCCAGCACTTTGGAAGACCGAGGCAGGCAGATCACCTGAGGGCAGGAGTTCGAGACCAGCCTGGCCAACATGGTAAAACCCAGTCTCTACTAAAAATACAAAAAATTAGCTGGGCATAGTGGCACATACCTGCAGTCCCAGCTACTTGGGAGCCTGAGGCAGGAGAATTGCTTGAAACCAGGGGGCGGATGTTACAGTGAGGCAAGATTGCACCATTGCACTCCAGCCTGGGCGACAAGAGTGAAACTCCGTCTCAAAAAAAAAAAAAGTGTGTAAAATCTCAACTGTACCTAATGACAGAAAAAGGTCATAAGCTATGAAATCATCTCAAGCAGGCTCTGTTAAAATGCTTCCATACTGACTGGGCGCAGTGGCTCACGCCTGTAATCCCAGCACTTTGGGAGGCCAAGGCGGGCAGATCACCTGAGGTCAAGAGTTCAAGACCAACCTGGCCAACATGGCAAAACTCCATCTCTACTAAAAATACAAAAATTAGCTGGGTGTGGTTGTTGGCATCTGTAATCCTAGCTACTCGGTAGGCTGAAACAGGAAAATCATTTGAACCTGGGAGGTGGAATTTGCAGTGAGCCCAGATGGTGCCACTGTATACTCTAGCCTGGGCAACAGAGCAAGACTTCATCTAAAAAAAAAAACAAAAAAAAAACAGCTTCCATACTGACCTAAATCACAGACTCCTATACCAAGAGTCATCAAGGAAGATTTTCAGAGAATAAAAAACACATAAAATTTGCTGACACATATTTTATACGAGATGCATTAGCTGTTGACCCTAACAACCCAATGATGCAGGAGCTATTAACCCTATTTAACAGATGAGTAAACTGAGTTTTAGTGAAGGTAAGAACCTTTCCAAAAGTTACACAGTTAGTAAATGGCAGAGCCAGGATTCAACCCTATTCCTATCTGAACTCCAAAGACCATGCCCTTTTGTTATGCTGCATCTGTATTTTAAATTTCATAACCTACTATTAACCACAGAAATCAATAGATTCTAATAGAAAATGTGTTTTGCCTTATTTTGGTTTTGCATTCCCTCATAATGTGAGAGTTGCTTGAGTAATTGTCAAATGTATGAGATGATTTATAAATCTGCTGGGTGCTTAAGCCAAGAGGAAGAAATAAAGGTTCAAAATTTGTGACTTTTGTGAATAAAAGTACAACGTAGCTTTAATACTGTAAATGGTATCATCCAATACTATGAACCTAATAACCTAAATGGGAATTATTGTTGTAATTTTTTTTACATTGAAAGTTACCTATATAGAAAGTGGGTTCATTTTCTTCTTTTTTTTTATTTACTGAATTGTTCATACATTAATAAAATAATACCTGAACTTTTCAAAAGCAACTGAAGAAATAGAAAATATGACAAGTTTTTGGCTTGAAAACAGGCAGGAAAGGACAACTCATAGAGACTATACGTGGTTTGCTTATAACGACTCAGTTTTTGGACTCAATCTTTTGTTTAATTTCCTTGCCAAACAAACATTATTTTCCTTGTCAAACAAGCATTAATATTTAAGTCAAACTGCAAGGTGCAAAAATAAGAGCCATGCTTTCTGTATGAATTCAGAAAAGCACAGACTTTTCAAGTTTGAAAATGTCTCAGAATAAACTTGTCCAACTCCATTTTCTTACAGAAAAAAAAAATTGTATTTGAAGCTTCTTTGCAAAGAAATGAGTGAATGCAACTTCCTTAAAACCTACCTGCATTCTGACAACATGGGACCCACAATTTATGGGATAAAATGAAGCTTGAAAATTACTTTAGGTTGATGTTGAGAAGTTGGAACCCTCCTACATTGCTGGTAGGATTTTAAAATGGTGCAAATGCTTTGGAAAACAGTTTGATAGTTACTCAAAATGCTAAAGATGGAGATACTATATGACCTAGCAGTCTCACTCCTAGATACATAGTCAAGAGAAAGGAAAACATGTCCAACACAAAAACTTGTACATAAACATTGACAGCACATTATGTATAAAAGCCAGAAAGTGAGGGGAGGTGGGGACAAATGTCTCTCAGCTGATGAATGGATAAATAAAATGTGGTATATCCATACGATGAAATTTTACGTAGGTTAAAAGATAGTAATAATACATGCTACAACCCAATGATCTTGAAAACATTGTGTGAAGAAGCCAGTCACAAAAGATCATATTATATGATTCAGTGTATATGAAATGTTTAGAATACACAAACCTATAGAGACAGTACGTTACTGGTTGCTTAGAGCTGGGATGGGGGTAAAAGAAGATGGGAAGTGATTACTAATAGGTACAGGGTTTCTTTCTGAGGTGATAAAAATAGTTTAAAAATAGATTTTGGTGATAGTTGCACAATTGATGATACTAAAAACCACTGAATTTACATTTTATTTATTTTGATACAGAGTCTCTCTCTGTCACCCATGCTGGAGTACAGTGGTGTGATCATGGCTTATTGCAACCTTGACCTTCCAGGCTTAGGTGATCCTCCCACCTCAGCCTCCTGAGTCACTGGGACATAGATGTGCATCCCCACACCCAGCTAATTATTGTATCTTTTGTAGAGATGTGGTTTCACCATGTTGCCTAGGTCGCTTGAACTCCTGGGCTCAAGCAGTCCACCCACCTCAGCCTTCCGGAGTGCTGGGATTACAGGTGTGAGCCACACTGTTCTGTCATTCTTGCCTTTGTTCCTCAGCACTTGTAGCTTGTTTCTCTGGCTGTTTTGTTTTGTTTTGTTTTGTTTTGTTTTGTTTTGTTTTTTTGAGACAGGGTCTCGCTCTGTCGCCCAGGCTGGAGTGTGGTCGTGTGATCATGGCTCACTGCAGCCTCGACGTTCTAGGGTTAGGTTGTCCTCCCACCTCAGCCTCCCCAGTATCTGTAATTGCAGACATGCAGCAACACACCCAGCTAATTTTTATATTTTATTTATTTATTTTTCTTAGAGATAGGTTTTTGCCATGTTGCCCAGGCTGGTCTCGAATTCCTGGGCTCAAGCAATCCTACTGCCTTTGCCTCACAAAGTGCTGGGATTGTAGGCATGAGCCACCACACCTGGCCCTGTTTTTAATATATTCTTTTTGTGACTTTCATTGTGCATTGGTGTGTTTTATTTTGTGTTTCTTTTGCCTGGAGTTTGTTGCACTTCTTGGATCTGTGGGTTTATAGTTTTGATCACATTTGGAAAATGTTTTGGCTATTATTTCTTCAAATATTTATTCTATCCCTCCATTTTTTTCTTCCTCTTTTGAGACTCCAGCTACACATATATTAGGCTGCTTAATGTTTTCCCACAGTGCAATGAGATCTGATCATTGAGATCTGATTTTTTTCAACCCAATCTTTTGTATTTCTGTGGTTCATTTTGATAATTTCTATTGCTATGCCTTCAAGTTTATTAATCCTTTCTTTCTTTCTTTTCTTTTTTTTTTTCTTTTGAGACAGTCTCACACTGTCATCGAGGCAGGAGTGCAGTGGCGCAATCTTGGCTCACTGCAGCCTCTGCCTCCTGAGTTCAAGCAATTCTGCTGCCTCAGCCTCCTGAGTAGCTGGGATTACAGGTGCAGGCCACCACACCTGGCTAATTTTTGTATTTTTAGTAGAGACAGAGTTTTGCCATGTTGGCCAGGCTGGTCTTGAACTCCTGATCTCAGGTGATCCACCCGCCTGGGCCTCCCAGAGTGCTGGGATTACAGGCATGAGCCATCGTGCCAGGCCTTAATCCTTTCTTTAGCAGTATTTAATCTGCTGTTAATCCCCTCTAGTATATTGTCCATCTTAGACATTGTTTCTTTCTTCTTCTCTAGCTGTTTTGAGTCTTAAAAATATCTTACATTCCTCTTCTTATCATGCTCAAACTTTCCATTACCTTTTTGAAGATATGGAGTATAGTTAGAATAGCTGTTTTAATGTTCTTAACTAACAAATCCTATAGTCTTTGTCACTTCTGGGTCTGTTTCTATTGATTGTTTTTTCTCCTTGTTATAGGTTGTATTTTCTTATTTCTTCAAAAGCCTTCTAATTTTTGGATTCCATTGTGCTGGAGTTTTCTTATTTAAATGTTTTGGGTTTTGTTCTGGGATGCAGTTGTATTACTTGGAAATAGTTTGAATGGTCATTTCAAGGCTTACTTTGAATCCTTTTTTTTTTTTCCCCTGAAATGGAGTCTCACTCTGTCGCCCAGGCTGGAATGCAGTGGTGCTCTCTGCTCACCACAACCTCCACTTCCTGGGTTCAAACAATTCTCCTGCCTCAGCCTCCCAAGTAGCTGGGATTACAGGTACCCACCACCACACTTGGCTAATTTTTGTATTTTTAGTAGAGATGAGGTTTCACAATGTTGGCCAGGCTGATCCTGAACTCCTGACCTCAGGCAATCCACCTGCCTTGGCCTCCCAAAGTGCTGGGATTACAGGTGTAAACCATTGCACCCAGCCTTTTTTTTTTTTTTTTTTGAGATGGAGTCTTACTCTGTCGCTTATGCTGGAGTGCAGTGGCGCAATCTTGGCTCATTGCAACCTCCGCCCCCTGGGTTCAAGCAATTTCTCCTGCCTCAATCTCCCGAGTATCTGGGATTACAGGTGCCTGCCACCGTGCCAGCTAATTTTTGTACTTTTAGCAGAGACAGGGTTTCATCATCTTGGCCAGGCTGGTCTTGAACTCCTGACCTCATGATCCACCTGCCTTGGCCTCCCAAAGTGCTGGGATTACAGGCATGAACCACCGCTTCCGGCTGCCTTTTTTTTTTTTTTTCTTTGAGATGGAGTCTCTCTCTGTCACCCAGGCTGGAGTGCAATGGCACTATCTAGGCTTACTGCAACTTCCGCCTCCCAGGTTCAAGCAATTCTCCTGCCTCAGCCTACCGAGTAGCTGGGATTACAGGCATGTGCCACCATGCCTGGCTAATTTTTGTATTTTTGGTAGAGACGGGGTTTTGCCATGTTGGCCAGGCTGGTCTCGACCTCCTGACCTCAGGTGATCTGCCCACCTCGGCCTCCCAAAGTTCTGGGATTACAGGTGTGAGCCACCACGCCTGGCCTTGAATCTTTGTAGGAAGGTCCATTACAGCCTTTAATATGGGGCTTATTTGGCTCAGCTACTGAAGCAATACCTTCTCAAGACTCTACTCAATGCCTTGCATCTTAGGAGGTTTTTCCACTCGATCTGGTTGGACCACAGTTTCTGGTCCTGTTTAAATCCAAGTTTTGTTCTACTTGTTCTTCTCCAGTGCTTCTTTCTCAAATCTTGGTCGTTTACTTCACGTACGTGTACTGATGATCAGAACCAGCTGAAGACTCAAGGAGAACACTTCTGAGCTCTTATATTATGTAGTTCTCTCCTCTGATTTTTACCATGTAAATTCTGATGCCTTCACCTCCCAGATCTTCATACTGTTTGCTCAACTCAAAGAGGTGGTCAACATCTGTTTGGGTTGCTCCTCCCTGTGCTGCAGCCTGGAAATTCTACAGCAATCATAGGACTCACCTTTTTTTGTTTGCTTCTCTGAGAAATCACTGTCCTGCACTGCCTCCTGTCTGATATCTGAAAACAATTAACTAGTATATTTTTGTTCAGTTTTTTAAGTATTTTAGGTGGGAGGTTAATTCTGGTCCCTGTTACATCATCCTGGGTGGTAGCAGAAGTCACAGCATAAAGTTTTTATTTCCTAATGTTTTCTTAGTTATATGGATAATTCAAATGTTGAATAAGAACCTATTTTGCATTTTAATTTTTTCAATCATTTTATAAGTTGGAGGAATCTTTAAAAGTAGAAAAGCAAAAAAGGTGTAAAATGAACAACTGACAAATAAGAAAATCATGATACTTTACCAAGATGTTGTACTAGCTAATTATTAAGCAACTTAGGTAATATCTCAAAGGCTTTTAGAAAATGTGTGTAAAAAATTATTTTAATTCCTTATAATGTTTCTTTTTTCTTTCTTTCTTTTTTTTTTTTTGTTTTTTTGTTTGTTTGTTTGTTTGAGACAGAGTCTCACTCTGTCACCCAGGCTGGAGTGCAGTGGCGTGATCTCTGCTCACTGCAACCTCCTCCTCTCGGGTTCAAGTGATCCTTGTGCCTCAGCCTCCTGAGTAGCAGGAATTACGGGCACCTACCACCACATCAGGCTAATTTTTGTATTTTTAGTAGAGAAAGCGTTTCACCATGTTGGCCAGGCTGATCTCGAACTCCTGACCTCAGGTGATCCGCCCGCCTCGGCTCCCAAAGTGCTGGGATTACAGGCATGAGCCACCGCACCTGGCCTAAATGCTTATTATTTATTTTTATTTTTATTTTTATTTTTTGAGACGGAGGCTCGCTCTGTTGCCCAGGCTGGAGTGCAGTGGTGCAATCTCGGCTCACTGCAACCTCCACCTCCTGAGTTCAAGCGATTCTCCTGCCTCAGCCTCCCAAGTAGCTGGGATTACAGGCACTCACCACCACGCCCAGCTCTTTTTTATTTTTATATTTTTTTAAGTAGAGATGGGGTTTTACCATTTGGCCAGGCTGGTCTTGAACTCCTGACCTCGAGTGATCCACCTGCCTCGGCCTTCCAAAGTGGTGGGGTTACAGGTGGGAGACACCACACACCCAAACACTTACTATATTTCTACTTAACGGCTTCAAGTCTTAAACAGATTCCAGGACTAGCAACATTTTGAAAACTCACTGTTCCACTGCAGTTTTGCTCTTAAGTAAAATTTGAAAAATTTGCTTTTAAATATGGGAGATACTGAGCATAATATTTAATTTTTTTTTCTGAGACAGAGTCTCACTCTGTCACCCAGGCTGGAGTGCAGTGGCATGATCCCAGCTCACTGCAACCTCTGCCTGCCAGGTCCAAGTGATTCTCCTGCCTTGGCCCCCCAAATAGTTGGGATTACAGGCATGCACCACCATGCCTGGCTAATTTTGTATTTTTAGTAGAGATGGGGTTTCACCATGTTAGCCAGGCTGGTCTCGAACTCCCGACCTCAGGCTATCTGCCTGCCTCAGCCTCCCAAAGTACTGGGATTACAGGCATGAGCAACCCCGCCCAGCCAAAATTTAATTTTCAAGTGGCCAGTAGTTACTCCAATGAAGCCAAAAATAATTAGTATCATTTTCCAGCCCAAGTTGCAGAATGACTGAACATAGAAGGCATCTCAGAAAAAAAAATTTTTTTTAATCACTGGACACTTTATTGAAAGCAAAGCAAGATTTAGCATCTTTGCCTTCGTTGTACACAGCTGAAGCGGAAGCCCAGGGAGATGAGGACTGCATGGTTTTCCTTGGCGTGGGAGGTGTGCACCCTTCAGTCCTCTCATTTGTGGGAAGATCAGCCCATGCTCTGTTGGCTGCCATAGTCCCTAGGATGGATGCCCTTCCAGTCATCCCACTCCCGAACTCTGTAGAGTGTTTGTTCATCATCCTCTTCCTCCTTTTCTTCTTGACCTTCCTGTTGCTGAGCTGCTTTTCTGAATTCCTCTGGTGTTGCCTTGGCTATTCCCTGATCTGGTAATGCTCCATATTTCCAATGTTGCTTATACCAGTCACTCACCGTCATAGTTGCCAGACTTGGATAACCAGCTCCAAATACTTTGACTTGGGCCATGTTCCGAGTGAGAATGAAGGGTTTCACTGGAGGCCTCTCCTGGCGAGATGAATTAGAAGTTGATGCCTCTCTTGAAGAGTCTCTTTCTCTCAGGATCTTTATTTCCTGGTCAATGCTCTCAATCTCTTCTAAGCTGATATCAGTTCACCTCTGAAGGTGAAGAAGATAATATTCACGAACACGCTCATCATCTGCTTGACCAGTTTCCACAGCAGATTTGATTGCAGACAACCTGTGCTCCAACTCCTTCTGCTTGTGTCTCTCTCTTTTAGCCTGTCTTTGAGATGCCATAGCAATGAGGCTAGGATAAGCCATGGAGAAATTAGCAGTGTGATTTTTCAGCTGAGTTCTTGGTTTTCGGCAGCTCAAGCTCTGCCACCTGATAGCAATGGCACAGTTAATTAGTTTATAGTGCTCTTGAGCCCACTGCAAATGATCTAGACGCTTGCTGGGCTTGACTTGTTTCATGGTGAAGGCTCCTTGAAACACTGGCACCAACAGGTACTTCAGGTCGGTGGAAGCAATCACTTCCAAATCTTCATTTTAGCTGAACAAGTCAAGCTGCGATAACATTTCGGCAGCCTTCTCAAGGAGGTCCAGGCCCTTGAACACCTTCTTCTGGACTATCCGGGAACCGGCAGGTTCAGTCACTACTTCTACATCATCCAGAAGCTGTTTGCTGGTTTCAAACAGCTCGGGGAGCTGTGGCAGCAGTAATTTGTCTTCAGCAGCCATCTTGGAGAGGGACAAACAAGAAATTATTTTTAAAGGAAAACTTTCAAAGTGAAAAGAGAAATATATCTTCTCCTGGGAGTACTAAAAGAAAACCTCACCTCAGATGAGTTATCTCACAATTTCCGAACAAAAATAATCACCTTTGGGCCAAGAAGAGGTGTGGAAAGTTTCAAACACAGTTTTTATAAAGGGGGTACAACTGAAAAGGGGTTTTAACACAACCACCTCTCTCGCAGGCTTATTAGATCCTGATCACCTAAGAGTTTCTTGTCAGCACTCCTGTCAAATGGATGAAATGCGCCCGGAAGGCTACCTCTGACAAAAGGGAAGGCACAGCAGAAATGTTACTGTGTAAGGGTGCCAGTGGGTACAGATGTGGTTATCATCTTCCACTAATCATCTAAGAACAAAGCATCTTTTGCTCCTTTGGGGGGCTAAATGGGATGGTTACTAAGTGGGAAGGATGTGCTTTCCTAATACAGCAGCATAATAATTGTTCTAAAAGATTTTAACCCTGGCTGGGCACAGTGGCTCACGCCTGTAATCCCAGCACTTTGGGAGGCTGAGGCGGGCGGATCATGAGGTCAAGAGATTGAGACCATCCTGGCCAACACGATGAAACCCCATCTCTACTAAAAATACAAAAAAATTAGCCGGGCGTGGTGGTGGGCGCCTGTAGTCCCAGCCACTCAGGAGGCTGAGGCAGGAGAATCGCTTGAACCCGGGAGGCGAAGGTTGCAGTGAGCCGAGATTGTGCTGCACTCCAGCCTGGGCAACAGAGTGAGACTCTGTCTCAAAGAAAAAAAAGGGCAGGGGGTGTCAGGCATGGTGGCTCACGTCTGTAATCCCAGCACTTTGGGAGGCCGAGGCAGGCGGATCAAGAGATCAAGACCATCCTGGCCAACATGGTGAAACCTCATCTCTACTAAAAATACAAAAATTAGCTGGGTGTGGTGGTGCGCACTTATAATCCCAGCTACTAGGGTAGCTGAGGCAGGAGAATCACTTGAACCTGGGAGGCAGAGGCTGCAGTGAGCTTAGATTGCACCACTGCACTCCAGCCTGGCGACAGAGCAAGACTTCATCTCAAAAAAAAAAAAAAAAAAGTATAAAAACCTCAACAATTATAATTTATCTGATCTTATTATGTAAAGGGGCTCTTGAGAACAGCAAGTTTATCTCAATATGGTATATTCAGAATAGTCAAATATAGTTTTTTGTTTGTTTTTGAGACACAGTCTCACTGTTGCCCAGGCTATAGTGTGGTGGTGCATTCCTCAGCCTCCTGAGTAGCTAGGGCTTCAGACACGTGCCCCCATGCCCAGCTGATTTTTCAATTTTATATAGAGATGAGGTCTCCCTGTGTTGCCAAGGCTGGTCTCAAATTTCTGGGCTCAAGGGATCCTCCTGCCTCAGCCCCCCAAAGTGCTGGGATTGCAGGCGTGAGCCACAAAACCCAGCCACCGCCCTGGTCTTTCAAAGCACTGGGATTACAGGTGAGCCTTAATTTAGAGATAGTATTTCCCTTCAGAGCAGATATCAGACTTGTTTACTTTCCTGTATAATAAAGTTAATGTCTCCCTCCAGAGCAAAGACCTTGCAGGTTTAAAAGTTGTCATTCAGAACTAAGGGGAGTTCCGTGGCGCCTCTGGCCTGGCCTCCCCTTTCTTGTCTGACTCGAGACACCAACTGAGTTCCTGTTTCTAGTAGCTAAGCTCCCACCGTCGGGGAGGAATCAGGGACTGTGCAGTCCCTGTGAATCCCATCCAGGTCAGTTCTAGATTCTAAACTGAATTTTTTTCATGATATTGTCAAAACAGTGAGGAAACGTTTTGTAAAGAAGCCCTAAAGAAAAAAAAAGTCATTGAGCCTTCCTAAACAATTTTCTCTTAATATATGTATTCTAAGACTTTTTAATGTATATACTATATTAGAAATCCAATTCTCTTGTAGATGTCTCTTTTTTTTAATAAAAACTTTTTTTTTTTCACATTTTCCTGCCTCTATCTAGTATGTGGAACTTAACTGAACTTAGAAGGGACTTCAGAACTATTTATTTATTTATTTATTGAGACAGAGTTTTGCTCTTGTTGCTCAGGCTGGAGTGCAATGGCTCAATCTCAGCTCACCGCAACCTCTGCCTCCCGGGTTCAAGCGATTCTCCTGAGTAGCTGGGATTACAGGCAAGCATCACCACGCCCGGTTAATTTTTTGTATTTTTAGTAGAGACAGGGTTTCTCCATGTTGGTCAGGCTGGTCTCGAACTCCTGACCTCAGGTGATCTGCCTGCCTCGGCCTCCCAAAGTGCTGGGATTACAGGCACAAGCCACCACACCCAGCCCTGTAGATTTCTCATTGAGGGCACAAACATTTATTTCCATCTCCTGTGTAACTATTCATAAACTTAAAGATGATTACTAAAGCAACTTTCACCTTCCTCAGGTTAAATAAGCAATGTGCCTTTAAACTTTCCACATAAATTCTGTTTTCTAATTTTTGTTGTTGTTGTTGTTGCTATTTTGTGTTTTCTAATTTTTAATCCTTTGGTTAATCATGCCTCTGGATTTTTTCCCATTTTCTTCATCTCTTGAATTTAGAGCCCAGGATCTGATACAATACCCTAGTAAAGGGTTAATTCCTATTGCATAGATTTTCGATACCTGCCACAGACTTGAGGGCAGGTTGAGGGCAGATACTGTTTTATACTTTTCTAGTATCAGTAACTTTCTAGCATATGTAGGTGCTCAGTAAATTCTTACTGATTGATTGGTGTATCCCAGAATTGTTTTTGAGTTGTAAATCACAGTACCACTTTGCTGATTCATGTTTAATGTTTGCTTCACTATAAAAATTGTTTGTAAAGTAAAAAACAGCAAGGAACTCTACAAGTGGTGAACAATGGCTATAAATCATAGAACCATCTTTGTTTTTGTGAAAAGTATTCTTACTTCAATTAGCAGTCTTTCTATTCCCGACCACCTATCCCAAAGGAATCATCATCAATAATGCCATCTCTGCATACAAAAGATATTCTTTAATTACGATGCTTAGCTGAGTTAGCATTTTTACTTTTTTTCCTTTTTCTATTCTTTTTTTTTTTTTTTTTTTTTTTTTTTTTTTTTTTTTTTTGAGACGGAGTCTCGCTCTGTCTCCCAGGCTGGAGTGCAGTGGCGCGATCTCTGCTCGCTGCAAGCTCCGCCTCCCGGGTTCACGCCATTCTCCTGCCTCAGCCTCCCGAGTAGCTGGGACTACCGGCACCCGCCACCACGCCCAGCTAATTTTTTTTTAATTTTTAGTAGAAACAGGGTTTCTCCGTGTTAGCCAGGATGGTCTCGATCTCTTGACCTCGTGATCCGCCCACCTCGGCCTCCCAAAGTGCTAGGATTACAGGCGTGAGCCACCGTGCCCGGCCTATTCTTTTTTTTTTTTTTTTTTTTTTTTTTTAGTAGCACTTGTTGTTGAAGCATTTTTACTTTTTGTATTTCCTTCTTTCTGAGTTACTGTGGTAGGCTGCATCTAAAATGACTCCTAAGCACCGTACCTTCTGGTTTTCACATCCTTGTGTAATTTCCTCCTCTTGTGCTTGGGCCGGACCTAATGACCTCTTTCAAAAGAATAGAATATGGCAAAGTGACAGAATGTCACATCTGAGATTAGGTTACAAAAGACTGTGACTTTCATCTTCCTCTCTCTCTTGCGCTCTCACTTGCTCATTCCAATGTAGGAAATTGCCATGTTGCAATTTCCAAAGGATAGGTCACAATCCAAAGGATAGGTCCATATGGCAGAAAAACGGAGGGTAGCCTCTAGTCAACAGCCAGTGAGGAACGGAGGCCCTGAGTGCAACACCCTGATAGGGACTAAGTCCTACCAACATCAACACCTAGTCAAGCCTTAAGATGACTGCAGCACCCGCTCAACACCTTTTATACAGCCTTATGAGAAACCCAGAGCCAAGAGACCCAACTAAGCTTTGCCTAGCTTCCTTACTCATAGACTCTGTAAGAAAATAATTGTTTATTGCTTTAAGGCACCAAGTTTGGGGGTAATTTTTCATACAGCAAGAGATAACTAATATAGATTCTGTTTGATAAATATTAACTTACACCTAACTCAGATTTCACTCAAAGAAATTAATATGCATGTGAGAAGATATATTCTTTACCCAGCCACGGGAGGTATTGCCTAGGAAAAACTTAGATAGTTGCCAACCGATTGTATCATAATCTCACTTCTGAGTTTAGAAATTAATATTAAAGGACTGTAGTTTCCAGTCAGACTTTTCCATTTAAAAACCATGAGCTTCTATTTTTACAAGTCATAGGTACTTAATTAGTTCTCCACTATTCTGTAAAATAATACACTCCTAGTTCTGTGATAACTCTGGTCAATTCTAGAAATAAGTATTCGTTAGTACAAATTACCAGAGCCTGTGGATTTGAATGTATCAATCTGTTTTATTAAGCAGGCCCCATTTTGTGAAACTCAGCTGGAAAACGACAGTCAACCTGACAATTCTCATAGATAGTTAATTTAAGAAATTCTTCTTCTTCTTCTTCTTTTTTTTTTTTTTTTTTTTTGATAGAGGGTCTTACTCTATTGCCCAGGCTGGAGTGCAGCGGCACAATCATGTCTCACTGCAGCCTCAGCCTCCGGAATAGCTGGGACTGCAGGTGCACACCACGATGCCCAGCTAATTTTTTTTTTTTTTTTTTTTTTTGAGACGGAGTGTCGCTCTGTCGCCCAGAGTGGAGTACAGTGGCTCCATCTCGGTTCACTGCAAGCTCCACCCGCTGGGCTCACGCCATTCTCCTGCCTCAGCCTCCCGAGTAGCTGGGAATACAGGCGCCTGCCACTACGCCCAGCTAATTTTTGTATATTTAGTAGAGACGGGGTTTCACCGTGTTAGCCAGGATGGTCTCGATCTCCTGACCTCGTGATCCACCTGCCTCGGCCTCCCAAAGTGCTGGGATTACAGATGTGAGCCACGGCGCCCGGCCGCCCAGCTAATTTTTAAATTTTTTTTGTAGAAACAGAGTTTCACGAAGTTGCCCAGGCTGGTCTCAAACTCCTGGGCTCGAGCAGTTTGCCCACCCCAGCCTCCCAAAGTGCTAGGATTACAGGTGTGAGCCACCACACTTGGCTAATTTTCTTTTTCTTTTTCTTTCTTTTTTTTTTTTTTTTTTGAGACAGTCTCACTCTGTCACCTGGCTGGAGTTTAGTGACACGATCTTAGCTCCCTGCAACCTCTGCCTCCTGAGTTCAAGTGATTCTCCTACCTCAGCCTCCTGAGTAGCTGGAATTACAGGTACACACCACCACGCCCAGCTAATTTTTGTATTTTTAGCAGAGACAGCGTTTCGCCATGTTGGCCTCTATCTCTTGACCTTGTGATCCACCCACCGCAGCCTCCCAAAGAGCTGGGATTACAGGCGTGAGCCACCATGCCCAGCCTAATTTTTTATTTTTTGTGAAGATGGGGTCTCTGTTGCCTGGGCTGGTCTCAAACTCCAGGGCTCAAGTGATCCTCCAGTCTCAGCCTCCCAAAGTGCTGAGATTACAGGCATGAGCCCCTGTGCCCACCCAAAAAATTATTCTTAAGCTGGTGAGTACATAAATGTTTCTTTATTATTTTTTAAATCTATATATATGTTTTATGAAGTTTTTGTTATGTGTAATACATTTCATAATAAAAACAAGGTTTAAAAAAAACAAGCTTTCTGACTTGTTCTGATATTTAAGATTTTGGTAAAAAGTTTTAAGTTTTAAAGAGTGCATATGGGCTGGTCCGAGTGCAGTGGTTTATGACTAATTAATCACAACCAGTTCCAGATTTCTTTGTTCTTTCTCTACTCCCACTGCTTCACTTGGCTAGCCTTTAGTAAATAAATAAATAAATAGAGTGCCTATGGTAGTTAACCAAAAAAAGAGTGTTTTCTAAGCTTCCATTAAGTCTATCATACACTATCATTAATTCCCCTAAGACTGTGTCAAGTTACCTATTTACAAAGATCGATTGCTCAGATCCTTCAAAGTTCATGAATCCTTTAGTTTTGGATGATAAAGAGTGAAAAAACAAAAGTTAAAGAGAAGCCCACAGAACCAGAGAAAAAAAGAAGTTGCCTTCTTTCTCATCCTTCATAAACACCTGCCCACACAGGTTGATGTCCTTTTTCAAATATTTAGTCAGACCCCAAGCACTACCTTTGACCCTGGTATTACAAGTCCCACTCTGCCTTTACTACTCATATCTGAACTTTTAATATCTAATTACAATATTCAGTGAACTGATATTACATGCTACCATTTTTAAGTTTGGAATTAAACTTGGAATTATGTTGACAAATCTGGTTTGTTTTAGAACTTAATACGATTTAGAACTTTTGTTTATTATGTTTTATAAATTAAATGCCATTTTTTACCTTTTAAAATTATCTTCCTATTTTATTCATTCAGCAAATATTTATATACCTATAGTAAAAGTATATAAACCTGATATATAGTAATATATCCAGAAATGTTCAGGATAGAAATGCAGTAGTGAACAGACAAGCAAGCTTGTAGTCTTTAAATAAATTACCAACTGTAATGCTGTTTGACATTATGTTTTTAAATAATGCATAACCTATTGTTATCAGGGAGTTATACATACCTATGTATTACCATATATCTTCCAATATAGGCTTGTAATAAAGTCAGTATACTCACGTTCTCTTTTCTAAGCATGTCTTAACAGGTTAAACCACACAACCGTGATATTTGTATATTATATAATTAACATCTTAAATAACAGCTTTGAAATTTCTTTTTTTTTTTTTTTTTTTTTTTTTTTTTTTTTGAGACGGAGTCTCGCTGTCACCCAGGCTGGAGTGCAGTGGCGCGATCTGGGCTCACTGCAAGCTCCACCTCCCGGGTTCACGCCATTCTCCTGCCTCAGCCTCCCCAGTAGCTGGGACTACAGGCGCCCGCCACCACGCCCAGCTAATTTTTTGTATTTTTAGTAGAGGTGGGGTTTCACCGTGTTAGCCAGGATGGTCTCGATCTCCTGACCTCGTGATCCGCCCGCCTCGGCCTCCCAAAGTGCTGGGATTACAGGCGTGAGCCACCGCGCCCGGCCTGAAATTTCTTAGTGATAGATTGCACTGCACTAAAATTTGAGACAGGGCCAGGCATGGTAGCTCACCCCTATAATCCCAGCACTTTGGGAGGCCAAGGTGGGCGGATCACCTGAGGTCAGGAGTTTGAGACGAGCCTGGCCAACATGACAAAACCCTATCTCTACTAAAAATACAAAAATTAGCCTGGCATGGTGGCACACACCTGTAATCCCTGCTACTCAGGAGGCTGAGGCAGGAGAATCACTTGAACCAAGGGCGGAGATTGCAGTGAGCCGAGATTGCACCACTGCATTCCAGCCTGGACGACAGAGCAAGACTCTGTCTCAAAAAATAAATAAATAAAAATTGAGGCAGATACACTTCGTATCATACACATTAAAACAGGAAAGGATTAACCCTCATCACACATATACTCAAATCAAAGTTAATACCACTTGGTTTTCTTTTTATTTGTTTTAGTAAAAATTAGACAGTTTACAATTAAAGAAACTATCTTTGAGAACCTGATCTTTCAGTCTATGGATATTTAATGAAAATAATGAAATTAGTTATCACCTTTGAAGAGGGGAGGATTCAGGGAAGAAAAACCAGTACCATCCATCTGTAATAGATTGCTTAATTGAAGATATTTAGCAAAAGCACACTGAAGACTAATAGAATTGCCCAAAGGTTTTTCTCCTCTTTGATCTACATATTGTGTCTCACATGACACAAGTGTGACACACCACCTCAAAAACAAACTTGCCCTTTCCATTCAAATACCAAACTGGCCAAGTAGGGTGGATAGAGTGCTGTGTCTCCTTCCTGGTACAGTGTGCCAGCAAGGAAAGTCTCTGTTATATAACTTCCTGCATCTTCAAAACAAAACAAGACTTCACGTAAGAGATATTACCACCCCTAGAAAAGTTCCACCCATCAGAATAGGAAATCCTCATCTGTTGCTGACAGCAGTGTCACAAAGGCCTTAAAAATGTTTAAATACCTTGACTAAACAGTTCAGTTTCTAAAAACTTAAGAAAATAATCGGATATTTGCAAAATGATTTCTGTATGATGGTTTACTACAGTGTTGTTTTATAATGGTAGTAAATTGGAAACCACCTAAACGTCCAGTAGCTGGAGATTGATTAGGTATAGGACATCCATATCCACTCCAGCCTGGGTGACAGAGCGAGACCTTGTCTTAACAAAAAAAAAAAAAAAAAAAAAAAAAAAAGTAGACAGCTGCAACTTTGGATGGCCAAAGGGCTGGCAGTGATAGGAACAGCTACTTCAATAAAGAGAACAGAAAACTGAAAGCTGTAAATTACACATTTTCTATTCTGTGCTTTGCTTTCCGGGAAGTCACATGTTCATTAGACTCCTTTTTATTTAAAAACTAGGTAATACTTCTTTCCCACCTTATAATTACCTCCCAAAATACAGTCAACACAATGCTGTGCTTTGGCTACTTTGGCTAAGAATAATCCCAAATCAGCATTTTAAACCAACAGTATCAGACCAGATCAAGAGAGGTAAACTGATGTGTTCCAGCTCTCTGTTATGACCAAGCAGGAAGTTTCCGAGCAAACCTCCACTTCTCAGGAAGTTTACGTCAAACTTAGTATTTACATCCTGTTGAATATAGTCTTAATTTTTTTCTCAATTCTAGATACTATTTGAATTAAAATGTTGGAGTAATCTGTCCTCAAATTGTTTTTTTTTAACTCTCAATAGACTATGTATATCTGTTCTAAGTGACACATGGAATACCTCCATGACTAATAGTGACAAAAGTTAAAGATTGTTTTTAGAATTAAGTACCTATAATTATAACTATTTATATCCCTATACATTATCTCTTATTCATTTGATCTCTCAAGTAGGTCCTTGTTAGCTATGTTCTGATTAACTCATTATGCAGTTAGTATACTATATGCAAACAAATAAAACCCTCAGTGGAGCATCCTGATGTTTCTCTCCAGGACTGACCGTGTAATATTGACGTGGGAAAGGTGACACGATGCTGAGTCTGATACTTCTAGCAGCTGGCTGTATGACTTTGGCTAAGGCCCTTAACCTGCAGTTTTCTCACCTGAAAATAAGAGGGGTGGGTTAAATGATCTTTAGTATATCTTCTGTGATCGTACTATGCAGGAGTGCCAATCTGTATCTTACATACAGTAAAGTCATACTTCATTATGTTTGTTTGTTTGTCTTTTGAGACAGGGTCTCACTCTGTCACCAGGCTGGAGTGCAGTGGTACAATCATGGCTCACTGCAGCCTCAACCTCCCAGGCTCAAGCGATCCTCCCACCTCAGCCTACCAAGTAGTGGGGACCACAGGTGCATGCCAGCTAATTTTTTTTTTTTAAGAGATGATGTCTCCTTGTTGCCCAGGCTGATCTCAAACTCCTGGACTCAAGCAATCCTCCTATCTCTGCCTACCAAAGTGCTAGAATTATAGGCTTAAGCCACTGCTCCTGGCGCTGATCTCAAACTCCTGGACTCAAGCAATCCTCCTATCTCTGCCTACCAAAGTGCTAGAATTATAGGCTTAAGCCACTGCTCCTGGCGTCATACTTCTTAAATTAAAAAAAAAGGCATATTCTAAGTGTAAGCCGTAGGACAAAAACTGTGCATCTTTGTAGTAGGTGTGCTAGTTAGGATTATGGTTGGAAGTAATAGAAATCTGAATGGATCTTGCTTAGATAATGAGGTGAATGTATTTTAAACACATAAAGGGTCTCACAGAACCCAAGGACACAAATTGAACTGGACATAAGGAGCCAGGAAGGTGAATGTCAAAGAGACTCTGTCTCATGTGTCCTCCTCCCTTTGTACATCAGCATCATTCCACCTTCTCTCTGTCCATCAGGTTCTTCTGCTTCCCTGAACCACAAGGTGGAAAATAGCTGCTGGCAGCTCTTCAGTTTACAAATTACAGTGTGGACACAGGAAAAGAAATGGCTGTTTCTCAGTCCAAATGCCATGTCTCAGGAAAAGGCTCCAACCGGCCCACATTGGGGCAGATGTCCATCCCAGGACTTATCAACTGTCATCTATATTTGGGACAACCTCTATTGAAAATGATGATTTTCACTTCAATTCTGAGGAGTAGGCAGGAAAGGGAAACTTTTAGAAGGAGGATATAAGTAGAAAATCTAGGCTGGGGCCAGGCACGGTGGCTCATGCCTGTAATCCCAGCACTTTGGGAGGCCGAGGTGGGCGGATCACGAGGTCAGGAGTTCGAGACCAGCCTGACCAACATGGTGAAACCCTGTCTCTACTAAAAATAGAAAAATTAGCTGGGCGTGGTGGCATGTGCCTGTAATCCCAGCTACTCGGGAGGCTGAGGCAAGAGAATCACTTGAACCCATGAGACGGAGGTTGCAGTGGCCGAGATGGCGCCACTGCACTCCAGCTGGGGCAACAGAAGACAGAGTGAGGCTCCGTTTCCAAAAAAAAAAAAAAAAAGAAAGAAAATCTAGGCTGGGCATGGTGGCTCACGTCTGTAATCCCAGCACTTTGGGAGGCCAAGGCAGGTGGATCACAAAGTCAGGAGATCAAGACGATCCTGGCTAACACAGTGAAACCCCATCTCTACTAAAAATACAAAAAATTAGCTGGGCGTGGTGGCATGTGCCTTTAGTCCCAGCTACTTGGGAGGCTGAGGCAGGAGAATCACTTGAACCTGGGAGGTGGAGGTTGCAGTGAGCCAAGATTGTGCCACTGCACTCCAGCCTGGGCAACAGAGCCAGACTTCATCTCAAAAAAAAAAAAAAAAGAAAAAAGAAAAGAAAATCTAATTGGGGTTCACACACTAAAATATCAGTGTTAATAGTATTTTTACATTTGGAAATAATTATAGATTCACAGGAGGTTGAAAAATTAGTGCAGAGAGGTTCTCTGTACCCTTCACCCAGTTTCTCCTAATGGTCAGGTCTTACATAATTATAGTGCAATATCAGTTGTAAATTTTTTATTGAGACAGTTGATTTTCATATTCTTTCCCGTTTATTATAGCACATGTGCCTCACTCTTCATGGTAAATGTTTTACTGAAGAATAACATACAGAAAAGTGGACAAGTCTTAACTGCACAGCTCAATGAATTTCCATGAAGTAAATATACCCATATGATAATCCAGCTCAAGAAACAGAAAATCACTACCACCCCAGAAGACTGCCTTATACTACCATCTTTTAAGAGTGAATCACACATGGGGTACTCCTTGTATCTGGCCTCTTTCTTTTTTTCTTTCTTTTTAATTATTATTTTTGTTTGAGATGGAGTCTCATTCTGTCACCCAGGCTAGAGTGCAGTGTCATGATCTCGGCTCACTGTAACCTCTGCCTCCCGGGTTCAAGCAATTCTCCTGCCTCAGCCTCCTGAGTAGCTGGGACTACAGGCACCCGCCACCACGCCCAGCTGATTTTTGTATTTTTGGTAGAGACAGGGTTTCGCCATGTTGGCCAGGCTGGTCTCGAACTTCTGTCCTCAGGTGATCCACCCACCTCGGCCTCCCAAAGTGCTGGGATTACAGGCGTGAGCCACTGCACCCGGCCTGTTTCCAGCCTTTGTTCAACATTATGTTTGTGAAGTTAATCTGTGTTGTTTTATGTAATTATAGTTCACTCATTCTTTCATGGGCTTAAATCTTTTTACAATAAAATTTTAAGAGAATAAAATTGTAAAAAAAAAAAGCTCATGACATGCAATAAACTGTATAATTTGATGCGTTTTGACATGTATACACCCATATCAGTACCACAGTCAAGATCATGAATACATCTATTTCCTCAAAATAGTCCATGAATTTTTTTTTTTGAGACAGAATCTCGCTCTGTCGCCCAGGCTGTAGTGCAGCGCGCGATCTCGGTTCACTGCAACCTCAGTCTCCCGGGTTCAAGCAATTCTCCTGCCTCAGCCTCCCGAGTAGCTGGGACTACAGACGCGTGCAACCACGCCCCTGTAGTCCCAGCTAATTTTTTGTATTTTTAGTAGAGATAGGGTTTCACTGTGTTAGCCAGGATAGTCTTGATCTCCAGACCTCGTGATCCGCCCACCTCGGCTTCCCAAAGTGATGCGTCCATGAATTTTTTAAAACTAAAAATGGGACCTGGATAAAGTGAACATCTTAGGGCCGTAATGACCTCCAGACCTTTTGCAGAAGGTTGGAATAGGTAATATTTATTTTTCCCTGTTGTTAAGAAGACTTTAATGAGAAAAGTTTCTATTATATATCTTCTGTATTTTAAATTAGCCAACATTTGTACGCACATACAACAAACTGGACTAAATTTTGGGATTTACTCCAATAAGTACAATAATAGTGTTTAGAGAGCTATAGATAAGAGAATATTTGCTTTATCAATCTTTTTTTACATGGCATTTTTAAAATATGCAGAATACTTTTGTTATAATGTACAGTTCTTCCATCTCCTTACTTATGTCATCACAGTGATTCATAGTTGAGGAATTATAAGAATAGAGGGGTCAAAAGACTGTAAAGTCAGAACAGCAAGATTTTTGACAAGGAAGGAAGACATATTCTGGCAAACTTAACATTAATGCCAGGAACAAGTCTAGATTGGATTTTCATAGGTGATTTGAGAGTACTTAAGGAAAAGACATGATCATTTAGAGCCAGCCTAAGTTTACCAAAAACAGGTTAAGCCACACTAACTTTATTTTTCAGATAAGATTAGCATATTCGTAGTCTGGAAAATGCTATACAAAGAATGTAAAGCATGAAACTACTTGTGGACCAAATGAAAAACTGTGGAGCAGATTATGATGCAGTTAGACCTTGCTTGAATGACTTTGACCCACAAAAGCAGGTAAATGTTCCCCTGGACTGAGGCTTTTGGTTACATTGCAAGGTTCCATCACGGGCTCTATTACATTTAACATTTTTAGTAATTATTTGGATGGAAAATCACATAAAATTAAATTTGTAGATTACATGTAGTTGTTAAGGATTACTAATGTATTCATTGACACTAAAGAATTATTAGGTAAGCCTAATTGTAAAATTCAGTATGTAAGTTAGAAAATTAATAGTACAGGTCAGGCACAGTAGCTCACACCTGTAGTCCCAGCACTTTGGGAGGCCAAAGTGGGAGGATCCTTGAGCACAGGAGTTGGAGGCTGCAGTGAGCTATGATCACACCACTGCAATCCAGTCTGGATGGCAGAGCAAAACCGTCTCTAAAAAAGCAAACAAACAATTGGTACAGTATATTTCAGATAAATATGTCCTTCAGCAGTATGTGGAAAGGCAGGGATTATAGCTGACTATAATTTTAGGCTTCATTAATTAAAACTGAACCAAATGAACATTGTCCCTATCTATTCTTGCTTGGTCAGACCACACTATAATTTCAAAGAAACATTCATAAGCCAAAGGTGTCTGTGTTAATCCATTTGCATTGCTATAAAGGAATACCTGGCCAGGCACCATGGCTCATGTCTGTAATCCCAGCACTTTGGGAGGATGAGGCAGGTGGATCACCCGAGGTCAGGCGTTCGAGACCAGCCTGACCAACATAGAGAAACCCTATCTCTACTAAAAATAGAAAATTAGCTGGACGTGGTGGTGCATGCCTGTAGTCCCAACTACTCGGGAGGCTGAGGCAGGAGAATCTCTTGAACCCGGGAGGCAGAGGTTACGGTGAGCCGAGATCATGCCATTGCAATCCAGCCTGGGTAACAAGAGTGAAACTCCGTCTCAAAAAAAGAAACAGAGAGAGAGAGGAAGAAAGAGAAGGAAGGAAGGAAGGAAAGAAAGAAAAGAAAGACAGACCTGAGGCTGGGATAACTTTATTTTATTTATTTATTTATTTATTTATTTATTTATTTATTTGAGCTAGAGTCTTGCTCTTGTCGCCCAGGCTGGAGTGTAGTGGCACGATCTTGGCTCACTGCAGCCTCCCCTTCCAGGGTTCAAGCGATTCTCCTGCCTCAGCCTCCCAAGTAGCTGGGATTACAGGTGCCCACCACCACACCTGGCTAATTTTTGTATTTTTAGTAGAAACGGGGTTTCACCATGTTGGCCAGGCTGGTCTTGAACTCCTGACCTCATGCTCTGCCCACCTTGACCTCCCAAAGTGCTGGGATTACAGGTGTGAGCCACCGCGCCCGGCCTTGGGTAATTTTAATTTATAAAGAAATGAGATTTATTTTGGCTCATGGGTTCTGCAGGCTGTACAGGAAGCATGGTGCCAGCACCTGTTTCTACTGAGTGCTTCAGGAAGCTTACAGTCATGGCTCATAATGCCAAGGGGAGCCAGCATGCTACATAGCAAGAGAGGGAACAAGAAAGAGAGCGAGAAGGAGGAGGTTCCAGAAGGAGGTGGAGAGAGAAGGAGGCGAGTCTTGCTCTGTTGCCCAGGCTGGAGTGCAGTGGCACGATCTCAACTCACTGCCTCCCACGTTCAAGCGATTCTCCTGCCTCAGCCTCCTGAGTAGCTGGGATTACAGGCACCCACCACTATGCCTGGCTAATTTTTTTGTATTTTTAGTAGAGATGGGGTTTCACCATGTTGGTCAGGCTGGGCTCAAACTCCTGACCTCAAGTGATCCACCTGCCTCGGTTCCCCAAAGTGCTGGGATTACAGGCGTGAGCCACCGCGCCTGGCCCCAGACTCTTTCAAAAACAATCAAATCTTGTGTGAACTCAGAGAACTCACTCATGACCAGGAGGAGGGCACCAATCCATGCATGAGGGTTCCACTCCCATGACCCAAATACCTCCCACCAGGCCCATCTCCAACACTGGAAGTCACATTTCAACATGAGATTTGACAAACATCTAAACTATATCAATATCCATAGAAGGCTAACCAGGATAATAGGACTTTGGAACTATGTCCTATGAAATTGCTAAAGAAATAGTTTTCTCCACAGAAGAAAAGCCAGGGGAGATGGGGTCAATATGTCTTCCAAAGTCTGAAGGAGAGTTATGTGGCAAATACCAAATTTACTATTTGTGACTTCAGAGGACAAAGCCTCTGGATCAATGTTCAGAAACTCCCGTGTAGACAAAGTTTATCTGAATATAAGTACATTCTAGCCATTAGGATTGTAGGCTGCATTTTTTTTTTTTTTCGAGACAGAGTCTAGCTCTGTTGCCCAGGCTGGAGTGCAGTGGTGCAATCTTGGCTCACTGCAACCTCCGCCTCCCAGGTTCAACCAATTCTCCTGCCTCAGCCTCCCAAGTAGCTGGAATTACAGGAGCCCACCACCATGCCTGGCTAACTTTTGTATTTTTAGTAGAGATGAAGTTTCACCATGTTGGCCAAGCTGGTCTCAAACTCCTGACTTCAAGTGATCTGCCTGACTCAGCCTCCCAAAGTGCTGGGATTACAGGCGTGAGCGACCACACCCAGCCAACATTAATCCATTTATGAAGGTAGAGCCTAATCATCATCCCACCTTTTAATACTGTTACAATGGTAATTAAATTTCAACATGAGTTTTGGGAAATGACAAACATTCAAACCATAGCAGATGCTATGCCGCTGGCTTCAAAGGTAGAAGAAGGGGCCGTAAGCCAAGGAATTCAGGCAGCCTCTAGAAGCCAGAAGAGGCAAGGAAATGAATTCTACTCCAGAGCCTCTGTGGGGAATACAGCCCGCCAGCACCTTGATTTTGGTGAAACCCATTTTGAGTCTTTTCTGCCTAGATGGAGCTCTCTTTTTTCATTTTTTTGAATATTTTTCTGTGGAGATCTTAAGTACTTCCCATAACTTCAACTCTAGCTTCTCTATAAATAACACCCCAAATCATATCTCTTCCCCTAATCTCTCTTGAGCTCTAATCCCACATAACTAATTAGCAGACATTTTTATTTGGACATCCTGAAATAGTTTTAAATTCAATATGCCTCCAGGAAGAAAGATGCAGGGATTGAGAGTTTAGAATGCAAAGGGGTAATGTGGTCTTTCCTTCAAAGAGGAAAAACAAAGCCAACTTATTTTCTACAAAAAACAGATCCAAAATTGAGCAAAATTGGCCATGAAGAATTCTGATGACAAAATTGCAAGTGCTTTTGTGCAGCAAACTACATAGAGGCTTTTAAACTCCAAATGGGATAAAGTTAAAAGATTTTTTTTCCTGGCCGGGCACGGTGGCTCACGCCTGTAATCCCAGCACTTTGGGAAGCCGAGGCGGGCTGATCACAAGGTCAGGAGATCGAGACCATCCTGGCTAACATGGTGAAAACCAGTCTCTACTAAAAATACAAAAATTGACTGGGCATGGTGGTGGGTGCCTGTAGTCCCACCTACTTGGGAGGCTGAGGCAGGAGAATGGCGTGAACCTGGGAGGCGGAGCTTGCAGTGAGCCGAGATCACACCACTGCACTCCAGCCTGGGCGACAGAGCAAGACTCCGTCTCAAAAAAAAAAAAAAAAAGATTTTTTTTCCTTAAGTTGTCCTTTTTCAAAATTTTATTAAATATTATGTTCTTTTTAATTCTTATTATTTATACTATCTTTTTGAGACAGAGTCTCGCTCTGTTGCCCACGCTGGAGTGCAGTGGTGTGATCATGGCTCACTGTAGCCTCAACCTCCTGGGCTCAAGTGATCCTCCCCCCAACCCCCTGAGCAGCTGGGACCACAAGTGTGCCACCACACCCAGCTAATTTTTAAAATTTCTTATAGAGACAGGGTCTCCCTATGTTGTCCAGAGTGGTTTCAAACTACTGGGCTAAAGCAATCCACTGGCCTTGGCCTCCCAAAGTGTTGGGATTACAGGCATGAGCCACTGCACCCGGCCCAAATACTATGTTCTTAACAAGAAAAATGATACTTATAATATCTGGACATGAGATGCATGTCTTCAGCCATCTCTTTCAAGAGTAGGCTGAGCCCAGTGAAGTGATAGATAATAAATGTGAATTAAAACTACAGGGAACCACATACCATTGTGGTTTAGAGTGCAAGCACTAGAGTTAGGTAGTTTGGATTGGGGTCATAGCTCTAATATTTGTTGGATGAATAACTTTGGAAAATCTTGTTATCCTCCTTTGCCTCCGTTTCTTCATCTATAAAATGAAGATAGGCTACGCACGGTGGCTCACGCCTGTAATCCCAGCACTTTGGGAGGCCGAGGTGGGTGGATCACGAGGTCGGGAGATCGAGACCATCCTGGCTAACACGGTGAAACCCCGTCTCTACTAAAAAATACAAAAAATTAGCCGGGCGTGGTGGCGGGCTCCGGTAGTCCCAGCTACACGGGAGGCTGAGGCAGGAGAATGGCCTGAACCCGGAAGGCGGAGCTTGCAGTGAGCTGAGATCGTGCCACTGAACTCCAGCCTGGGAGACAGAGTGAGACTCCGTCTCAAAAAAATAAATAAACAAAATGAAGATAAAGTATCTACTGCATAGGGTTGTTATAAAGATTAAAAGATAATACAAGTAAAGATCTTTTCATTTTAAACAAGAAGTTTATTTAAACAAGACACTTGAAGGGAAAACTATCTAGGATTCTTTTTTTTTTTTTTTTCAGAGTAATTTATCCCTACTTACAGAGAGATTGCCCTACGTGTAACAGCTGCATACAAAAAAGTTATAAAATTATCATTGGTTTAACAAGGATAAGTGAAAAACATTAAAATTCTCCAACTGAACAAGGTATGCAAGGATTTTTATCTTGTTGTTGTTTTGTTAAAATAGTAAGAGCAAAATAACTTACTGGAATATAAAGATAAGAGCTGAATGAGCATGCCACTAATGGAGAAAGGGGGTATTTTCACAGAATCAGTATTTTTTCCCATTCCATCTCCACTTGATGTCAGTCAAAACGTACCATTGCTATTTAGTTTAAAAAATGCAATATGGGTTGGGCGCGGTGGCTCACTTCTGTAATCCCAGCACTTTGGGAGGCTGAGGTGGGTGGATCACCTGAGGACAGGAGTTTGAGACCAGCCTGGCCAATATGGTGAAACCCCGTCTCTACTAAAAATACAAAAATTAGCCGGGCGTGGTGGGTGCCTGTAGTCCTAGCTACTCAGGAGGCTGAGACAGGAGAATTGCTTGAACCTGGGAGGTGGAGGTTGCAGTGAGCTGAGATCGTGCCACTGCACTCCAGCCTGGGTGACAAAGCAAGACTCAGCCTCAAAAAAAAAAAAAATGCAATATGTGTGTCCACATATACCAGTTACTTTATGTACAATAAAAAAATGGGAACTGGAGTAAAGAAGCAGGTTCCCTTTTCAGTAGACACCTCCTATCTGCTGGTGGAACACATCAATTATATCTATATCCTCCATTTCCACCTGTACAGGTGTGTCTGTTTCATTGATTGGCTGACTGTCAAATCGGAATCTGATCTGCCCCATTGACAATGCCTTGGGCTTTTCCTCGGCCATGGCAAATGCCAGAGTCTTCTCAGCTGCCGCTTCACAAAAGAGGTACCAGCTTCTCACTGAACGAACACAGTGCAGCACCAGGAGTGACAGAAGAAGGAGGCGGCAGCGGTGGTTGAGGGACAGGGTGCGTGCACGTCCAAGTACAGTTCTTAAAATGTTGAGGGCATACAACATATGCTCAATAAATACCTGATTTTTAAAAAAGACAATGACTATGGAAAACTCTTGATCATTAACCCGAAGGGAGAGTCTAGTTTCCAGGAAGCATTTGTTTGTATACACTATTTAACCCAAGGATACACTCTTTTCTCCGTGGCAGCGTGACTCATCTTAGTCTCCAATTTTTGACCTGGTAAGGCATCTTTTTTGGTCTCTTAATTTCTGGCTCACTTGGCCCTGATTTGATGTGAATGTTCTTACTGACATCCCAGTGACTGATTCTCAGCACACCACAACCCCTTTTGGTTCCTACCCTATCTTCTCTGTGTTGGCAACTGGACTCGCCTATTCTTCAGGACTTTCAGGAGTGCACACTCTGGTAGCTCTCTATTGACTTTACTGCTCACTCATTCTTTTTCTTTTTTTTTGGAGACGGAGTCTCGCTCTGTTGCCCAGGCTGGAGTGCAGTGGCGCGATCTTGGCTCATTGCAAGCTCCGCCTCCCGGGTTCACGCCATTCTCCTGCCTCAGCCTCCCGAGTAGCTGGAACTACAGGCGCACGCCCGGCTAATTTTTTTGTATTTTTAGTAGAGACGGGGTTTCACCGTGTTAGCCAGGATGGTCTCGATCTGCTGACCTCGTGATCTGCCTGCCTCGGGCTCCCAAAGTGCTGGGATTACAGGTGTGAGCCACCGCGCCCAGCCTACTGCTCACTCATTCTAACAGAGCAATGTCCCAGTTCTGACTTAAGCTCCCAGAAGAACTTCTGTGATTCTAGCAAGTTGTTATTAAAAGGTATTGAGGCCAGGCATGGATGTCCTTGCTTGAAATCCCAGCACTTTAGGAGGATCTCTTGAGGCTAGGAGTTCAAGACCAGCCTGGACAACACAGCAAGACCCCCTCTCTACAAAAAATACAGGTGCACACCACCATGCTTATGCCAGCATGCCCGCTACTTAGGAAGCTGAGGTGGGATGATTGCTTGAGCCCAGGAGTTCAAGGCTGCAGTGAGCTATGATCACACTATTGCACTCCAATAGAGTGAGAACCTGTCTCTAGGGAGGAAAAAAAAGAGATATTGGATTCACTGTCCTATCTAGAATGAAAGTTTTTCATTCTAAATTAGCATAACCATCATTAACTACCTACCTTCCTAGCACTGACTGACCACCCCACCATTTTCCCCTTTAGTGAATTCAAAAAAAAAAAAAAAAAAAAAACAGGTGTTGAAATTGAGCAAGGGAGAGGGGCCTTATATATATTTGTGCTTCTCTAAATCTTATTGGATATGATGTGCAAAAATATGCCATTAAGACTATACTTTCAGGGATCATTTCTATAGTTTGTTACAAACATATGCCATTAATAGCTTGATAGGTCATACTTTAATACTTTTTCTTTCTAATAAATAGATATGCTTTTTAAAATTTGGCTAAGTTACGGGCAAATCTATATTCTCTTACCCAAATCAGATAATAGACTAGACAGTAAGCCCACAAAACCATAAACCAGGCACCACCATTCACTCGGTAGCCAGTACCTGAGTTATAAATACAGTGACTCACAGAAAATAATAAATTTTCATTAGGCTGGCCTCCCCCAAGTTAAATCTGTAACATGAAACAGCCATTTTAAAGTGGTGTCTAGGCAGGGCATGGTGGCTCACACCTGTAATCCTAATACTTTGGGAGGCTGAGACAGGCAGATCACCTGAAGTCAGGGGTTCAAGATCAGACTGGCCAACATGGTGAAACCCTATCTCTACTAAAAATACAAAAATTAGCCGGATGTGGTGGTGGGCCCCTGTAATCCCAGCTACCTGGGAGGCTGAGGCTGCAGTGAGCGGAGACTGTGTCACTGCACGCCAGCCTAGGTGACACAGTGAGACTCTGTATCAAAAAAAAAAAAAAGAAAGTACTGTCCAATGACCAATACAATGTATGTAGAGAGAAGAAAAAGTGTCAATGTTGATTACAAAGATAAAAAATGGAAAAAAATTATAGAAAGAAATGGTCAATGGCCATAAGAGGGATAACCTTCTGTGGAAGATGTATACAAACCATAACTTTGTTGAAAAATAACATTTACATAGCACTTCACAATATACTTTTCTTACACTCCACCTCATTTGTTCCTTGTAACAGTATTCTAATGTTGGTGCTCTTATTGTTCCTATTTTTAAAATGAGGAAATTACAGCTGGGCACAGTGGCTCACTCGTGTAATCCCAGCACTTTGGGAAGCCCAGGCGGGCAGATCACCTGAGGTCAGGAGTTTGAGACCAGCCTGGCCAACATGGCAAAACCCTGTCTCTACTAAAAACACAAAAATTAGCTGGGCATGGTGGCATGCGCCTGTAATCCCAGCTACTCAGGAGGCTGAGGCAGGAGAATCACTTGAACCCGGGAGGCAGAGTTTGCTGTGAGCTGAGACCACGCCATTGCACTCACTGCAGCCTGGGCAACAAAGACAATTACACTTGCCCTGATTCCAAGTCCTGGACTTTTCCCATTACATCATGCTGCCTCACCTAGTACATAGGACACAGTTAAATGCATAGAAGAACTTCACTAGATAGGCTTGTAAATTTCATTTTTAGGAATCTTCAAGAGGCGCATATGTCTTATATAATTTTAACCAATCTGGCAGCAGATTTTTAGGCATTATAATCTTTTGAGGTTCTTTTCTGCTATTTCATTTTCAATTACTGTCAAACTACTTCTCAGTACTGCTTATGACTTATGATATCTACCCCCACTGCATATGGTAAATTTTAATGTTATGTATATTTTACCACAATTTTAAAAAATAAATTGAAAAAAAATTTTTTTAGTGAAACAGGGTCTCTTTGTCACCCAAGGCTGGAGTGCAGTGGCACAATCATGGCTCACTACAGCCTCCTGGGCTCCAGTGATCCTCCCACTTGAGCCTCCCAAGTAGCTGGGACCATAGGTGCATGCCACCAAGCCCAGCTATTTTTGAAAATTTTTTGTAGAGAGGAGGTCACACTATGTTGCCCAGGCTGGTCTTGAACTCCTGGGCTCAGGTGATCTTCCTGTCTTGGCCTCTCAAAGTGCTGGGATTACAGGTGCAAGCCACCATGCCGAGAATTTAAAATATATATATATTTTTATTTTATTATATTATTATTTGCATTATTATTATTATTATTTTTGAGACAGAGTCTCATTCTGTCACCCAGGCTGGAGTGCAGTGGCACAATCTTGGGTCACTGCAACCTCTGCCTCCCGGTTCAAGCAATTCTCCTGCCTCAGCCTCCCAAGTATCTGGGATTACAGGCACTGCCACCACACCTGGCTAATTTTTGTATTTTTAGTAGAGATGGGGTTTCACCATGTTGGCCAGGCTGGTCTCAAACTCCTGACCTCAAGTGATCCACCCGCCTTGGCCTCCCAAAGTGTATTTTTTTTTTTTAAGTAGGGTCTCATTTTGTCACCCAGGCTGGAGTACACTGGCATGATCTCAACTCACTACAGCCTCAGCCTCCTGGGTTCAAGTGATCCTCTTGCCTTTTTACCCCACCCCACCTCCCTGACCCAAGTAGCTGGAACTACAGGCCCGCACCACCCTGCCTGGCTAATTTTTTGCATTTTTTTTAGAGGAATGGGTTTCACCATGTTGGCTAGGCTGGTCTCAAACTCCTGAGCTCAAGCAATCCACTCACCTCAGCCTCCCAAAGTGCTGGGATTACAGGCGTGAGCCACTGTGCCCAGCCTAAAACGATAATTTTAAAAGCATAGGAAATATGAGTCCTTAGCTCTATTATTGAAAGCCTCTATGACCTCCATGTTTGTGTTACAAAATTATCAGTTAAGCCACTATCGCATGGAAACACCAGATACAAATGTGAATTTAGTTAAAGAGTTGTGTGTTTGTGTGTGTGTGTAGACAGTGGATATCTTGTCTACTTTAGATGTGATTCTTCTTCCAACTGATTCGCCAGAAGCATCAGGCCTCTTTGCTTCTTTTCTTCAGTGTCCTGCGCCTTGGCTGTTACAGGTGGAGGTGGAAAAGAAATTGCCATTGATGCTGCAAATAACTTCCTTCACCTTCTAACCTGGAGATTCATTGAAGGAAGAAAAAAGGTGACTGTCAGAGTCCCTGCTGGCCATGCCTCTCAGCCACAGGACCACTGAGCCACTTAATTCCTCCCCAGGGTCAGATGTGCCCCAGCACCAGGTTGTTTATGGATACCCTAACCACCTTTTCACACTCCTTGAAGTTTAGCTTTAAATGTTTTAAGAATTAGCAAAGTGGGCCGGGCACGGTGGTTCAAGCCTGTAATCCCAGCACTTTGGGTCGCTGAGGTGGGCGGATCACCTGAAGTCAAGAGTTCCAGACCAGCCTGGCCAACATGGTAAAACCCCATCTATGCAAAAATACAAAAATTAGCCGGGCATGATGGTGAGTGCCTGTAATCCCAGCTACTCGGGAGGCTGAGGCAGAAGAATCACTTGAACCTGGGAGGCAGAGGTTGCAGTGAGCCGAGATCTCACCATTGCACTCCAGCCTGGGCAACAGAGCGAGACTCCATCTCAAACAACAACAACAACAACAAATTAGCAAAGCTGATTATTTGATCTTGGTGAGTACTGGCTAATGCTGAAGGTTATTTCAGAACGTTGACCCTGGCCAGGTGTGGTGGCTCACGCCTGTAATCCCAGCACTTTGAGAAGCCAAGGCAGGTGGATCACCTGAGGTCAGGAGTTTGAGACCAGCCTGGCCAACATGGCGAAACCCCATCTCTACTAAATATACAAAAATTAGCTGGGCATGGTGGCGGGCACCTGTAATCCCGGCTACTTGGGAGGCTGAAGCAGGAGAATTGCTTGAACCCGGGAGGCAGAAATCGCAGTGAGCAGAGATCGTGCCATTGCACTCCCTCCTGGGCAACAAGAGCGAAACTCTGTCTCAAAAAAAAAAAAAAAGAATGTTGACTCTGATCAGTAATTCTACAAGAAATTAAGAAATTATTATCACATTTGGCAAAGGGAAAGTTGTTTAGTTAGCACTAAATAAGGTGGTGGCAGGACACAGTGGTCACGCCTGTAATCCCAACATTTTGGTAAGCCAAGGCAGGCAGATCACATGAGGCCAGGAGTTTGAGACCACCACGTGGCGAAACCCCATCTCTACAAAAAATACAAAAAATTAGCCAGATGTGGTGGCACAGCTACTTGGAAGACTGAAGTGGGAGGATCACCTGAGCCTGGGGAGGTCGAGGCTGCAGTGAGCTGTGATGGCGACACTGCACTCCAGTCTGGGTGACAGAGTGAGACCCTATCTGAAAAATAAAATAGCTGGGCACAATGGCTCACACCTGTAATCCCAGCACTTTTTGAGGCCGAGGAGGGAGGACTGCTTGAGCTCAGAAGTTTGAGATCAGGGTGCGCAAACATGACAAAACCCTGTCTCTACAAAAAATTTTAAAATTAGCCAAGTGTGGTGGTGTGAGCCTGTGGTTCCAGCTACTCGGTAGGCTGAGGTGGGAGAATCACCTGAGCCCAGGGAGGTCAAGGCTGCAGTGAGACCTGATCGAAACACTGCACTCCAGCCTGGGCAACAGAGTATGAGACCCTGTCTCAAAAATAAATAAATAAAATAAAGTGGTAAAGACATATTAAAATTAGTGCCCCTTATGTGATTAAAATATATCATCACTATCATTGTTTTGGAAAGTTGAGAAGTATTAAATATCAGTATTTTACGAATCATGGTCATTTTTCCTTTGTTGAATGTTCAACATACATTTTTTAAAAAAGAAGTCTAGGCTGGGCACAGTGGCTCACGCCTGTAATCTCAGCACTTTGGGAAGCCAAAGCAGGTAGATCACGAGGTCAGGAGTTCAAGACCAGCCTGACCAACATAGTGAAACCCAGTCTCTACTAAAAATACAAAAATTAGCCAGGCGTGGTGGCACACGCTTGTAATCCCAGCTACTCAGGAGACTGAGGCAGGAGAATCGCTTGAACCCAGGAGGCGGAGGTTGCAGTGAGCCAAGCTTGCACCACTGCATTCCGCGTGGGGGACAGAGCGAGATTCCATAAAAAAAAGAAGTCTATTGAAACCATTTTTCTAGCAAACAAAAAAAACAAGTTTAGAATAGTTTTACTAGGAAACCTTTATCTTCAGCAGGATACAGGCTAAAAAAATTTTTTTAATAAAAAAAAGGAAACCTTTATCAAAATTCTCACTAACCTTATAGTGAATAGAAAGTATACGTTAAGAAGTAACAAAAGATATCTGAAGTCTAAAAACAACTCACCTGCCAACAAATTATATGATCTTGGACAAGTCACTAATCACTGCTTAATCATTGTTTCTTCATCAGCAACCTGGAGGTAATAATGCATCTCCAACCTAGCTGAGATGGAAGTTTACATACAGTAAAATAATGGATGAGTAAGTGCTTTGGAAAGCATTGCATGCTGCACTTATAATTATTGTTGTTAATAAAGATAGTTTTAAACAAAAACCATGGTAAGGAGAGGGAGAAAGACAAATTGAGAGATATATATCTATATATCTTTTTTATTATTTATTATTATTATGATACTTTAAGTTTTAGGGTACATGTGCACAACGTGCAGGTTTGTTACATATGTCTACATGTGCCATGTTGGTGTGCTGCATATCTTACATTTATACATATCTTACATTCATACATATCATATGTACATATATATACATATGATATGTATAAATGTAAGCCTAACACAAGATGGACAATAATCAAGAAATTTTAATTATTTTTATTCTATCCTATTAAACTAATTATTCTTTTTTTTTTTTTTTTTTTTTTTTTACAGTAGAGACCAGGTTTTGCTGTGTCACCCAGGCTGGAAGGCAGTGACACAATGATCATAGCTCTCTGCAGTCTTGAACTCCTGAGCTGAGTGATCCTCCCACCTTAGTCTCCTGAGTAGCTGGAACTAATAGGTGCGCACCACCATGCCCGGCTAGAATAATTATTATTGTCCTATTTAAATATTATTTTCATACTTGAAACAATATTTTCCTGTGGTTTAGCCCTACTCAGATATTAGTGGAAAGCAGCTGACACATGTAGTCCAAACCACAGTTTCATTAAACTAATGAGAAACTACCAGTCTATCCTTGGAATCCTGGGTTGTTCCAGAGGCGTAGAGTAGGATTAGCACAGATCTAAGGGACTCAAGCGAGTGGGGGTTCCTTATCACCAAAACCGTAAATGTATTATAGATTCTCCTGGGAGTTCTGCTACGTTTCAGATAGTATGTGCTACCAGGGGATTCCAATTAGCATAAGCATAAGAAGTAACAGGACCAAACTGGGTTTTTTGTTTCACTAGAATTATCCTTTCCTGGGCATTTTCTGGAATTTAAGTACGACCCGATGATACATTAGATAACAACTGATCAGATTAGATGCCCTAAACGTCCCAAATCATCAGGGACTAGAGATTGAGTTACGATTGTCCCAATAGTATAAATTTGTGGTTTTGTGGGTTCAGTCTAGGTCCTGCTGCTCGCTACACAGAAAGCCAATGACTGAGACAACGGGTATTGCCAAGGCAAAAGGCTTTGACCAGGTGCTGCAGTGGAGGAGATGGGAGTTCAGTCTCAAATCCATCTCCCCTGCCGACTAAAATTAGGAGTTTATATAGCAGGTAAGAAATATAACAATGTGTAGGAAAACAAGAACTCGGGGAAGGTTAAGGAAGCAATCATGATGAATGAGGGGCCTGGCCTCTCATTGGATGAGATGATCCAGTGAGTTTCAATTATTTGATACTTTCCCAGAGGTCTGGGGGTCCTTTCCTGAGGAAGTAACTCAGATAAAATAAATGTAAGTTTCAAGCTTTAAGACCAGAAGTGTCAATTTCTATAGATAGATAGATAGATTTTTTTTTTTAATAAAATCTCAAACTCCTGGGCTCAAGTGATCCACCTGCCTCAGCCTCCCAAAGTGCTGGGATTACAGGCATGAGACACCGTGCCAGCACATCCAACATTTTCTAATCTTCCCACATTTCTGACCCTTCGCCTACACTTCCTTACTTTTCATCAACTGACCTGAAAACAGATGTCCTCAGATAAAACGCGTCTTAACTTCCTCAAATTAAACTAATTCAATATATATAATTTCACTTCCCCCAGTCAGCACCTTTCTTCCTATTTAACAGTTACCTGTGTTCTTAATTCCATTTTAACCACCTTGTGCTATCTTAATTATTCTATTCTATTATTTATCATCCTCCTCCTCAGTATACTTCCTCTTAGTTGGATCTTACTATCTTTTTTTTTTTTTTTTGAGACAGGTCCACTGGAGGGCAGTGGCGTGATTACAGCTCACTGCATCCTCGACCTCCCAAGCTCAAGCCATCCTCCCACCTCAGCCCCTCAAGTAGCTGGGACAACAGGCACCAGCATGCCCAGCTAATTTTTGTATATTTTGTAGAGAAGGGGTCTCACCATGTTGCCCAGGCTAATCTCGAACTACTGAGCTCAAGCAATCTGACCACCTTGGCCTCCCAAAGTGCTAGGATTATAGGAGTGAGCCACCACGCCCAGCCTCCATTAGCATTTTAACCTACTTAAGTTTCTGCCATCAGCACCACAAACAAAACCAGAATATTCTTTGACCTTTTATCTCTCTCAGCTACTGCCCTGTTCTTCTCACCTAACCTTCTTGAAAGAATTGTATACACTCACTATTCTTCACTTCCCACTCATTCTTTGGTCCACTGCCAGCTGCCTTTGACCACTAACATTCCTCTACAAGGCCACTAACAACACCCGAGTCTCAGAAATCCAATAAACACTTTTAAAAAAATTGAGATATGATTCAAATTTCATAAAATCTCATAAAATCCTATAAGACTCACCTTTTAAAGTGTATAATGTATCTTTTAAAGTGTACAATGCAGTGTTTTTTAGTATATTCATAAATTCATTCAACTATTACCATTTAATTTCAGAACATTCTCATCACTCCTGTATCCATTAGCAGTCACTACCAATTCCCCCTCCCTACAGCCCTTGACAACTGCTAATCTATTTTCCACCTCTACAGAGTTTCCTATTCTGGACATTTAATATAAACTGAATCATACACCATGTGACCTTTTGTGACTGGCTTCTTTCATTAAAGATAATGTTTTGTGTATTTATTTATTTTTAGCTATACCTACTGGAATGGGATTTCTTTTTTAGTATAATGTTTTCAGGGATCATCCATGTTGTAGTACGTATCAGCACTTCATTCCTTTTTATTGTGCAATAATATTCTGTTGTGCGGATATACCTCAGAGTGGTTATGCTATTTTGTTTATCCATTCATTAGTTGACGGACATTTGGGTTGTTTCCACTTTTTGACTATAACGAATAAAGTTGCTATGAACATTCAGGTACAAGTTTTTGTGTGGACATATGTTCTCAATACTCTTAGGTGGAATTGTGGAATTACTAAGTCATATGATAACTCTGTTTAACCCTTTTCGCCTTTGCCCCAAGAATACCTGCCAGCGGTGCTTGCAGCTGCAGCATTTACTCCAAGATAACCTTGCCACAAAATATTGTTGTATTATTAATACATGAGTAAGCATATTAATATTTATTATTATTTTTGCATTGCTCTAGTGTATTGACTTTGGAAACAAAAACATTATTCTATTTATAGTATTCTGTTTTTAGTTGTATTTCCGTTTATAAAATATAGTAATTCTTGATCACTGAAAATGTCAAATCCTAAAAAACGTAGCATCGTTCTCAAACAGTTGTTGGCTGAAGATTCATTTGATGGATCTGATTTTTCTGAAATAGACGATTTTGATGGTTCAGATGATTCTGATGTTAGTTCTGTTTAGAAATAACTCCAAGAACAGTTTTTATATTTTATTTTCACATGAAAATCAGTCAGATTTTCTTCAGCCTCAAAGAACATGTTTAAGTAAAATTAAATGAGTGCTGGCATCGAGCTGTGTTTTTTTAAAATCTAAACTGGAAAAGGGTTAAATTTTGAGAAAGTGCCAAACTGTTTTCCAAAGCACCTGCACCATTTTACACTTCCACTGTTAATATACAAGAGCTCAAATTTTACCAACACTTGTTATTATCTGAGTTTTTCTTCCCAGCTGATCTAGCAGGTATGAAGTAGTATTCAATTGTGGTTTTGAAGTTGGATTTTTCTAATGATTAATAATGTTGAATATCTTTTTATGTGCTTATTGGCCATTTTTATATCATCTTAAGAGAAATGTCTATTCAAGTCCTTTGCCTACTTTTCACTTGGGTTTTTTTTTTTTTTCTTTTTTTTTTGAGACGGAGTTTCGCTCTTGTTGCCCAGGCTGGAGTGCAGTGGCACAGTCTTTGCTCACTGCAACCTCTGCCTCCCCAGTTCCAGTGGTTCTCCGGCTTCCACCTCCCGAGTACCTGGGATTACAGGCATGCACCACCACACCCAGCTAATTTTTGTATTTTTATTTTTTGAGATGGAGTCTCACTCTGTCACCCGGGCTGGAGGGCAATGGCATGATCTCGGCCCACTGCAACCTCCGCCTCCTGGGTTCAAGCGATTCTCTTGCCTCGGCCTCCTGAGTAGCTAGGATTACAGGCATGCGCCACCACGCCCGGCTGATTTTGTATTTTTAGTAGAGACAGGGTTTCTCCACGTTGGTCAGGCTGGTCTCGAACTCCTGACCTCAAGTAATCTGCCTGCCTCGGCCTCCCAAAGTGCTGGGATTACAGGCGTGAGCCACCATGCCCAGCCTGTATTTTTATTTATTTATTTATTTATTTTGAGATGGAGTCTCGCTCTGTTGCCCAGGCTGGAGTGCAGTGGCATGATCTCAGATCACTGCAAGCTCCACCTCCTGGGTTCATGTCATTCTCCTGCCTCAGCCTCCTGAGTAGCTGGGACTAGAGGTGCCCGCCACCACGCCCGGCTAATTTTTTTGTATTTTTAGTAGAGACGGGTTTCACCCTGTTAGCCAGGATGGTCTCGATCTCCTGACCTCGTGATCTGCCCGCCTCAGCCTCCCAAAGTGCTGGGATTACAGGCGTGAGCCACCACGCCCAGCCTGTATTTCTATTTTTTGAGATGGAGTCTTACTCTGTCATCCAGGCTGGAGTGCCGTGGCACAATCTTGGTCCACTGCAACCTCCACCTCCTGGGTTCAAGCAATTCTCCTGTCTCCGCCTCCCAAGTAGCTGGGACTACAGGCACACACCACCACACCCAGCTAATTTTTGTGTGTTTTTTTTTTAGTAGAGGTGGGGTTTCACCATACTGGCCAGGCTGGTCTCACACTCCTGACCTCAGCTAATCCACTTGCCTCTGCCTCCCAAAGTGCTGGGATTACAGGCATGAGCCATCACGCCCGGCCTAAAAGCTTTTAATTTTTCTGAAGTCCAATTTATCTATTTTTTCTATGGTTGCTTAGGCTTTAGGTATTATATTTTAGAAACTATTGCCTAATCCAAAGTTACAAAGGTTTTGTTGTTGTTGTTGTTTTGTTTGTTTTTGAGTTGATTTCTCACTCCTGTCTCCCAGGCTGGAGTGCAGTGGTACAATCTCAGCTCATGGCAGCCTCCACTTCCCGGGCTTAGGTGATCCTCCCACCTCAACCTCCGGAGTAGCTGGGACTACAGGTACATGCCACCACACCAGCTAATTTTTTTGTATTTTTAATAGAGACGAGGTTTTGCCATGTTCCTGAGGTTGGTCTCAAACACCTGTGCTCAAGTGATCTGCCCATCTCAGAAGTGCTAGGATTATAGGCATGAGCCACCTCACTTAGGCATGAAGATTTATACCTATTTTTTATTCTAATACTCTTGCAATTTTAACTCTTACATTTAGGTCTTTGATCTGTTTTGAGTAAATTTTTACATATGGTATGAGGTAGGGGTCCAACTTTATTATTTTGCATGTGGACATCAAGCAATTCTCCTGCCTCTGCGTCTGAGGAGGTGGGATTACAGGTGTGCACCACCATGCCCAGCTAATTTTTATATTTTTGATAGAGACGGGGTTTCACCATGTTGGCCAGGCTGGGACTCCCTCCTTTTAAAATACTCTTTTTCTGTGACTCTGCTCAATTACCTGGCATCATAAGAATTATGCCTGCTTTAGAGATTATACAAAGCATACCCATAAATAAGTGCATGGTATCAGTATGCCTTAGTAGAATAAACACTGCCATAGGAATTATTATGAGAGGTGTTTTATGTCATTTTCTGTAAACAGTTTGGTCATATACTTTGTTGATCTTTTGTGGGGAAGGAGCTTGTAGATATTTTTTAAATTACTATTTTGTAGGAACTCTTTAATATTAGAAAAATTAATTCTTTGTCTTAGGCTATGAGTAAGACATGTTTTCTCCCCAGTTTGTTCTTTATTTTTATTTTTTTTTTTTGAGACTGAGTCTCGCTCTGTCGCCCAGGCTGGAGTGCTGTGGCGTGATCTCGGCTTACCGCAAGCTCTGCCGCCCAGGTTCACGCCATTGTCCTGCCTCAGCCTCCCGAGTAGCTGGGACTACAGGCGCCCGCCACCGTGCCCGGCTAATTTTTTTGTATTTTTAGTAGAGACGGGGTTTCACTGTGTTATCCAGGATGGTCTCGATCTCCTGACCTCGTGATCCTCCCGTCTCGGCCTCCCAAAGTGCTGGGATTACAGGCGTGAGCCACCGTGCCCGGCCTGTTCTTTATCTTTAAACTTCTCACATAAAGGTTTTTGCCATGCAAATTTTTTTTTCTGGTTAATTTTTCAGTCTTTTGTGACTCTTTGCCTTTGTATCATGTTTAGAAACGGTTTCCACATTCAGACATAACAGAAAAAAAATCCCTTCCATGGTTTTGTCTAACACTTTCATGGTTTCGTTTTGCATTTAAATCCTTGATCCATGTGGAATTTATCCTAGGGTAAGGTATGAAATATGGATCTCACTTTTCCCCCCAGATGAATATTTTTTCTTTGGCTTCAATTCAATTAATTGAATAATCCTCCCTCATTTAAACACTTTTATCATATTCCAAATTCTCTTGTTTTAATATGTATTTCTCTACTAACTATTCAATATAATTAATCTACTTATAACTGATTACTACACTGTGAAATTATTATTGCTTTATAACATATCTTAGTATCTTCTTTTTTTCAGAATTAGCTTATATGATAGATATTAAATTGTCCCTATTAAGGAATAAATTTTAATCCAGGCATAGTGGTTCACACCTGTAATATCAGTACCTAAGGAGGCCAAGACAGGAAGATTGCTTGAGCCAAGGAGTTTGAGGTTACAGTGAGCTATGACTGTACCACTGCACTCTAGCCTTGGTGACAGTGAGAGCCTGACTCAGTTTTGTTTTTTTTAAAAAAGGAATACAATTGGAATCACATTGATTTTTAAAAAGGAAAAAAAAGGAGTATATTTTGTCCCGTTTATTTCAACTTGTGAAAATATTTTTGAATCTGAATTCTAAAATAAAACTTTGCCATTTCTCTTTTTGCATAATCATATTTAATAACCATACCTGTAGATCTTAATATAATCTAAGATTCTGAACAAAAAACGGCCAGAAAGAGGGTCTTGCAGCATTCTCCTAGACGCTTGTTACTGTAAGTGTGGTCTGTGGTCCAGCCTCCCAATATTTCTTGGTTATTATAAATCCTGAATCTCAGGCCTGAGATTAGTAACTCAAACCTACTAATTTAAAACCTGCATTTTGACAAGACTCCCGAAGCAATTTGTACGCACATCAAAGTTTGAAAGCAGTGTACTATAGAGACTTATCTCTAGGATAATAATCCATAACCTTCGCTTACATTAACTTCACCTGGGGGAGTTTTTAAAAAATACTGAGGACTGAGTTGCAACCCCAGAGATTGATTTAATTGGCCTGGGGTTGAAACGCTTGGCATTGGTATATTTACAAACCCCTAATAGCAGCCATGGTTGAGAAACAGTGCTCTAGAATTACAGCTTGCCATTGTCAGGGTCCTAGTTACTTTAAAACCAGGAAGAGGACCTTTATCATCTGATGAGGTATCATCAGAAAACAACGGTGATCTGAAAGCATTATTCATGCAACTTGCATCCCCAGAACTTTTTAGCTATTGTACCTGCCTGGCTTGGCTTTTTGCCTTGCCATTTGTTTGGTTTCCTTGATGGACAACTCTTGTTTCCTGATAACCACCTCTTCTTCATCTTCGTTCTGACATCCAATAAAACGTTCTGGCTTGCCTACTCACTTTAATAAGGAACAACAGATTTGTATCTGCCTGTGTTCCTATTCTTCTGCCTTATGTATACTTAAATATTCTTGTTCATGAATCTGATACAATTTGATCCCTCCTGGCTGGGTGTGGTGGCTCCTGCCTGTAATCCCAGCACTTTGGGAGGCCGAGGCGGGTGGATCGCTTGAGACCAGGGTTTTGAGACCAGCCTGTGCAACATGGTGAAATCCTGTCTCTACTAAAACAAAAATTAGCCAGGTGTGGTGGCACATGACCTATAGTCCCAGCTACTTGGGAGCCTGAGGCACCAGAATCATTTGAACTCAGGAGGCGCAGGTTTCAGTGAGCTGATATTGAGCCACTGAACTCCAGCCTGAGCAACAGAGCGAGACGCTGTGTCAAAAATAACAACAAAAATTTGATCCCCCTCCTACTTAGTTGCAGCTTCAGTTTGGGAGATTTTTCTTCTTTTGTACTGTTAAAATTCCATACTTATAAATAGTTCTTATCACAGTGGTCAGCTCATCTTCCACCGTGGTGATTAGTGACAGTACGCCATAGAATTCCTCAGGTATGCCAACCCAGAACCTTAGCAAAAGAAAGGAAAAGGGATTCATTTTGAATGACATTCTAAGAGTCCGTGTTGATTCTTTTTTTTTTTTTTTTTTTTTGAGACAAAGTTTCGCTCTTGTTGCCCAGGCTGGAGTGCAATGGCACGATCTCGGTTCACCACAACCTCTGCCTCCCGGGTTCAAGCAATTCTTCTGCCTCAGCCTCCCGAGTAGCCGGCATTACAGGCATGTACCACCATGCCCAGCAAATTTTGTATTTTTAGTAGAGGTGGGGTTTCTCCATGTTGGTCAGGCTGGTCTTGAACTCCCGACCTCAGGTGATCTGCCCACCTCGGCCTCCCAAAGTGCTGGGATTACAGGTGTGAGCCATCGCGCCTGGCCATCCATGTTGGCTTCTAATGATCACTGTGTGCTTCTATAAATACACATAAGCCAATGCTTAATAAACTACAATAGAATGTTGCAGGCTCTCAGATTCAAACTTTCCACCATGTGGAAGAGACTATTAGACTATTGAAAATTTGGAAGGTTGTCAGTCTACAGTTTTCTAGAAACCTGATCGCTCCTACTTCGTTCTTAACATAATTTCTCAGAAACTACTAATGCTGGTTGTGAAATCACTGGGCACATTCTTTCAGTATCTAGGTATAATTCTCCAGAGTGCTGGAGTCTTGAACTCTGTAGAAGTGAGAGATAAATTTATTATCTTTTCATATATTGCGGCCTTAGTTGTCTGTTTAACATACATAAATGAAGCATCATGATGTGCTGAACTTGGACAAAGTTGAGTAACCAAGGAGTTTACTTCTCCATATGGAGGAAGAAATATATCTCCAACCAATACAAACTGAATGTAGTATGAATGAAATGGATTGGATGGGGCAGATGAAGTTCTGTGTGTGAAAATAGCTGGTCTTAAAGTTTGGAATTTCTAATACTCTACTGGTATTACAGATATGCAAATTTTAACATCTGTCCCAGGGATGTGAACAATGTTAAGAGTTTTATCTGGGGGACCTAGAGGGCAGTTTCCCGGAAGTATTTTGATTTTTTTTCCAGCTTGAAATATTGCTTGTTGCTTAGAAGATGGAAACAATATAGTAATCAGGTTGCTAAACTCTTTTTTTCGGCTGCTAAAATTATATTATTTTCCTCGAAAAGTAAGTCTATTTCTTTTCTGAAGTATTTCTTCCTACAAACTTCTTTTTTTTTTTTTTTTTTTTTGAGACAGGGTTTCACTCTGTCACCCAGGCTGGAGTGCAGTGGGGTGATCTTGGCTCACTGCTTCCTCAACCTCCCAGGTTCAAGCAGTCCTCCCACCTCAACCTCCCAAGTAGCTGGGACTACAGGTGTGCGACACCACACCGGGCTAAATATTCAAAAGTTTTTTTGTAGGGCCGGGTGCAGTGGCTCACACCTGTAATCCCAGCACTTTGGGAGGCCAAGGTGGGCAGATCACCTGAGGTCAGGAGTTTGAGACCAGCCTGACCAACATGAAGAAACCCCATCTCTACGAAAAATACAAAATTAGCTGGGTGTGGTGGCGCATGCCTGTAATCCCAGCTACTCGGGAGGCTGAGGCAGAAGAATTGCTTGACCCCAGGAGGCAGAGGTTGCAATGAGCCGAGATCGCACCATTGCACCCCAGCCTGCGCAACAAATGCAAAACTCCGTCTCAAAAAAAAAAAAAAAAAAAAGTTTTTTTTGTAGAGACAAGGTCTCACCATGTTGCCCAGGCTGGTGTGGAACTCCTGGGCTCAAGTGATCCTCCCGCCTCAGCCTCCCAAAATGTTAGGATTACAGGTGTAAGCCACTGCGCCAGGCCTACAAATTTCTAAAGAATCTGCAGGTGGAAGATAAAGACAATTTATATTAAGGTAGAGATATAACAAGATAGCCATTTAAACATTTTGGTATTATGATGTAAATTTCAGTTTTAGGGCATACAGTCAATACTAAAGGCAGATTTGACTTTAGAAATTTCTACCAATGGCCGGGGGCAGTGGCTCATGCCTGTAATCCCAGCACTTGGGGAGGCCGAGGCAGGTGGATCACGAGGTCGGGAGTTTGAGACCAGCCTGGTCAACATGGTGAAACCCCGCCTCTACTAAAAATACAAAAATTAGCCAGGCACAGTGGCACGCACCTATAATCCCAGCTACTCAGGAGGCTGAGGCAGGAGAATCGCTTGAACCTGGGAGGCGGAGGTTGCAGTAAGCCGAGATCACGCCACTGCACTCCAGCCTGGACAACAGAGTGAGACTCTGTCTCAAGAAAAAGAAAGAAAGAAATATCTATCAACAAGTCACCTGTAACATATTTTATGATCTGCCTTAAAATCTGCCTTTTCCAACTTAAGAACAGTGATAGGGAAAATAATTAATAAAAAAATTTGCGTGCTGGGTGCGGTGGCTCATGCCTGTAATCCCAGCACTTTGGGAGGCCGAGGTAGGTAGATCACGAGGTCAGGAGTTCAAGACCAGCCTGACCAACATGGTGAAACTCCGTCTCTACTAAAAATACAAAAATTAGCTGGGCATGGTGGTGGGCGCCTGTAATCTCGGCTACTAGGGAGGCTGAAGCAGAGAATTCCTTGAATCTGGAAGGTGGAGGTTGCAGTGACCCGAGACTGCACCACTGCACTCTAGCCTGGGCAACACAGCGAGACTCCATCTCAATAAAATAAATAAAATAAATAAATAAAATTTGCCCATGCCAGGCACCTATTTTATTTGATCCTCAAAACAACCCTCTGAGGTAGGCACTATTATTAACTCCGTTTACAGATCAGGAAATAGGCACAGACGTTAAATGATATACACACACCGTTTAGTTGTAGCCATGAAGTGCCAGAGATAGAATTTAAATCCAAGCCTACCTGACTTCAGGGGATAAATGAGTGACCACCATAAAAACTGCTCTTTATATCTGTTGTCGTTCTTTGCTACACTATTAGGTAAAGCTCACCTTTCTACCTTTCTTCAAATTGCCAACAGGATATTCCAGATTCACACTTGAAATGATGCTTGGAAGCCCTCAGTTAAGCAATTTCATCCCTATCGTGTGTCTGTGGTGGTGGTTTTCTAAAGCCCTATGTTTTTCTGTCAGTGATATATGAAAATAAAAACCAAAAACAGTGAGGGGCCTTTGCTCTTTGAGGAGAGGTTTATGGACTCATTTGTCTCCCCAGGACCTATTCGAATATATGCTTTTTTTTTTTCTGTCCCTGGCATCCCTGTATATATCTGAAACAGACAGAAGTATGGACATGTACCCTCCCCCAAGTACTCTATCTTATATTACATTTTCAGATTTTGAACTCAATACATGATTGTAGCCCATTTATTAGAATTGCATATAATGAATTCTTAGAAAGGAGAATATGTTTTTCTCTAATAATTTATTTAAACATTCAGTAATTTCATCTTCTCTAATAAAAGGGATTAAAAGCATGCCACACCTGGCCAGGTATGATGACTCAGGCCTATAATCCTAGGATGTTGGGAGACTGAGGTATGAGGATCACTTGAGCCCAAGAGTTCAAGACCAGCTTGGGTAACACAGTGAGACCCCCGCCCCCACATCTCTATTCAAAAGAAGAAAAATTTACAAAACACACATACACCTTCACTTCACTATAAATTACAATAACTGACCTTACCACTTCAGTATTGGCTCAACTACTAGTGCAGTGGTGCAATCTCGGCTCACCGCAACCTGTGCCTCCTGGGTTCAAGCGATTTTCCTGCCTCAGCCTGCCGAGTAGCTGGGATTACAGGCACACGCCACCACATCCAGCTAATTTTTGTACTTTTAGTAGAGACAGGGTTTCGCCATGTTGGCCAGGCTGGTCTCAAGCCCCTGACCTCAGGTGATCCGCCCACCTCGGCCTCCCAAAGTGCTGGGATTATAGGCGTGAGCCGCCATGCCTGGCCATGACCAAGTTTAATAGAATGTTGAGATTATACTACTGTGTAATCCTGTGGGTTACTGGTTTTTAACTGCTGTGAGGAAGCCAGTAAATAGAACATATTCATAGCAATATGAAATTCAGCCTATAACTTTCCAACACCACCCAAAAAAGGTAATTATTTAAGTATTTCTTAGCTATTTAGAGCTTTTGTTGCCTGTAACTGTATTTGGCATTTAAGACCTGACTATCTCATTTGAATTCTGTTTAGAATCAACTGTATAAATTACTCCAGATGTTTTTGAAAAATTGTGAAATAGGTGAAGTTCGCCCCTCTCACCCCCCCCCACCCCCGAATCCTTTATCTCTTTTCTGGGGTGGCTTTCTGCATCCTCCATTCTTTTTTTTTTTTTTTTTTTTTTTTTTTTTTTTTTTTGAGATGGAGTTTTGCTCTTGTTGCCCAGGCTGGAGTGCAATGGCATGATCTCAGCTCACTACAACCTCTGCCTCCTGGGTTCAAGCAATTCTTCTGCCTCAGCCTCCCCTGTAGCTGGAATTACAGGCATGCGCCACTACGCCCAGCTAATTTTGTATTTTTCGTAGAGATGGGGTTTCTTCATGTTGGTCAGGCTGGTCTCAAACTCCCAACCTCAGGTGATCTGCCCGCCTCGACCTCCCAAAGTGCTGGGATTACAGGCGTGAGCCACCGCGCCTGGCCTGCATCTTCTATTCTTCCAGGCACTTATGTTCTTTTGCAACTCCCCAAACTGCCTATTGCTGTCCACTGCAGACTTACTAGCCTGGCAATTGCCCTTTCTTTCTCTCTCCCCACAGACCTCCCATGTCTTGTTTCCTACAAGTCTTATACAAGTTGGTAACCTGATTCATATTTACATATTAATGACTGACAGCTGCCAGGGGAATTAGAAGAGGTTTGGGAAAGGCCTCTCCCTGCAGCTTTGAAATTCCCACCTGGGCAACAACTTAATTAGCTGATCTCCAAGAGTGTTCCTAATCAAATTAATTGACAAGTACTGTACAGTGAAAAAGATTAGATTGCTTAAACATAAAGTAGTTCTTTATTTAGGGAGCCATTGTTTAGATTTCTGTCTTCCATGTGGAAATTTTTTTTAAATTCAGAGTTGAAGTCAGCATTAGGAGACTAGTTCCAAAATCACAGATTCAGAAACTCATCTTTTTTACTAGCTTTGTTGCTGCTAGATATCCTATATGTACTTTTTTTTTTTTTTTTTTTTGAGACAGGGTCTCACTCTGTCACCCAGGCTGGAGTGCAGTGGCACAATCTCGGCTCACTGCAACTTCCACCTCCTGGGTTCAAGCGATTCTGGGCCTCAGCCACCCAAGTAGCTGGGATTACGGGCATGCACCACCAAACCTGGCTGATTTTTTTTTGTATTTTTAGTAGAGACGGCCTGACCCTGTTGGTCAGGCTGGTCTCAAACTCCTGGCCACAAGTCTGTCACTCTGTCATGGCCTCCCAGAGTGCTAAGAGTACAGGCGTGAGCCACCGTACCTGGCCTATTCTTTTCAATTAAATAAATTTTAAAAATTTCCACGTGTATATGAACATATACTGTGCATCATTTAGTAAATGTATTTGCTCACTTATTTTGCTTATATAAATGGTGACCAAAACTTTTTGACTAGTAACTATACATTTAAGGGTGCAGACAGTGATGCTCCCTTTTCATTATTTGGTTAAATTGTGAACATTAAATTGTACCTATGTATCAGAACTTAATAAATCAGAGATAAAACTCATGTAATTTGGTGAACTCTACTTATTCTTTCTGATCCATATAAAGTAGATCTTTCCGGCCAGGCACAGTGGCTCACATCTGTAATCCCAGCGCTTTGGGACGCCGAGGCGGGTGGATCACCTGAGGTCGGGAGTTCAAGACCAGCCTGACCAACGTGGTGAAACCCCGTCTCTACTGAAAATACAAAATTAGGTGGGCATGGTGGCACATGCTTGTAATCCCAGCTACTTGGGAGGCTGAGGCAGGAGAATCGCTTGAACCCGGGAGGCAGAGGTTGCAGTGAGCCGAGATCACGCCATTGCACTCCAGCCTGGGTAACAAGAGTGCAACTCCGTCTCAAAAAAAAAAGTAGATCTTTTTGATTACCTGTGGATTCTTCATGCATTTGTTTATGCTGTATGATAATCATTCAGTTATTAATTATGGATTTATTAGGTATGTTTTATAGGCTTACCACTTGCCTAAGAGAAATGTATGATAATCTTAGTTTCTTTTGTGTGGTTTTTTTTTTTTTTTTGAGACAGAGTCTCACTCTGTTGCCCAGGCTGGAGTGCAGTGGCGAGACCTTGGTTCACTGCAAGCTCCGCCTCCTGGGTTCAAGCCGTTCTCCCGTCTCAGCCTCCCAAGTAGCTGGGACTACAGGCGCCCACCACCACACCCGGCTAATTTTGTTTTTGTAATTTTAGTAGAGACAGGGTTTCACCATGTTAGCCAGAATGGTCTCAATCTCTTGACCTCATGATCCGCCTGCCTCGGCCTCCCAAAGTGCTGGGATTACAGGCGTGAGCCACCAGCCAGGCCAGACAATTTTAGTTTCTAAACAACAAAAAAAAGGATACATACTCTGACAAATGTATCTTTGGTGACAGTGTTTCTGAATCACAGAATGGACTATCCTGGAAAATCTAAAACACAATATTGCCAAATATATGAATTACTGAAAAAATAAAGTCATTGTATAGGACAATGATAAAAAGCAATTTATTGAATGCATATAATGTGTCAAGCACTCTATATATATTATACCTAATTTTTATGGCAATCTTGCAAGATGGCTGATATTATTTCCATTTTATAGATATAGAACCTAAGGTTTTGGGGTAGGAGTGGAGGGAGAGGTTTATATAACTTGTCTAAGATCAATGGCTGTTCTGTGCCAGAGCTGGGTCTCAAATTCTTTTTTTTTTTTTTTTTTTTTTTGAGACGGAATCTCGCTCTGTCACCCAGGCTGGAGTGCAGTGGCACGATCTTGGCTCACTGAAAGCTCCACCACCCGGGTTGATGCCATTCTCCTGCCTCAGCCTCCTGAGTAGCTGGGACTACAGGCACCTGCCACCACACCTGGCTAATTTTTTTGTATTTTTAGTAGAGACAGGGTTTCACCATGTTAACCAGGCTCGTCTCGAACTCCTGACCTTGTGATCCACCTGCCTCGGTCTCCCAAAGTGCTGGGATTACAGGCATGAGCCACCACACCCGACCTAGCTGGGTCTCAGATTCAAAGCTGGTCTAACATCAAAGCCCGTGCTCCTTCTCTAACAACCTATTATCTCAAATAACTTATGATGTCCTAGTGAGTCCTAGCATACAGTACTTGTGGTTAAGAAAGGATGGAGAGGGAATTCAGGAGTGAGTCAGATAGACCTGGATTGAATATTGGCTATACTGTCTCTATCACTTAATAGTTGTATGACTTTGGCATGACATCTCTAAGCCTTCATTTTTTTCTGAGTAAAATGTGCTTAGTAATAGCTACTTCAAAGGATACTCAGAGGATTAAATGAGATATTGTATGCATTACCCTTGACACAGTGCCTAGCACATACTAAGCAATCAAAAATTGCTATCTGCTATTTTTGTTGTGATTTTATAGTAGCAGTTAAAAGTGACATTGATATATTCTAGTAAAAATGTTGTCGTTGGCCCGGCTTGATGGCTCATTCCTGAAATCCCAGAGCTTAGGGAGGCCGAGGCAGAAGGATTGCTTCAGGCCAAAAACTCAAGACCAGCCTAGACAACATAGTGAGATCCCCATCTCTACCAAAACAAAACAAAACAACAACAACAAAAAACCTAGCAAGAAATGGTGGCACATGCCTGTAGTCCCAGCTACTTGGGAGGCTGAGGCAGGAGAATCGCTTGAACCTGGGAGGCGGAGGTTGCGGTGAGCCAAGATCTTACCACTGCACTCCAGCCTGGGCCACAGAGCAAGACCCTGTCTAAAAAAAAAAAAAAAAAAAAAAAAAAAATGCCAAGGGGCAGGAGAAGGAGTGGGGAGTGTGGCTAGAGAAGAAAGCCAAAAGAATGTATAGGAAGCTAATGAGTAGATGACAGACAGAGTGGCCACCGTTTTGAAGGCTGTGTTAAAGAGTTTTTGTTGTTGTTATTTTTTGTTTCTTTGTTTGTTTTTTGAGACAGGGTTTCACCTGTCGCCCAGGCTGGAGTGCAGTGGTGTAATCTGGGCTCACTGCAACCTCTGCCTCCTGGGTTCAAGTGATTCTCCTGCCTCCGCCTCTCAAGTAGCTGGGATTACGGGCATATGCCACCACGCCCAGCTAATTTTGTGTTTTTATTTTTTATTTTATTTTATTTATATTTATTTGTTTATTTTGAGACAGAGGCTTGCTCTTTTGCCCAGACTGGAGTGCAGTGGCACGGTCTTGGCTCACTGTAACCTCTGTCTCCCAGGTTCAAGTGATTCTCCTGCCTCAGCCTCCTGAGTAGCTGGGATTACAGGCACCCGCCACCACGCCTAGCTAATTTTTTGTATTTTTAGTAGAGACGGGGTTTCACCATGTTGGCCAAGCTGGTCTTGAACTCCTGTCCTCAAGTAATCCACCCGCCTCGGCCTCCCAAAGTGCTGGGATTATAAGCGTGAGCCACTGCACCAGCCTATTTTATTTTATTATTATTATTATTTTGAGACAAAGTCTCACTCTGTCGCCCAGGCTGGAGTGCAGTGGTGCAATCTCAGCTCACTGCAACCTCCACCTCCTGGTTCAAGCGATTCTCCTGCCTCAGCCTCCTGAGTAGCTGGGATTACAGGCGAGCGCCACCATGCCCAGCTAATTTTTATATTTTTGGTAGAGACAGAGTTTCACCATGTTGGCTAGGCTGATCTCGAACTCCTGACCTCAAGTGATCCGCCTGCCTCTGCCTCCTGAAGTGCTGGGATTACAGGCATGAGCCACCACGCCTGGCCTGAAATGGTTTTTCAGATGTATTTTTAAATTTGCAAATTGTGGCTGCACTGTTGATAATTAGTCATTACTCGTGAACGTCTTTCATCCCAGCGTGGTAGAAGCCTTTATGGGTATTAAAGTTCATAACACCCCGACAGACAGCTTATAGGTAATTAAACTCTGTGATCTACCCACTTGATATATGAATCAGTTCTTAGTTAATACTCTTTTACGTATTTCAAATGAAATAAAAAATTTAAATAGCAGTAATAATGGCACAAGCGCCAGAGAAATACAAAGGAGTTTAAAATCACCATGAAAAAAACTTCTAAATTTAAAAATAGACCTATTTTAGAAATGTGTGAAATGTTATGCTTGAATGAGTTTAAGATGAACCTAGAATATTAAAAATTCATTCCTCAAAAAATATTTTTGGAGGCCCACAGCGTGTCAGACACTGTGTATCAGACACTGTGCTAAAGGTGGCTACACAATCATACATAAGAATTGTCAGCACCGGCCGGGTGCGGTGGCTCACGCCTGTAATCCCAGCACTTTGAGAGGCCTAAATGGGCGGATCACATGAGGCCAGGAGTTCGAGACCAGCCTGGCTAAACTGGTGAAACACCGTCTCTACTAAAAATACAAAAGTTAGCCTGGCGTGGTGGTGCGTATCTGTAATCCCAGCTACTCAGGAGGGTGAGGCACGAGAATTGCTTGAACCCGGGAGGTGGAGGTTGCAGTGAGTCGGGATTGCGCTACTGCACTCCAGCCTGGATGACAGAGCTAGTCTCAAAAAAAAAAGATGCAAAAAACGGAACCCAGATTCTTCAAAGCATTCACTCATTTATTCAGAATATGTAAATAAAAAACTACAATGTGTCAGGTATTGTTTTAGAGGAGGAAGACACTGTCCTTGCCCATCCCCATCCCAGGATTATTGACACATAAACAAATTGGTACAGTGTGTTATAGGAGATACGTAGGGGAATAAGAGTACCGAGAAAGAAGCCATGAGTTTTATGGCTGTTTGTGGGACTAGGGATGCAAGAAGTGTTTCCTGTAGAATAAAATATGCGTTTAGTCTACTATGTATTCTTAATCTGTATTTGTAAAACAATGGTCCACATAATGATATTTGACTCGTACAAAACATAATTTAGGGACGGTAGTAGTTTTTATGCTGGCAAATTAAAATTATGTAGAACTTTGGAACCCCTTAAGTTTTTCTGGGTCCTACTTATTTTGTAAATTTGAGCTCTGCATAATGCAATATATGTTTTATCTGAATGTTGAGACACACTAAGGAACAACACACTGTTCTGCACAGACCGTTGCAACAGCTTTGGAATGTGTTTGTCAAATTAAGCGACAAACAAAAACACAAAACGCTACAGTTCAAAACTGGCTTTTTATTAGATCTGCTACTTTGCTTCAAACTTTAAACTGTACCCAGATAACACAAGAAATAGATAAGTACCAGTTGCAGAGAACCTTCTTTGTTGATTGCCTCTTGGGAATTTTAACATTTGAATATACTTCCCAGTGTGGAAGCATGGAGTAGGGAGTGGACTCCAGAAGATACAGGGGCCCTACCTAGCTGTAACCACGTTATTATGAAGAACAAAATTACAGCTAAATAAAAATTTGAAGACTGTCCTTGAGGATATGCATAAAAAGCAATGTGTTACCTAATAGATAATTTATGAGCCTGAAGTCATTCAAAAGCCAGAGAAGAAATATTCAGGCTAAAACAAAACTTGCTACTTTGTTAGAACAAAGAGAATGCACTTCTTGTTGGGAAGCTAAATCCTAAGAAAGACGGGGAATAAATACTCCATAGATAGCAAGCCCCAGAGAATTTTACTTTAATATTTATTTATTTATTTATTTATTTATTTATTTATTTATTTATTTATTTGAGATGGAGTCTTGCTCTATCGCCCAGGCTGGAGTGCAGTGGCGTGATCTCAGCTCACTGCAATCTCTGTCCTCCGGGTTCCAGCGATTCTCTTGCCTCAACCTCCCGCGTAGCTGGTACTACAGGCGCCCGCCAGCACACCCAGCTAATTTTTTGTATTTTTAGTAGAGACGGGGTTTCGCCGTGTTAGCCAGACCTCGTGATCCGCCCGCCTCCGCCTCCCAAAGTGCTGGGATTACAGGCGCAAGCCACCGTGCCCGGCCAAGAATTTTACTTTTAAAGTGAGTAGGATAGAGCTAACATAAGAACCAGGGACCTTCCTAGAGAACTGAAAAGAAGCCTCGAGTATTGCTATTACTGTAGCGTACGGACATCAGAGCGAATGTTTTACTGAGTTAGATTGAGATCAGGTGGCCTACATGAGCTCTGGGAAATAACCAAAACAACAGCATAGGAATGGAGGTTAAATGTGTGGGTGGTGCCATAACTTTGAGTGGCTAAATTCAAGATAATTTATCGAGATTTGGTCCTAGATGCTGTTATACTGGGCACCCACCCAGGCTTTTTAAAAAGAAAATCAGCCAGATCTGGTGGCTCACACCTGTTTTTCCAGCACTTTGGGAGGCCAAGGTGGGAGGATCGATTGAGGCCAGGAGTTCGAGACTGGCCTGAGCAATATAGTAAGACCCTGGTCTCTTAAAAAAAAAAAAGAATATCAAAGCCTGAAAGTACAAGAGAGGTCTCTCAAGTTGTAGAGATAAGGCATGATCAGTCTTCCTTGGTGGAAGAGTAAATAAAAATATTGGCCAGTTTGATTTTGCTGCTGTTTAGAAAGACTCCTGGCTGGGCGCAGTGGCTCACGCCTGTAATCCCAGCACTTTGGGAGGTCGAGGTGGGAGGATCACTTGAGCCCAGCAGTTCAAGACCAGCCTGGCCAACATGGCAAAACCCCGTCTTTACTAAAAATACAAAAAATTAGACGGGCATGGTGGCGCACGCCTGTAATCCCAGCTACTTGGGAGGCTGAGGCACGAGAATCACTTGAACCTGGGAGGCAGAGATGTCAGTGAGCCAAGGTCAGGCCACTGCATTCCAGCCTGGGTGACAGAATGAGACTCTGTCTAAAAAAAAAAAAAAAGAAAGAAAGACTCCTGAAGGGTTTTATTTATTTATTTATTTATTTTTAAATAAAAATATAGAGATGGGGTCTCACTATGTTGCCCAGGCTGGTCTCCAACTCCTGGGCTCAAGTGATCCTCCCGCCTTGGCCTCCCAAAGTGCTGGGATTACTGGCGTGAGACACTGTGCTCGGCGCTTCAAGGTCTGGATAAACATGAACACACTGCTTGAGGGGAACGGGGGATACTAAGTGCCCGTTATGGACCAGACACTGTGCTTAGGCACTTTCTCTGAAAGATAACAATTAACTTTCTCATTGAAAGCAAACAATTTGCAGACTAGAGAAGTTTCTTATCAATGCTTAGGGTCATTTGACCTTTGCTAGCCACTAGACTTCCAGTGATCAAATTAATTTACTAGAGCAATAATTTTTTAGTCATTTTCTTGTATTTTTTCTGAATGAAATAACCATTATCATTAACAGAAAGAAAGACTTATAAAGGAAAAGAAAAGTAATGTTCAGTTGTGTTGGTGATACTGAAAGGAAAAGTGTGGAGGCAGGTGTAGGCAGCCATACTTTAAAGACTTGGATGGTGTTGCTTTGGGGGCATCCTTACTTGCAGTTTATATTCTTCATATGTAATTATATTGCCAAAGACAAACTATTTCATCATGTATGGTAAACATTTTTCCCCAGACCTACCATAGTTTTAATGATGTCTTCTGGTTGTAATAAAAATTAATGAGTTGCGGCAGTTTAAGACAAACAAAATCCAGGTAACCTTGTTTTATTCTTTTTTTTTTTTTTTTTTTTTGAGAGGGAGTCTTACTCTGTCACCCAGGCTGGAGTGCAGTGGCGCGATCTCAGCTCACTGCAACCTCTGCCTCCTGTGTTCAAGAGATTCTTCTGCCTCAGCCTCTTGAGTAGCTGGGATTACAGGTGCACGCCACCACGCCTGGCTAATTTTTATATTTTTAGTAGAGACAGGGTTTCTCCACGCTGGTCAGGCTGGTCTTGAACTCCTGACCTTGTGATCCGCCTGCCTCGGCCTCCCAAAGTGCTGGGATTACAGGTGTGAGCCACCACGACTGGCCCCTTGTTTTATTCTTATCTTAAAAATAGTATGTGCTCAGCTGGGCGCAGTGGCTCACACCTGTAATCCCAGCACTTTGGGAGGCCGAGGCAGGCAGATCACGAGGTCAGGAGTTCCAGACTAGCCTGGCTAACATGGTGAAACCCCGTCTCTACTAAAAATACAAAAAACAGCTGGGTGTGGTGGCAGGTGCCTGTAATCTCAGCTACTTGGGAGGCTGAGGCAAGAGAATTCTTTGAACCTGGGAAGCGGAGGTTGCAGTGAGCCAAGATCACGCCACTGCACTCCAGCCTGGGCAACAGGGTGAGGCTCCATCTCAAAAAAAAATAAAAATAAAAATAAAAAGATAATAGGCCGGGTACAGTGGCTCACGCCTGTAATCTCAGCACTTTGGGAGGCCAAGGCGGGTGAATCATGAAGTCAGGAGTTCAATACCAACCTGGCCAAGATGGTGAAACCCCGTTTCTACTAAAAATACAAAAAGAAAAAAAAAATTAGTCAGGCGTAGTGGCGGGCGCCTGCAATCCCAGCTATTCAGGAAGCTGAGGCAGAGAATTGCTTGAACCCAAGAGGCGGAGGTTGCAGTGAGAGTAGATCACGCCACTGCCCTCCAGCCTGGGCGACAGAGTGAGACTCCATCTCAAAAATAAATAAATAAATAAATAATAATACTGTATGCTCATTACAGAAAAATCAAATCAGAAAAACTAAAAATGAAAATGAAAAACACCAATCAATCCAGAAATAACTGCTGGCTAGTAATAAAAATTTGTTATATCTTTAGAAAGGCTGTGTGTGGTGGTTCATCCCTGTAATCCCAGCACTTTGGGAGGCCAAGATGGGCAGATCACTTGAGGCCAAGAATTTGAGACCAGCCTGGCCAACATAGCGAAAGCCTGTCTCTACTAAAAATACAAAAATTTGCCATGTATGGTGGCACATGTCTGTAATCCCAGCTACTTGGGAGACTGAGGAAGGAAAATCACTTGAACCTTGGAGTTGGAGGTTGCAGTGAGCTGAGATTGTGCCACTGCATTCCAGTCTGGGCAACAGAGCTGTCTATCTCAAAACAAAAATAAAAAAACTTTCCATGGGAATAAAATATGTTTGTACAACATCATTTTTAATGGCAGCATAGTAGTCAATTGTTTAGATATTTATTTTATATCTTTTTGCTAAATATTTGAATTGTTTCTTTTTTTACTAATGGGTTTCATACCCTTTGTTCATTTTTCTATTAAGTTATTTCTTTTTGCCTGTAAGGGCTCTTTATATATTAAGGATCCTAAACCTTTACCTGTCATAATTATTACAAATATTTTGGTAAGTTTTCTATTTGCTCTTTAATTTTATTTTGAAGTTAGAAAAGTTTTAATTTTAATACAGTTAAATCTATTAGTCTATTCAATTTTATTTCCACCCATTGTATCACGCTTATGCATCATTCTCCACACCATGGTTATATACTTACACACATTTTCTCTTAATAGCAGACTTTTACATCAGAATGAAACTCTGCCTTACATGCTTATGTTTTCTTTTTCATGTAATATTTATTCCATGTGAAACTTATTTTGAAGTAAGACATAGGTAGAGATATAATTGATTTTCCCCCCAAACAGTTGGCCAGTTGATTCAATGTCATTTTGACTGAATCATTTTCCCTGTTTCAAAATGCTACCTTTTTGTATCCTGAATTCTTACCTATACTGGGCTATTTCTGGACTTCCTGTTTTGTTTCATTGATTTATCTATTTCCCCTCCCCCTTTGAAGGCAAACTGAGTTTACTTGCCAGACAAGAGAACCAAACCAGTAAAAAAATTAGTTTACTGATTCACTAAAGGGCAAAACCGTGGGGATGGTCTGTCTGTGATAGAAATGCAGGGAGTTTGTGATGGCTGTGGTAATTTAGAATGGAAAACTTTCATTCTAGATAGGACAATGAATTAATATACCTTTACATTTTTTTTTTTAAGTCCCATTGTTCCTTGGAAAGAGCATCCTAGTTGGGTCCAATAAAGTTCTGGCCTACCAGGGACTCTAAAAGTTCATTTTTTTTGGCTGGGCGCAGTGGCTCACGCCTGTAATCCCAGCATTTTGGGAGGCCAAGGTGGGCAGATTACCTGAGGTCAGGAGTTTGAGACCAGCTTGGCCAACTTGGCGAAACCCCGTCTCTACTAAAAATATAAAAATTAGCCAGGTGTGGTGGTGGGTGCCTGTAATCCCAGCTACTCGGGAGGCTGAGGCAGAAAAATTGCTTGAACCCGGAAGGCGGAGGTTGCAGTAAGCCAAGATCACGCCACTGCACTCCAGCCTGGGTGACAGAGCGAGACTCAATCTCAAAAAAAAAAAAAAAAAGATAATACTTGTGTATATTTAATATAGTTAGATGGGGTCAGTGGAACAGTGGAAGAGGCAATAATTGAGTATTCTATGTTTTAAAGGAGACTTGAGCTGATAAAAATCAAGAACATAAGTAGAAGAGTTAATTTTGGGAAAGTAAATTTTTCTTTATTTGTGGATGTAGGTAGCAGGAGAGAATATAGAGAAATTGTCATCTAATGAATGTAATCACCCAGAGTGCAGGGATCTTCTGTTTTATTCCCTGATATATCCCAAGGTCCCTAGAACCATGTCTGGCAGCTAGAAGACACTGAGATATTTGTTGAACGAACAGACTTTGACATATAATCAATCTGAATTTGAATCCCAGTTCTTCCACTTGCATACTGTGGAATCTTGGACATTTTCTTTCCCTTGCTAAGCCTTACTCTTAGTATTTTATAGTAAGAGTATAAGCCTTACTCTTACTATCTGTAAAATGAGAATAATAATACAGAATGTTTGGGACATAGACTTTTTTTTTTTTTTTTGAGAGAGGGTCTCAGTCTGTCATCCAGACTGGACTGCAGTGGTTTGATCATGGCTCACTGCAGCCTCGACCTTCTAGACTCAGGTGATCCTTCCACCTCAGCTTCCCAAGTAGCTGGGCCTACAGGTACTCGCCATCATGCCCAGTTAATCTTTGTATTTTCAGTAGAGATGGGGTTCCGCCATGTTGCCTAGGCTGGGCTTCAACTCCCAGGCTCAAGCAATCCACCTACCTTGGCCTTCCAAGGTTCTGGGATTACAGGAACAAGCCACTGTGGCCTGTCAGATTTTTAATCTGAGCCACTATGACTTTCTTGTTCTTAAATTTAGTGATTGGCAAAGTTGCTCTGTGATTTTTTTCATTTAATTTTTATACGTAAGGAATACATTTGCTTTATTATAAATCACAATATCTTTAAATATTTTCAGCAATTTTCTAGTTGTGGAACCTTCATTTGTTGTGATATAACACATACTTGGTTTTTGTAAAATCACAAAAATAAGTTTTTTTGTTTTTGTTTTTGTTTTTCGTATTTTTTTTAGACGGAGTCTCGCTCTGTCACCCAGGCTGGAATACAGTAGCATGATCTTGGCTCATTGCAACCTCTGCCTCCCGGGTTGAAGTGATTCTCATGCCTCAGCCTCCGGAGTAGCTGGGGCTACAGGCGCCTGCCACCAAGCCTGGCTAATTTTTATATTTTTAGTAGAGACAGGGTTTCGCTGTGTTGGCCAGGCTGGTCTCAAACTCCTGACCTCAAATGATCCTCCCACCTCGGCCTCCCAGAGGGCTGGGATTATTGTCGTAAGCCACCATGCCCAGCCAAAAATAAATTTTTCTAAAAGTTGGTTATACAGATGCATTTAAGTTTTAAATATTTCATTCTTTAGCTCTTAGATCCAAATACCTGGCATCACATTCTGGTGTTTTCTCTTTTTTTTTTTTTTTTTTTTCTGAGACAGAGTCTCACTCTGTCGCCCAGAGACTGGAGTGCAGTGGCGCGATCTCGGCTCACTGCAAGATTCCGCCTCCCGCGTTCACGCCATTCTCCTGCCTCAGCCTCCCAAGTAGCTGGGACTACAGGTGCCTGCCACCACGCCCGGCTATTTTTTTGTATTTTTAGTAGAGACAGGGTTTCACCGTGATATCCAGGATGGTCTCAATCTCCTGACCTCGTGATCCGCCTGCCTGGGCCTCCCAAAGTGCTGGGATTACAGGCGTGAACCACCGCGCCTGGCCTCTGGTGTTTTCTCTAACTTCATTAACAATTAAGACGGTAGCTATGGTGGAATGAGGTAGCTTTTTATGATTGAAGGAGAAATGTAGGTATACGTGTAGAGTACAGAGGGGAAGGCATTGCTAAGTTTCCTGCTAGAAAGTTCTAAAACATAAATATATTTTGTGAAGTAAGATTGATTGTATTTAAATTAATAATGGAAAAATGCGGTGTTCTTATTGGCACTTTCTAAATTAAAACTTGACTGCCCACTTCTCATGCTAACACTCAAGTTTGTTGCCATAGGAATTGCCCAAGATTCTTGCTTACAGCCTTAAATGAGTATAATTGCTATTGTTATAGAGCGAAAAATCCTGACTTATGACTAAGAGATAATCATCATATGATAACTCTAAGTGCATTTACAATTCCAATTCCTTGGAAACAAATAAAGGCAAAGTAGTATTAGATTATTTGTTGCTTCTTGAAAGTCAGCATCCCAAATGGTGCAAATATTTGATTAGTCACAGCTGAAAACATTTTAAGATTAATTTATCAGATGATTGCTGCCCTATAGAAACTTACATTTTGGAGACTGACACAATATATAGAACATACCAACACAACACTGTTACAGCAAGAATTCGAACTACTAATCAAGACTACACATAGTTGTAAAGTTTATATTACTTAGTGATAAAAAAAGGAGAGTGATAAGATGATACATCTGAGGGAATCAAAGTGAAGGAAAAACATTTTTGGAAGATCAGGGAAGCTTGAATATGTTAGTAGGCCAAAAGAAAAGAGCAACCAAAGGGAGGAGATATTAAGGAAGTCAAGGAATAAGCTCCTAGGGGTTGAAGCAAATACGATCAAAGGCATAGATATAGTCTTGGAGAGGAGAAAACAATAGGGAAGGAAAAAGGGATGTGGTGAAAAAAAAATTGGGTTGAGAACAGAAGTTCTCAGAATGGCTCAGATTTTGTAAATAAATTAGGAGGCAAGGTGATTGCCGAGAGCAAAGGTAAGGCTAAGAAAGGAAGACCAGGTTGGAGCCTTGAGAAAAATGAAAAGAAGTTCGGAAAACCTGTTGTAGGGCGTTCAACAGAATGTCAATATGAGATGATGTAAAAGGAGTTTAGAGTGTCAGCAAAGGCCCCTAAGATTAGAGAGCACATTTTTGTAATATCTAGCAATGATCAACCCAGAAGAAGGAACGGAGAAAACAAATGCCGGTGGTTACTCAGTGGCTCAGTGAGGTATTCTGGAGTGCTGAGGAGGGGTCTTGAGTGTCTTGGTACTTGATCTGGGTGCCTGAATAGAGGGAAGAGTATAAAGAAATGTATTTGTTCAGCAAATAATTACCTACTATATATCCATCAACTCTAGTAGATTTTGTTATCACATTTCTGGAAACAATCCCCTAATCTATAGACTGAATTTTGATTTCTCTTCGGGTTTTTGTTTGTTTGTTTGTTTTTTGTTTTGCTTTTTGTTGTTGTTTGAGTCAGAGTCTTGCTGTGTCACCCAATCTGGAGTGCAGTGGCACAATCTTGGCTCACTGCAACCTCCGCCTCCCTGCTTCAAGTGATTCTCCTGCCTCAGCCTCCCAAGTAGCTGGGATTACAGGCGAGTGCCATCAAACCTAGTTAATTTTTGTATTTTTAGTAGAGGAGGGGTTTTGCCATGTTGGCCAGGCTGGTCTCGAACTCCTAACCTCAGGCGATCTGTCCACTTTGGCCTCCTAAAGTGCTACAGGCGTAAACCACCGCGCCCGGCCTGATTTCTCTTTTGATTTCAGAGCCTTGTCTTCCAACTGCCTGCAGGGCAGGTCTGATTTGATGCTGCATATCTAAAACTGAATGCTTCATCTCCCTCCCAAACCTAATTTAATACCTTGTTACCCCATTTCTGTTCATGATGTTATTATCTTTCTGGTCTCCCAAGCCTGAAACCTTTGAATCATCTCTGATTTTTCCTCTCTCTTCCTTAGTGTATCATCAAATTATGTCACCAAATATTTCCTCTGAAATATTTCTCCTGACTTTTCCTCCCTTCCATTGCCAAGGCAATAATTCAGGCTTCATTTCATTTCGTGCTGGTACTTCTATGCCTTCTCAACAAGTTTTCCTATCTCCAGGCACTACCCAGTCCAGTCAGTCTTACACACCACTTCCTCCCAGATTAATCTTTATAAAATGTCAGTTTGGGGAGTCACTCATCATCTCAAAAATCTTCTAGGAACTGTGGCGGAGTCCTCAAGGAAAGAACAAGACCCCAGAGGAGCTCATATTCCAATGAGAATGGAGGCAGTTAATGTTGTGAGGAAGAGATGTTGATTTAGGGAAGGCCTCCCTGAGGAATGACAAGAGAAGAGAATGGATGGGAGGAAGCTGGGAAATGCCAGGCTTTAGAGAATAGATTGAGGGAGAAGAGGTGATGCCAAGGAGACTCAGAACAGCTCAGGGAGGTAGGAGGAGAATCAGGAAAATTTGTATCACAGAGACCAAGGTAGGAGAGGATGCCAAGGAACAGATTGAGTGAGTAAGGTGGACTCTTTCCTGGAGAAGAGTTCTTTGGATTTGTCAGTTAGGGGGTCAGAATCAAAAGCAGGTTCAGGGGAGTGTAGGGAGTAGAAAGGCTATAGTGAGCTGGAAAATAAGGAGAAATAAAGAATACAGATTTCCTTTTTAAAATGTTGGTTGAGAACAGAAACAGTGCTGAGGATTGTACTTAATTTTTTCCCCCACAATGAAATGGACCTACACTAGTTTACAGTCTAAGGGCAGAGATCTTAGGGGTGAAGGAGAGGTTGATATTAGAGGAAAACTGACTGATGGAGCAAGTTCCCTAAAGAGGTCTGAGGAGATGGAATCCAATCAGGAAAAAAGTCTTTGTCCATTTATAATCATCTCCTTACTATATACATGCAAATTTTGTATATATGTTATGGTTGTATATGGCTAAGGTAATAGTGTATTATGAAATGACTAGATGAATTTTTGCAGCTTGAAGCGGTCTCTAGAAGCTGGAAGACCTTCTAGAGACTTGGTGTGTGGCCCTCTTTCTCATTCAGAAGGAGCAATGTCACATCTCTGACTTTGCTTCAACCATCGCATCTCTCTCTAACATAGTCAGGAAATGTTCTCCACTTTCAAGGATTTATGTGATTAGATTGGGTCCACCTGGGTAATACAGGCTACTCTCTCTATCTCAAAGTTCTTTTTTCTTTCTTTCTTTTTTTTTTGAAACAGAGTCTCTGTGTTGCCAGGCTGGAGTGCAGTGGCACGATCTCGGGTCACTGCAACCTCTGACTCCCTGGTTCAAGTGATTCTCCTGCTTCAGCCTCCCGAGTAGCTCGGATTACAGGCACGTGCCACAATGCCCAGCTAATTTTTGTATTTTTATTTTATTTTATTTATTTATTTATTTATTTATTTATTTGAGACAGAGTCTTGCTCTGTCGCCCAGGCTAGAGTGCAGTGGCTTAATGTCTGCTCACTGCAACCTCCTCCTCCCGGGTTCAAGCCATTCTCCTGCCTCAGCCTCCCAAGTAGCTGGGATTACAAGCGCCCACCACCATGCCCAGCTAATTTTTGTATTTTTAGTAGAGACGGGGTTTCACCATGTTGGCCAGGATGGTCTCGAATTCCTGACCTCGTGATCCACCTGCCTCAGCCTCCCAAAGTGCTGGGATTACAGGCGTGAGCCACTGTGCCCAGCCTCTGCATTTTTAGTAGAGATGCGGTTTCACCATGTTGCCCAGGATGGTCGTGATCTCCTGACCTCATGATCTGCCCGCCTCGCCTCCCAAAGTGCTGGGATTACAGGCGTGAGCCACCGCGCCCGGCCTTAAAGTTCTTAAGCTTAATCACATCTGCAAGTTTCTTTTGCCATATAAGATAACATATTCACAGGTTATGGGTATTAGGATGTGGACATCTCTGAAGGCTGTTATTCTGCCTGCTACACTGGAACTGACTGTGAAGTCCTTATTTTAAGAGGAGAGTTTGAAATGGGAAAAAGAAGGGCCGGGCGTGGTGCCTCATGCCTGTAATCCCAGCACTTTGGGAGGCCAAGGAGGGCGGATCACGAGGTCAGGAGTTGGAGACCAGCCTGACCAACAAGGTGAAACCCCGTCTCTACTAAAAATACAAAAATTAGTCAGTCGTGGTGGCACACAGCTGTAATCCCAGCTGCTCAGGAGGCTGAGGCAGGAGAATCACTTGAACCCGGGAGGCGGAGGTTGCAGTGAGCCGAGATCATGCCACTGCACTCCAGCCTGGGCAACAGAACGAGACTCTGTCTCAAAAAAAAAAAAGAAAAGAAAAGAAAAGAAAAGGAAAGAAATGGGAAAAAGAAAGGTGTTTAGTATAGAGAAATTTGGTTTTTGTACTTGAATCGGGCAAGATGCTTATTCTGGTAGATAAACTGGCTTCCAGGGGCCATGAATGTGGCGTCTACATGCTGAGAAGTGATTGAGAAACAGTTTACTGGTAGCTTGAAATGAAATGATCTTTTTTCAGCTAAAAAAAAGAAATTTCAGTTGTGGTAAGGAAATGAGATGGTGTTTCAACACAAACTTTTTTTTTTTCTTTTTTTTGAGTTAGTGATGGAGTCTCGCTTTGTTGCACAAGCTGGCCTTGAACTCCTGGCCTCAAGCAATCCTCTGACCTTGGCCTCCCAAAATGTTAGGATTATAGGCGTGAACCACCACACCCAGTCCAAACATTTGAATTAGAGAAAATAGAGCGGTTATTATGATTCCTGGCTTCCAGATGTGATGATGGCAACAAAAATAAAAAGGAGAAAATCCTAAATGTTTTTATTTTATAGGAACCTATAGCATTAGCACGTTTTGTCAGGAACTCTTAGGTTAGAATTTAACAAAAATACTTTCAGACCTGGGTTCTTAATTTTGTCTTAGTTCTAGCTCTCCTTCCATAATGGCCAGGTAGTCTGTGGATACAGGCAGTGCAATGTGAGGACTCTTCTTTTAAAGCACATTGTAAGTTATTGGAGTCAAAACGGTTTTTATGTCTGATTATTCCTTATATGTCTTATTTTTAAAAACAACAATAAATCTCTCTGGTTGAACATAGTATGATTTATTTTGTAAGTTGGTAAATAACTATAAACGTAGGTAATCTAGATAGAATTTTTCAGAAATGTGTAATCTCAATTCTATTTCCAGGTTAAGATGAAAGCAGTTATCTGACTCTATTTCTCTCACTATAATCAAATTAAATTTGTGTTTTATATATCCATGTAACCATTCATCCATCCAACAGATATGTATTGAACTTCTATCTTGGGAAAGACACTATGGTAGGCCCTGTAAAATATTTAACACAGACATTTTTTACTTTCTATTTGCAGTTCTAAACTTTATATTTCTGATTGTGAAGTGAAAGATTTTATTACATCAGCTATCTCTCCTGACTTGCCTCTTTACCTTCTAACCTCTGTATCTTTATTTCAACAGTGAAAGGTTTCCCTTTCTTTCTTTTTTTTTTTTTTTTGAGACAAAGTCTCGCTCTGTCGCCTAGACTGGAGTGCAGTGGTGCAATCTCGGCTAATATGTATTTTTAGTAGAGAGGGGGTTTCACTATGTTGGTCAGGCTGGTCTCAAACTCCTGACCTCGTGATCCACCCGCCTCGGCCTCCCAAAGTGCTAGGATTGCAGGTGTGAGCCACCATGCCCAGCTAAAAAGTTTCCCTTTCATCCTTGTCTCCTAGCCACCCCTTTCTCAGAGGCAACCAGTGTGTTATTTTCTTACATATCCTTCCAGATGTATTTTATGTATCAGGCAAATATATATTATAATATTTTTTAAACAACATACACATTTTTCTGTACCTTGTATGTGTTTTTATTTTACTTCTTTCTTTTTCTTTTCTTTTTTTTTTTTTTTGAGACGGAATCTTGCTCTGTCGCCCAGGCTGGAGTGTAGTGGTGCGATCTCGGCTCACCGCAACCTCCACCTCCCAGGGTCAAGTGATTCTCCTGCCTCAGCCTCCTGAGTAGCTGGGACTACAGGCGTGTGCCACCATGCCCAGCTCATTTTTGTATTTTTAGTAGAGACAGGGTTTTGCCATTCTGGCCAGGCTGGTCTCAAACTCCTGACCTTGTGATCCACCTGCCTTGGCCTCCCAAAGTGCTGGGATTACAGGTGTGAGCCACCATACCCGGCCTCACAGTGTAGTTTTAATTTATACTTGTCTTGTTAGTGAATATCTTTTATTTTTATTTTTAAGGCAGGGTCTCATTCTGTCTCTCAGGCCGGAGTGCAGTGGTGCAATCTCAGCTCACTGCAACCTCCACCTCCCAGTTTCAAGCGATTTTCCACCCTCAACCTCCCAAGTGCTGGTACTACAGGCCTACGCCACCACGCCTGGCTAATTTTTGTATTTTTAGTAGAGACGGGGTTTCGACACATTGGCCAGGCTGGTCTCAAACTCCTGACCTCAAGTGATCTCTCCACCTCAGCCTCCCAAAGTGTTTTTTATGTTTGAAAAGCCATTTGTGCTTCCTTTTCTGTTTATGTTGGGTTATTGTGATTTATTATTATTATTTATGGGAGCTCTTTATATATTAGGGAAATTAGCCCTTTGTCAGCGAGTTGCAAATATTTTTTTCCCCAATTTGCTATTGTCTTTCAACTTTGTGGTAGCTTTTTTTCGTTGTTTTTGTTGTTGTTGTTTTTTGAGATGGAGTCTTGCTCTGTTGCCCAGGCTGGAGTGCAGTGACACGATCTCGGCTCACTACAACCTCTGCCTCCCAGGTTTAAGCGATTCTCATGCCTCAGTCTCCCTGAGTAATTGGGATTACAGGAGCCCACCACCAAGCCTGGCTAATTTTTGTATTTTTAGTAGAGACAGGTTTTTGCCATGCTGGCTAGGCTGATTTTGAACTCCTGACCTCAGGTGATCCACCTGCCTCGGCCTCCCAAAGTGCTGGGATTACAGGTGTGAGCCACTGTGCCTGGCCTGTGTTAACTTTTATATGCGGAACTTTATTTATTATTTTATTTTTGAGACAGGGTCTCACTCTGTTGCCCAGGCTGGAGTGCAGTGGTGAGATCTTGGCTCACTGCAGCCTCAACCTCCTGGGCCCAAATGATCCTCCCACCTCAGACTCCTGAGTAGCTGGGACCACAGGCGTGTGCCACCATACCTGGCTAATTTTTGTATTTCAGTAGAGATGGGATTTCACCATGTTGCCCAGGCTGTTCTTGAACTCCTGTGCTCAAGTGATCCACCTGCCTCGGCCTCCCAAAATACTGGGATTATAGGCATGAGTCACTGTGCCCAGCCTAAATTTTTATTTTGTAGAATTATATATTGTGTATTTTCTCTTATAAGTAGGCTTTCTTTCTTTTGAGATAATTTTTAAAAAAATCTTACATGGTTTTCGTTAGTACTTTTATGATTAACAAACCTTCTTAATCATTACAAGTTCTAAATTGTTCAGTGGATAGTACTGAGTTCCCTGTTTCAGTTTATATCTGAGCTAGATTAGCAAGTCAGTCCTATGGAAATATAGAATAGTAGTAAGAAGCTTGGATTCTGGAGTTGATAAGATTGGAATTTAGGCCTTCCTGTTTCTGAACTGTATGGTTTGGGGCATGCTACTTAATTAACCTCTCAGAGCCTCACTGGCTTCATCTGTAAAATGGTGATAAGTACTTCTTAGTTTGAGGTGAAAATTGCATGAGATGAGATGATTCCCTTAAAGCCCTTAGCACAATCCTTGACAAGTTGGAAACAGTCATTAAATGTAAAGTATTACTGTGATAAAGATGATGACCATAGACTACTCTCTCAACTTTAACTACATCCCATAATTCATGACTCTAATCGGAAGGGGTTGAATAAAAAGATGTATTCCCAATTTGCCCACATTACCACTTCAACATCAACAGTCCGAGCACAGTAATTCTCAGCCTTGGCAGTCCATTAAATTACCTGAGTAGATTTTTAAACTCCCAATGCCTGGGTCTCTTTCCCAGCGACCTGGGGCCTGGATATGGCCCAAGCACCAGTATTTTTCAAAAACCCTTCAGGTGTTTCCAATGGGCAGCCAAGTTCTAGAACCACTATTCTAACACTAGGCCACTGGTTTCAGATATAAAGGAAAACACATTGCTTCTAAATAACAGTACTGTATATAGAAATCTTTTATGGGTAAAATGCCATGAATTCATTAGAAAGACATTATAAAGAACATAGAAGACTTGAGACAAATGTTAGAGATATGTGAGAAAAGGAATTACAAAACTAAAGATGTTCCTTGTATATATTTGTAAGGCATCTTTCTCAGAAAAGCTTGGGCAGCTATACTGTAAGTACTTTTATAATATTGCTGAGAGGTAAGGGAAATGAAATTTTCTATCTGTTAGATGTGTTAATGGAAGCATGGAGATAGGTCTCATGTCAGCTGTCCAATTAGAGAAATTTATGATTTTTTTTTTTTTTTTTTTTGAGACGGAGTCTCACTGTGTCCCCAGGCTGGAGTGCAACGGCATGATCTCAGCTCATTGCAACCTTCACCTTCCAGGTTCATACGATTCTCCTGCCTCAGCTTCCCGAGTAGCTGGGATTACAGGCGCACACCACCACGCCCAGCCAATTTTTGTACTTTTAGTAGAGACGGGGTTTCACCACGTTGGCCAGGCTTGTCTTGAACTCCTGACCTCAGGTGATCTGCCCGCCCCAGCCTCCCAAAGTGCTGGGATTACAGACATGAGCAGCCTCACCCGGCCTATGACTTTTATTACCCCATTGCTTTCCTGGATGATTCTCAAAAATAATTATTTCTTTACTTTTTATTTTTTAATGTTAAGGACACAGCTGCAACAAAAATAATTATTTCTAATCATCAGTAATATAGCTTATCCCTATATGAGCACTTTAGGAAGGATGTATAATGGTATTTTAGCTCATTAATGCTGTGGGAGTAGGGTATATAAGAAAATTAGCTATTATTGAATCCAAAGAAAGAGCAGTGTGGTCTAAAGACACTGACTGGACAAGGAGACTCAGGAGGCCTGGATTCTGGTTCCTCAGCTTCAATTTCCTCAGGTGCAAAATGGAAGAATTAACAGAGGTCCCAAAGGTTTCTTTCAGGTGTAAGTGATTACTGTCTCACTAAACCACCTAAGTATAAAGCCTTTCTTAAGTTAATCAGTCAATATTAATAGAAGCTGCAGGAAAATTGTTCTAGTTCAAACTTTTTTCTTTCTTTCTTTCTTTTTTTTTTTGAGACAGAGTCTCACTCTGTCGCCCAGGCTGGGGTGCAGTGGCTGGATATTGGCTCACTGCAAGCTCCGCCTCCTGGGTTCACGCCATTCTCCTGCCTCAGCCTCCCAAGTAGCTGGGACTACAGGCGCCCGCCACCATGCCTGGCTAATTTTTTGTATTTTTATTAGAGACGGGGTTTCACCATGTTAGCCAGGATGGTCTCGAACTCCTGACCTCGTGATCCACCCGCCTCGGCCTCCCAAAGTGCTGGGATTACAGGTATGAACCACCACGCCTGGCCTCAAACTTTAAAAATTTATATTCCGGGCCAGGTGCGGTGGCTCATGCCTGTAATCCCAGCACTTTGGGAGGCCAAGGCGAGTGGATCACCTGAAGTCAGGAGTTCGAGACCAGCCTGGCCAACATGGGGAAACCCCGTCTCTACCTAAAATACAAAAATTAGCTGGGTATGGTGGCAGGCACCTGTAATCCCGGCTACTCGGGAGGCTGAGGCAGGAGAATCACTTGAACGCAGGAGGCAGAGGTTGCATCAGGAGGCAGAGGTTGCATGAGCTGAGATCGTGCCACTGCACCCCAGCCTGGGCAACAGGGTAAGAGACTGTCTCAAAAATAAATAAATAATAAAACTTAAAATTCCAGTCTTTTTTTTTTCTTTGATGGAATTTTGCTCTTGTTGCTCAAACCGGAGTGCAATGGCATGATCTTGGCTCACTGCAACCTCTGCCTCCTGGGTTCAAGTGATTCTCCTGCCTCAGCCTCCCAAGTAGCTGGAATTACAGGCGTGTGCCACCATGCCCAGCTAATTTTGTATTTTTAGTAGAGACAGGGTTTCACCATGTTGGTCAGGCTGGTCTTGAACTCCTGACCTCATCCACCTGCCTTGGCCTCCCAAAGTGCTGGCATTACAGGTGTGAGTCACTTCGCCTGGCCCATAGTCTTGTTTTGTCTTTACTTCTAAGGCAGTATGTGTCTCAAAATTGATATTTTAATCAAACTATGTCTTGATAGTATTAGATTAATATATGTTCTGCCTAACTAGAATATTCCCATTTTACGTGTCTTCATGCTGAAGGACGACTAATGGAGATTGATGGGGTTGTCGCTTGAGACTGGCGAGGATATGTTGGAGCATGAGTTCTCTGTTGCCCTTCAAATCATGCCCTGTAGATGACTTCATTTAGGACTGATCCTGGGGTCTTCCTTCTACATTTTATTCTAATATTTTCTACTTCTCTTTTTGCATTATATTACTCGTGATCATCAGGATTCACATAATTCTTGTATTGGTTGTATTTGCATTGTCTCTTTCCTATAAGATTATACATTTTTTGAAGCCAGGATACATTTATTTACATTGTATCCCTTACATGAGCTAGTACAGTGTCTTGGCACACAAAAGGAGCTTGACAAATGTTTAAATTGTTAAAAATTAAATAATTTTAATATCATTGCCTTCTCTTTTTTTGTGCCACTTTAGCTTTGTTTCCTTGACAATATTTCCAAAAAAATTTTTTACACAAAGTCCTATGTTATGACAGTATCCTTTAACTACTTTCTGAATACAGCAATGAGCTTTTTATTCTCAAAAGCCAAGAAGTAGTAATTAACAAAGCAGGGAAGAAATCATGATACCAAAATACAGAAATAGATCATAAATTAGGTAAGCTTTTAGTTGTGAATGTGTAGAATACTTTAAATGTTATTTCATGAGGCAGTTTAGGTAGTCTATTCATTTGAGTATTATAAACACATTAAAACTAAACTTTTGAACATTTTAATTATAATTTTCTAAACTTACATTGTTCTGAAATAACAATGAACAACTGTATAACATTCATTAAATGCCACAAATCATTAAAATAAACCATATGTATATAATTCAGAGAAATAAGTTATGATAGTATTGAAATTTGAGTATGATCGTGAGAAAACTGAGCATGATAGCTTTTGATGGAATAGAATAAAATTTTAAGCTAGTATAAGAAAAAACCCAACTTAAATATTTGTATTTAATAATAAAATAACGACTTTTGATCATGATTTGAATGACTTATTGAACAGTAAGATCTAATAAATATAAATACTGACGTATTCAGAAAGAATTTCATCTTTATTTAGCTTAATTGTTAAATTGGGATTTTGAGTTGTGAGGGTGATGCTTCAATATAGCTTGAAAATTATCCATTTTCCCAATCCCCCTTTTGAGTTTACCTTTGTGGGCTCTAAATTTTTCACCTGGTAGATCAATAAATACTTTTTTTTTTTTTTTTTTTTTTTTTTTTTTTTTGAGACGGAGTCTCTGTCGCCCAGGCTGGAGCGCAGTGGCGCCATCTCGGCTCAGGACAACCTCCGCCTCCTGCCTCAGCCTCCCGAGCAGCTGGGATTACAGGCACCCAGCGCCATGCCCAGCTAATTTTTTACTTTTAGTGGAGACAGGGTTTCACCATGTTGGCCAGCATGGTCTCAACCTCCTAACCTCATGATCCGGCCGCCTTGGCCTCCCAAAGTGTTGGGATTACAGGCATGAGCCACCGCGCCCGGCCCAATAAATACTTTCTAGGCAGGGAATTCTAACTTGTCACTCAGTATACTAGTTGGAGACAGGTTTAAAACACCAAATCTTGGCCGGGCGCGGTAGCTCACGCCTGTAATCCCAGCACTTTGGGAGGCCAAGGCTGGCGGATCACCTGAGATCGGGAGTTTGAGACCACCCTGGCCAACATGGTGAAACCCCGTCTCTACTGAAAATACAAAAATTAGCTGGACGTGGTGGTGTGCGCCTGTAATCCCAGCTACTTGGGAGGCTGAGGCAGGAGAATCGCTTGAACTCAGGAGGTAGAGGTTGCAGTGAGCCGAGATCGTGCCACCGCACTCCAGCCTGGGGGACAGAGTGAGACTCTGTCTCAAAAAAAAAAAAAAAATTAAATCTGTAAACTCTTATTTGAAGAGTTAACCGATACTAAAGTATATACTTACTACTTACAGGAGCATTTCCAAACTTCTGTGACTTCTGTACAGTAAGGTGCATTCATAGTATTAATGAAATTTAAAACACCCAAAGAATAACGCCTTTCACAAATGTTTATTTTGCTAGGTGTATGAACAGTTAAAGCCAGCCTGAAAGATAAAAAATACTAACTCTTGATTTCGATTTCTTACATTTTCTGCTCCAAAGTACAAAGGAACTTAAATTTGAAGTTATAAAACGGATCCCACATTGTTTCTGTAATTATCATTTCGCAGTATTGGTAATAGGAATAACATCTTTGTCGAATAACCATTCCTAAAACTTACTTTTAGACTCATTCTTACATATTAATTTGCAAATAAGCAAATGTTAAGGACAGTATCAAAAAAGACTTTAAAACACATCTAGTGAACGTTCTGAGTTACTTCTAGTTTCGAAAATTCTATTGAATTCCAAGGTCACATGTATTATGTACATTAAACTTGTTTCCCTAAATAAAAGTTACTGATATGGGAAAGTTGCTTTAGGGGAATTTTCGCTAGTAAATCCATAATCCTTAAAATTCTAAGTGAATTAAACATTGATACTTTGCAAATATTTACAGCAGTGTAAATATTACTTTTTAAAGGTGCGTTAGTTTCAAGAATGCTGGGGTCCTACAAGCATGATGACACTTTGTAACACATACTTTTTTTTTGGTCTTTTCCTCTGCTTTCTAAATCTCTTAATTGCCATAAGTATTAAATAGAACTGATGTCAAGGTATCTTCTGTTCAAGATGGATGTTTACTAAACATGCAAAGTATTTTTAGAGATATAGATTCTAATTTGGAAGAAGAAAAATAGCAACAAATTTTCTTATTCATTTCTTTTCTCATCTTTAAAATACAAGTTAAATCGTAATTGGAATCCCTTTTCCCATCGTGTAGTCAAGAGTCTGTGCCAGACTTGAAGGCTTTACTTTGTTAGCCATGTGTTTATGAACCCCCAGCGCTTTCCCTAGATCTTTTGGCTGATAATCTCAAACATGGAGGATGCTTCTGAATCTTCACGAGGGGTTGCTCCATTAATTAATAATGTAGTTCTCCCAGGCTCTCCGCTGTCTCTTCCTGTATCAGTGACAGGCTGTAAAAGTCATCGAGTAGCCAATAAAAAGGTAGAAGCGAGGAGTGAAAAGCTCCTCCCAACAGCTCTTCCTCCTTCAGAGCCGAAAGTAGATCAGAAACTTCCCAGGAGCTCCGAGAGGCGGGGAAGTGGCGGTGGGACGCAATTCCCCGCGCGGAGTCGGGCAGTGGCAGCGGGAGAAGCGGCAGCCAGGGGCGCGGCGGGGCCGGAGAGAGGCGGTCCCCTGGGAGGACGGGGTCTCCCCTCGTTGCCTTTGTAGTGGAGAAGGTGGACAAGTGGCAGTCGGCGTGATCGCAGGTGAGGGTCGCTCGGGAGCCGGCCGGCGCCGGCGGGGAAGTGGAGGCGAGCCGGGAACAAAGCGGAGCAGCTCCGGGGTCCGCCCGCGGCGAGCGCTCTGGCGGCGTTGGGCTGGCCGGCCGGCCAGCTGCGCGCCGAGCACGTTGTGAGCCTGGCGGCGGCGGCGGGCGAGGAGCCGGCGCTGGGGGAGGGGGCCGCCGCCGCTCCCGCACTGCCCCCCGCGGCGGGGCGTCCTGCCCCATTGTGAGGCGGCGGCAGGACGAGAGGAGGTAGGGCGCGCTCGGGGGGCAGGGGCGGCGGCGGCTCCGCTCGCTCGACACCCGGGCAGCGGCAGGAACGAACTCGGCTCCGGTAGCGGCCGCGGCGCGTCAGTCACACAAAAGGCAGCCGAGCTTCTCCCAGCGCGCGGACCGGCCCACGCTGCCGCCGAGGGCTCCCCACCTTACCGGCTTTCCTTTCCCTCCAATTTTGATAGGGAAGCGGGGCCGGCGCGGGCGGCCGAGGGTCCAGGCGAGCCCGCGGGCGGACGGGAGATGCCGCTGCTACACCGAAAGCCGTTTGTGAGACAGAAGCCGCCCGCGGACCTGCGGCCCGACGAGGAAGTTTTCTACTGTAAAGTCACCAACGAGATCTTCCGCCACTACGAGTAAGAGCCGGGCCGTGTGCGGGGCCGCGGGGGGTGTGGGGACTCCCCCCGCAGCGCTCTTTTGTCTCTCTCCTTTTCCTCGCCCTGGGCTTCTGGCGGGGCGACTTGAAAGTGACGGGTGGCCCCCGGGCCCGCGGTTCTCTGCCTCCTGGCCTCCACCTGGAGAACGCGCGGGGCCAACTGGCGGCGGCGCGCGTGGGGAACGCGGGTTGGTAGTGGCGGAGGAGGCTGGGTCCCTGGCCGGCCTCGGGGACCGCTCCTAGCCGCTGCTGTCGCCCTCCCGCCCTCTTGGCCGCGGGGCGGCGGAAACTCCCCGCCTCGCCCCTCCCCGCCGCGGCCACACGCGCACTCCGGGGCCAGTTCCGGGATCCCCTCCCGGCGGCCGAGGGGATCCCCGCTAGGGTCAGCGACGTGGGGCCGCAGTCCCTGGGCCGGGGAAGGGAATTCCTGCCCCGGTGGGCAGGAAACGACTGGGCTGGGCTTCGTTTTCTCAGTCGGGAGTGGGGTCTGACGTTGGAGCTGCCTGGGGTAGGGGAGAGAGGAGCGGAGTTGAGACTCGCTCTAGAAGGGAAGGAGGGGGCGTCCCTACGGGCCAGGGGTGGAGGGCGCGGGACGCGAGAGCCTCCGTCCGCGGCCTCCCGTCCGGCGCTGCTAGGCCTCGGAGTGCGACGCGAGCCGCGCTCTCTGTCACCGCCTCTTCTTGGTGACTAACTCGTCTCCGGGGAACTCAGCGTCTCCGCCCCCGGGAGATCAGTGAGGAAGAAGTCGCGGCTGGGCAAGGGGAAGAGGAAGGGGGAAGAAGCAGGGCCTTGGGCGCCCCTCGTTTTCACTTTCGCATAGCCGGGAAGCGCGGTGGAGGTTGTTGGGGGAGGGGGTTAAGACAAGTTCAACTCCAGACTCAGCCAGGCGCCGCTTTATCCCCCTGCGCATGTGGGCTGCCTGACATGTGCCACTCGCTATTGTTTTGATAAGAACGCGGAGCTGCTGGTGTAGTTACAGCTCCTACATTTTCAGCCCGTCGCTTAATTTATCCCAAGAGATCTAGTCCTGTGACACGGAGCAAGGGGGTGTGTTTTAGCGTCTTGTGTTTAAACAGGATCTCTAAGTGAGAACCTGACTTGATCAATCACTCGAAGAGGGTGATCCTCTCTTTTTCTTATGCTTTATCCTCTGCACTCAAAAGGAGTCCCTTTGTGGCTTGCAAACCAAGTGTAATAGCAACCAAGTAACGTCGCGTGTAAGGAGGCACCTTTTCTGAGTGGGGGCTTGATCAAGGGAGGGTTTTGGGCAAACTGTACCTGTCTAAGAAATGAATAGTGAGGTTAGAAAAGTTCCTTTGAGCATTTATTTTAAGTAAACCTTTTTCTTCAGCTCCACAGAAAGGGTTACACGTTAAACATGTTATATCCAGAGAAGTAGAGTACTTTTCGTCAGACAGTACTTTTAAGTAGGAGTGCACATCTCGCTCTGCTCCTGTAGAGACTTGTTTTGTTACTCAAATAGAGTTCTCGTAACTAGTTAAGTGAACTTGGATTAGGTAATTGGACAAGTTTTTTTTTTTTTTTTTTTTTTTTTTTTAGGATTTTAAAGCTACAGGCCTTGCTAACAATTACGATAAAAAAAAAACTAAGAGTATCAACAAAATAGTAAATAGGCTTAAATTTCAAACTGCTTTCTCCTTCCACGTAAGCAGTCTTTTAAAGAGGCTTTTCTCACTTTTAGAGGGTAGGATGAATATGACTGTTATCCTTTGTGAATTAAACACTCTTAAGGCACTTTGGTTCTTGAGCTGAATTATTCTAACCATGGAGAAATCTGAATTGCTGAAATACAGATTTTTCGCATTCCAGAACTATCTGTCTTCCATTATTTTTATTTATTTACTTATTTTGAGACAGGTTCTCGCTCTGTCGCCCAGGCTGGAGTGCAGTGGCACAATCTTGGCTCACTGCAGCCTCCACCTCGTGGGCTCAAACAATCCCCCCCCACCTTACCACCTTAGCCTCCTGAGTGTGGGATTGCAGGTGCATGCCACCACTCTGGCTAATTTTTGTATTTTCATAGACGGGGTTTCGTCGTGTTGCCCAGGCTGGTCTTGAACTCCTGAGTTCAAGTGATCTGCCTGCCTTGGTCTCCCAAAGTGCTAGAATTATAGGCGTGAACCACCAAGCCTAGTCTTATCTTCCATTAATATTAAGGAATTGTATCCTTTGTAGTCTTAGGGCATTTAAACATTTTAAATAACTAGGTTTTTATTTTCAATTTTTGTTTTTTCCCTTATGCTGAAGTGTTTGGGCTTTTGGAAATTACAAGCAGTCCCAGAGAGATTACTGGTTTGGGAGCAAAGGTATTTGACCATTTACCCTGAATTAAGGAGTATTGCTGATGTTCTTAGGTTTCTATGACTGAACGGAAATAATTTTGACAAAATTGGAAGAAGACTGCCATTTAATCATGTTACATTTTGAATTACTTTCTGTTTCTCGCAAATGATTACAAAGAGATCTTTCCAAAAATGCATTTGTGGTACGTGGATATGGTGGTCTGTAGTATGGTAACCTGACCTTTGGAACAACTCTGGAAAAACTATGACGGAAACCTCTGCAGGCTGCTCTTTTTTTGAGACGGAGTCTCACCCTGTCGCCCAGGCTGGAGTGCAGTGGTGCCATCTCGGCTCACTGCAACCTCTGCCTCCCGGGTTCAAGCATTCTCTGCCTCAGCCTCCCGAGTAGCTGGAATTACAGGAGCCTGCCACCACGCCCAGCTAATTTTTGTATTTTTAGTAGAGACGGGGTTTCATCATGTTGGCCAGAATGGTCTGGATCTCCTGACCTCAGGTGATCCACCTGCCTCGGCCTCCCGAAGTGTTGGGATTACAGGCGTGAGCCACCGCACTTGGCCTGTGCCTCACATTTTGTCTTCTCCAAGAACCTGAACTCTTTGAGACAGTGACTGGCCAGGATGCATCCTCAGTGATTATGTAGCAGAAGCTCCTTACTACATTCTCCTTAACTAATTGCTAACTCTTGATTGACCTGCTTTTTCATAGGTAAAGAAGACTCAATAGCACATCAACTATAGACAAATGCGTAAGCTAAGGTGCATAATGTAGTCTCTTAAATACGATTTATTCTGGCTGCATGCGGTGGCTCATGCCTATAATCCAAACATTTTGGGAGGTTGAGGTGGGAGGATCACTTGAGGCCAAGAGTTTGAGATCAGCCAGGTCAAAATAGTAAGACCTTGTTTCTACAAAAATAAAAATATTCTTTAATTTTGGCTAGCCGACAACAATTTTGTTTATTTTTGCTGTGGATTGTTAAAAAATGGAACAGGTCTGAATACAGAATTTCTTGACTTGTGGGATAGGAAAATGATTTGTTGTATTACCTAGTGACTTAATCTCATAAATAAAATAACTTTTTTTTTAGCCATGTAGACACTTGGAATATATTTCCCATCTTTGAGTGAGTTCAGCCTTCAATATAAAATGTATAACTCTCTTCCACAACATCACTAACAGGTGGTCCAAATTATGTTTCACACTGGCTTTTCATTGGAAGAGGTTTAACTAGCTTACAAGGCATCCTGTTTTCATTGTTCATCTGCTCTCCCTTGTTAATAAGTCAGTCCTTTCAACAGCCTCCTTTTACAGGTGAGGAAACAAGTTGGGGTGGGGAGTAAATCCAAGATTACGGTGTCCAAAATTATTTTTCTAGTAACTGATAATGCTAGACTCTAACATCAATTATTCTAGCATTTATGCTCTTTTTACTGTTTATCACATAGTGCTTATTATGGAAAATTCTTCCTGATATCTGTTGAAGTATGCATTAAGAAAATAGGGGCATTGCCTGGAATTTAAACTGGCTGCCTAGATCTTTGTGTAGATACCACTCTGTACTGTCTGCTTAGACATTTGGCTTTTTACTATACCCCAAGTGATTAAGCTCTAGGTATTCAATGGACATATCAGAACATCATCAATTTATAGTAGGGAAGAATGTCTTTCATACTGACCAATTCCTATACTAATGGTCAGTTATGTGTGAAATCTAGTTATAATCAAAGGCTATTTGGTGAGCATGGGGTTTTCAAAGGAAGTTGGATAATTTTCTTAGCTAGTGTCTTTAAATGAGATGTTTAGCTCCTTTTTAAGGAATAAGCCTGCCGTATTGTCCTGATACTTGGATCCATGAGTCCTTTTTTCCTGGATGGTATAGCAGAGATTCCTAAATGCTTTACTTTTTGAATTTTATCTTTTGTCTACTTAGCAGACACGTACTTAGTTTCAGATGTTTTAAATACATTTTTTCTTCAGACAATACATTGATCAGTTACTGCAATATTGTAGGTTGTAGTAACAACCTACCCCAAAACTTGGTGGCTCAAAATAACAACCCATTTTATTTGCTCACTATTCTGTGGATTGCCAATTTGTTTTCTGCTGGTTTCCTCTGGGCTCACTCACTTAGCTGCAGTCAGCTGGAGGCTAGGCTGAGGCAGGTTGGAGTAAGAGCCTCAGTCACAGGTCTGGGAACTCAGCTGGGATGGTTTTAGTTACCGTGTGGTCTTTCAACCTCAGAAAGAGGCTGTTTCACATGGTGGTCTTAGAGTTTCAAGAGGGTGAGAATGGAAGTCACTCAATATCATTTCTTTATTATTTTGGTCAAAACAGATTACAAGGTCAGCCCAGATTCAAGAGGTCATGAAATAGACTCCAGCTCTTGGTGAGAAGAGCATGAATGTCATATTTCAAAGGAGCCTGCACACCTTTAGACCTCTTTGCAAACAGTCTACCACAAGCAGTTGCTACAATTTTATAGTTGGGTCATCCTGATTGGATTTTGTGTGTTCACTGATAGTCTAATATATGTTATCCATCAAAACACAATGAAAACCATCCTAAGAACTTGTGGACCTGCCTTGTTGTTTGCCCCATACTACCTATAACAATGATTCAAAAACTCTTTCTTCCTAGAATTTCTGTTGTTTCCTACACTTGCCCTCAGGAGCTGACAAGAAGAAATATCTTCAGATGTTTGAGATAGTTCTGTCTCTTTCTGCTCCCCTTCCAAATGTCTAACTTTCTCTCTTGAAAACATGAGTTTTTCTGACATTGTTTCTCTACCATACTGGTTATTCTTCTAGGATCTCTCTGCACATGTGGTACCTGAACAATAAGAATTGATAATATTTATTGAGTGCACTTACATTTTAGGGGCATTTGCTAAGAATTATCTGATTTTATGTTATGTTATGTTATTTATTTATTTATTTATTTTGAGACGGAGTCTGGCCCTACCACCCAGGCTAGAGTGCAGTCATGAGATCTCGGCTCACTGCAAACTCCGCCTCCCGGGTTCATGCCATTCTCCTGCCTCAGCCTCCCGAGCAGCTGGGACTACAGGCATATGCCACCAAGCCTGGCTAATTTTTTTGTATTTTTAGTAGAGACGAGGTTTCACCGTGTTAGCCAGGATGGTCTCGATCTCCCGAGATCGAGTATATATATACATATATAATATATACGTATATATTATGTATATATATACATGTATTATACACACACACACACACACACACACACACATACATACTTACATACATAGAGAGAATGAGTGTGTTTTGGCCCCTAAGTAGAGTACACTTTGTTTTTATCTGAATTGTACTTTGTTTCTGTTTTTTTTTGAGACGGAGTCTCACTGTGTCGCCCAGGCTGGAGTGCAGTGGCTCCATCTCGGCTCACTGCAACCTCTGCCACCCTGGTTCAAGCGATTCTCCCACCTCAGCGTCCCGAGTAGCTAGGATTACAGGCTCCTGACACCGTGCCCAGCTAATTTTTGAATTTTTACTAGAGACGGAGTTTCACCATCTTGGCTATGCTGGTCTTGACCTCCTGACTTGTGATCCACCCGCCTCGGCCTCCCAAAGTGCTGGGATTACAGGCGTGAGTCACGGCACCCGGCCTAGTTTCTGATTTTTATGTCACAATTTAATCTTCCCCTACTAGGTTTTTAGTTTTTTAGTTTTCCCAATACCCAACAAATTAATAGTATGTTGCACTTTGTTCCTCAGTTTGTTCGCCAGAGTGTTGGTTGACTTCATATTACAGGTGCGTTCTTAAGAAAGTCCCTTGTAACTCAGCAACTTTTCCTTATGAAATAATGGTAAAGAGGAGGGGTCATCAAATTTTTTCCGCAAAGGGCCAGATAATCAGTATTTCAGGCTTTGCTTGGCCATAGGGTCTCTTGTACCTATCCAACTGTGCAAATGTAGTGAGAAAGCAGTTATTGACAACACCTAAAAATACAGGTATAGTTGTGTTCCCCAAAAAATCTACAAAAACAGGTGGAGGGCAGGGTTTGGTCTCTGTGCCAGTAGGATGCCCACCTTTAGTGAAGAGGATGATTGAAAGAGCGCAGTCATAAATCTGACATTAATAACCTGTATTAGCCTAAATTTACATTCATATAAAAATACTTTGTATGTTATCATTTTTGCTTATAGTAGTAAAATGTATTTCTTGTAAGTTTCGTTAGTTACATTCTTAATAATGTAGAAATTGAAGAGGCATTGTAACCAACCCCCTAGAATTCAGTATTAACAAATTCTGCACATTTAAATGTGTATGATAAATGGGTAAAGTGTGAGCAGAATTACAGAAGTGGGAGAAAGTGAAGGTGTGTAATGTTAGAGATGGTGCTGTGCTGTTAGGGGGTTATGAGTAGGGGAGAGATGACCCTTGGACTTTTCTCCCTTAAATTGGCCACTGTGGTAGCATGTCCTGCCTCCTTAGGGTAAGTCTTTGTGAACAGTGAAGCTATAATGTAACAATAACTTTGTAGAGTAAATAGACACAAAGGAAACAAATGGCACAAACATTTTGTAGGAGATAGTAGAAACCTTGGGATATAAAAGGGCAGCTATACATCACTGGTTGTGGCATTTGTGCCATTGCTGTTCTTGGTATTTTTAGGCAGTGTTAAGTCTAAATCGTGTTTGTTGCACTTCACTGCGTTTAGCTGTCCCCCTGCCATGGCATGAAATATCCCATGCGTGACCTACTCAATACCTCAGGCACTTAGCTGCTGTGGCTAGAGCTGTGCTGTCCAGAACAGGAGCCATTACTTGGCCAGATGGGTTATTAAGTACTTGAAATGTGATTAGTCCGAATTAAGATAGACATAAATGTAAAATATACATTGGATTTTTTTTTTCTTTTTTTTGTTTGAGACAGAGTCTCGCTCTGTTGCCCTGGCTGGAGTGCAGTGGCACAATCTCAGCTCACTGCAACCTCCACCTTCCGGGTTCAGGTGATTTTCCTGCCTCAGCCTCCCCAATAGCTGGGACTACAGGCGCGTGCCACCACGCCTGGCTAATTATTTGTATTTTTAGTAGAGATGGGGTTTCACTGTGTTAGCCAGCATGTGCTCGATCTCCTGACCTCGCGATCTGCCTGCCTCGGCCTCCCAAAGTGCTGGGATTATAGGCGTGAGCCACCATGCCCGGCGGATTTTTTTTTTTTTTAAAGAAGAATGTAAGTAAAGTATCTTAATTTTTAAAATGTTTATTACGTATTGAAATGAAATTATTTTGTGATATATTGGGTTATTTTTATTTTAAAATTTTTAAATGTGACCACTAGAAAATTTAAAATTATACATGTGACTAACCATTCTATTTCTACTAGCACTGGCTTACAGACTAAAGTATAAGATGTTTAGATTTGAAGTATAATTTTCTCAAGCAATACTAAGTATTGTTTAAGTTATTAGAAGTATACTTCATGTGATGGATATCCCAGTTACCCCGATTTGATCATTACACATTGTATACAGGTATTAATATGTATAACTGTTATATATCAATTTTAAAAAAGAGGAAAAAAGTATACCAATGTACACTATGTGCTAACTATGTACTGGTTTGAGAAGCTAAATATTATAGATATGTTTGTTTCTATAGGAAAAAGTTAGAACTTTTTTCTTTTTTTTTTTTTTTGAGATATTGTTTTACTCTGTCACCCAGGCTAGAGTGCAATGGTGCGATCTTGGCTCACTGCAACCTCGGCCTCACGGGCTGAAGTGCTCCTCCTGCCTCAGCCTCCTGAGTAGCTAGGACTACAGGCATGTGCCACCACGTGGACCTGGCTAATTTTTCCGTTTTTAGTAGAGACTGGGTTTTGCCGTGTCACCCAGGCTGGTCTTGAGCTCTTGGGCTTAAGCATTTCTCCTGCCTCAATCTTCCAAAGTGGTGGGATTATAGATGTGAGCCACCGTGCCTGAACTAGAACTTTTTTAAGAAACAGGGTTGTGCTCTGTCACTCAGGCTGGAGTGCAGTGGTGTAATTATAGCTCACTGCAGCCTTGAACTCCTGGGTTCAGGTGCTCTTCCCACCTCAGCCTCCTGAGTAGCAAGGACTATAGATGTGCGCCCCCTGGCTAATTTTTTTCTTCAATTTTTGGTGGAGACAGGGTCTCGCTTTGTTGCGCAGTCTGGTCTCGAACTCCTGGCTTCAAGTGATCCTCCTGCCTCAGCCTGCCGAAGTGCTGGGATTACAGGCATGAGCCATCGTGTCTGGCTAAGACCTACCTGTTAACATTACTTCCCCCCAAAAAAGTTCTAATAGTATTTTTAAAAATCTTTTTTTACCTTCTGAATTCTTCCCTTCCCTTTCTCTGAATTCTTAGGATATCTGCCTTCTAGCTTATAAGGATAACTGCTTTTTACTTTGTATTTTTGATGATATACACCGATTATTTCCTGAACTAAACTTTAGTTCAAAAGGATCTTCTTTGTACTGAATTAAGAGCCATATAACTTGGCATATGCATGCTATTTCTGTAGATCTCATTTAAGTTAAGGTATGATTAGTTTCTCTTGCTTTATTTCCGTAGATACCTTTTTAAAAAGTTGTTCTATAGAGATGTACAAAGGAAACAATCTAAATGGAATTGCCCCCAATTTTTGGAGATCAAACTAATAGAGATAACCTACACAGATAGATGTGCTAACCAGGAAATAGACATATAACAGTTTAAGTACTTTTAGAATGACGGGAGAAGTAAAGATTTCAGGAAGGAGAAAAAATTGAAGAATAATGAATTATATGGTTACATATAGAAAAGTAGAACAAAGTGTAAAGCAGGAAAAAATTTTACCTGTATCTTACCACTTAGAGGCAGCCATTGTTAACCCTTTTGCATATGTATAACCATATGCATATATATAAAAAAATTTTTTTTCAGACAGTCTCACTCTTACACAGGCTGGAGTGCAGTGGCATGATTGTGGCTCACCGTAGCCTTGAACTCCTGGACTGAAGCGATTCTCCTGCCTCGGCCTCCGGAGTAGCTCGAATTACAGGCTCATGCTACCACAGTGGGCTTTTTACACTTAAAAAAAATTATATTGGCTGGGCGTGGTGGCTCACGCCTGTAATTTTAGCACTTTGGGAGGCTGAGGTGGGCAGATCACCAGGTCAGGAGATCAAGACCATCCTGGCTAACATGGTGAAACCCCATCTCTACTGAAAATGCAAAAAATTAGCCAGGCATGGTGGCATGTGCCTTTAGTCCCAGCTACTTGGGAGACTGAGGCAGGTGAATCCCTTGAACCTGGGAGGCGGAGGTTGCAGTGAGCCAAGATCATGCCACTACACTCCAGCCTGGGTGACAGAGCGAGAACTCTGTCTTTAAAAAAAAAAAAAAAATTTATTGCGCTGTGTGCGGTGGCTCACGCCTATAATCCCAGCACTTTGGGAGGCTGAGGTGGGTGGATCACGAGGTCAGGAGTTCGAGACCAACATGGTGAAACCCCGTCTCTACTAAAAATACAAAAATTAGCTGGGTGTGGTGGCGCGCGTCTGTAATCCCAGCTACTCAGGAGGCTGAGGCAGGAGAATCACTTGAACCTGGGAGGCGGAGGTTGCAGTGAGCTGAGATCGCACCACTGCACTCCAGTCTGGGTGACAGAGTGGGACTCCATTTAAAAAAAATTATTGCAAAATGATATATGAGTAATGCTCATTAAAAAAATTTAAACAGGACTGAATGCGGTGGCTCATGCCTCTAATCCCAGCACTATGGGAGGCTGAGGTGGTGAATTGTTTGAGGCCAGGAGTTCAAGACCAGCTTGGCCAACATGATGAAACTCCATCTCTACTAAAAATACAAAAATTAGCCAGGTATAGTGGTATGTACCTGTAGTCCCAGCTGCTTGGGAGGCTGAGGCACAAGAATTGCTGGAACCAGGGAGGCAGAATTTGCAGTGAGCTAAGATCGTACCACTGCACTCCAGCCTGGGCAACAGCATGAGATTCTGTCTCTGGAAAGTAAATACATAAAAAAAAATAAAAATTCAAACAGGCTGGGTCTGGTGGCTCATTCCTATAATCTTAACACTTTGGGAGGCTGAAGTGGGAAGATAGCTTGAGCCCAGGAAGTTGAGACCATCCTGGGCAACATAGTGAGACCCCATCTCTACACTCTCAAAAAAATTAGGTGAGTGTCCTGGTGTGCACCTGTAGTCCCAAATACTCAGGAGGCTGAGGCAAGACAGAATGCTTGATCCTAGGTGATTGTACCACTGCCCTTCAGTCTGGACAACAGAGTGAGACTCTCTTAAAAAAGAAAAAAAATTCAAACAATATAGAATTATTTAGAATCACAAAAAAAGTTTTCCTTTTCCTTCCTTCCCAGTCTCCCCTCCTTTCTCCATAGGGAATATCTTTACAGTATATATATAAGTACATACATTTTTGTGATTATTATAATTAATGTACATGGGATTGTGTATTCATTGATTCATGTTTTTCCTACCCATTATGTCTTAGAAATCTTTCTGTGATATAGATCTCTTGCATTTTAAAGGAGAGTGGATAGGGCTGGGAATGGTGGCTCACGCCTGTAATCCCAGCACTTTGGGAGGCCGAGGCAGGTGGATCACAAGGTCAAGAGTTCGAGACCAGCCTGGCCAACATGAGGAAACCCCATCTCTATTAAGAATATAAAAATTAGATGAGCATGGCCGGGCGCGGTGGCTCACACCTGTAATCCCAGCACTTTGGGAGGTTGAGGCAGGCAGATCGCCTGAGGTCAGGAGTTTGAGACCAGACTGACCAACATGGAGAAACCCCGTCTCTACTAAAAATACAAAATTAGCCGGGCGTGGTGGCACATGCCTGTAATCCCAGCTACTAAGGAGGCTGAGGCAGGAGAATCCTTGAACCTGGGAGGCAGAGGTTGTGGTGAGCCGAGATCGCGCCATTGCACTCCAGTCTGGGCGACAAGAGTGAAACTCCATCTCAAAAAAAAAAAAAAAAAAAAAAAAAAAAAGCCGAGCGTGGTGGCGGGCACCTGTAATCCCAGCTGCTCGGGAAGCTGAGGCAGGAGAATCGCTTAAACCTGGGAGGTGGAGGTTGCAGTGAGCCGAGATCCGGCCACTGTATTCCAGCCTGGGTGACAGAGTGAGACTCCGTCTCAAAAAAAAAAAAAAAAAAGAGAGAGTGGATAGAGTTTTTGAAAATAGGTAAATGCGCGTATTAAGGAATTCCAGCAGAATAGAAGAGCACTGAATAGAATGGTTCCCCAGTCTTATCACTACTGCCTGTTACCTCGAGTTTTGTATGACATTCCAGAAACCTATGCTTCTATAGGTACCTTTTATTTTCTTTCCTTTTTCTCTTTTCCTCTTTTTTTTTTTTATAACACAAATGAGATCATCATATAGTTTCAAGAAAATACAGGAGAGATCAAACTGAAAATAGGTATTTTTCTATTAACATTAATGGAAATGTTAATTAAGAACTTTATACTTTTTAATGACTGATTTTTCATTATATAAAGTACTACTTTATTTAGCTTTTTTCTTGTTAGCTGCTTAAAGTTTTCAGTTTTTCACTGAAAAGCAGATGGAACTCAAAGTCTGGTTTTGACTGATGTACCTTTAAATTGCAAAATATAAATATTTAGTTTAAATATACTTTTTCTTATGTTTGTATTAATGTTATAAGTTGACCAGTTACCAAACCCTTGAGTTCTGTGAGTCTACATAAAATTTTGCATTAAAGGCACAAAAATAACCTGATAATGCTATCAGTTTTTAATGTAAAATTTGTGAAATGATAGGTAATGGGCTTTTGTTTTTGTTTTTGTTTTTTAATCAGTGACTTTTTTGAACGAACCATTCTGTGCAACAGCCTTGTGTGGAGTTGTGCTGTGACGGGTAGACCTGGACTGACGTATCAGGAAGCACTTGAGTCAGAAAAAAAAGCAAGACAGAATCTTCAGAGTTTTCCAGAACCACTAATTATTCCAGTTTTATACTTGACCAGCCTTACCCATCGTTCGCGCTTACATGAAATTTGTGATGATATCTTTGCATATGTCAAGGATCGATATTTTGTCGAAGAAACTGTGGAAGTCATTAGGAACAATGGTGCAAGGTAAAGTACTTTTAATTTTTCCTCTTGGTAAGTTTATATTCACATTGCTCAAAATCCAAAACACACAAAGTGGTGACCTAAGGAAATCTTCCCTTTTACTATGCTCTAGCTATTCTGTTAACCCACAGATAGCCCCGGTGTTAGCTGTTTCTTGTATATCTTTCCAAAGCTAATTTATATATATGCCACCAAAAACATATACGTGCATGCGTCTGTATGTGTATATATAACATGTGTCTTATGTAACAAACGTGCACAAATTCCTTCCCTTTTTAATGCAAAAGAACATACATACTCTAGATCCCTTTTCACTTAAAAGATCTTGAAGGTTAGTCCTTTGTTACATAAGCCACCTTCCTTCTCTTTAATTTACTGTATAATAAAGTTCTATTATATGGAAGTTCCATCTTTAGGAGTAGAAATCTTTAGCTAATGGTATCTACTGTGTCCTCATTATGTCACCTAATAGTTTAAATATGCCAGTATTTATTTATTGGTTTTAGTGTTTTATTTAACAAAACCAGGATTGAGTTTTATATACTCCACTAAGTTCTCCTTCTTTCATACTTTCTCACATTGCTTTATTGAGCTGTAACTCACATACAATACACTTCTCCTTTCTGTAGTATACAAATGCAGGGTTAGTGCTCTTCCCTTTCACCGAGCTCTTCAGAAATAAAGTGGATTTTTATATGAACATTGAAAATGACACAATCTATGGCAATAAATGAAAAATTATCAATGTTTTCCTCAAGTCTGAAGCTTTGTGATTGGCTAGTCACTGACATTTATAATAATAAACTTTATATGCATTAAAACCTCTTGTAGCCTCTTGACTTTAGGTATTAACTGTTTTTTGGATGCCCTGCCCCCATTATTGACCTGAATACAAATTTTTTTTTTCTCGATTTTAAACTTTAGAAGCCAAAAGTTATTTATGTTGTTACTATTATCTTATTTGAAGAATCATTATAAGTTTGTATGTAATGTTAGAATTAATGTCTTAACAAATTAATATAATCCATTTTAATTGTTAGGTGCTACTCTACTTGAATCTTAAAAAGCCAAGCAACCAAATGTGTTTATATTAAGATATAATTTATTTGGGTTTGATTTTTGGCAAGTAATTAAGTTCTTTTTTTTTTGAGACGGAGTTCCGCTCTTGTTGCCCAGGCTGGAGTGCAATGGCAAGATCTCGGTTCACTGTAACCTCCACCTCCCAGGTTCAAGTGATTCTTATGCCTCAGCCTCCTGAGTAGCTGGGATTACAGGCACCCACCACCACACCCAGCTAATTTTTGTATTTTTAGTAGAGACGGGACTTCATCAGGCTGGTCTTGAACTCCTGTCCTCAGGTGATCCACCCACCTTGGCCTCTCAAAGTGCTGGGATTACAGGTGTAAGCCACTGCGCTTGGCCTAAGGCTTAATTTCTTAATACATTGGCTATTCTTTTTATTGTGTGAGACAAAGTCTGGCTCTGGGTTTGTTTTTGTTTTTTTTTTTTGCTTTTTTTTTTTTTTTTTAACTTTTGGTATAGATGAGGTCTGGCTCTGTTGCCCAGGCTAGAGTGCAGTGGCTCCATCTCAGCTCACTACAACCTCTACCTCCCAGGCTTAAGCCATCCTCCCACCTCAGCCTCCTGAGTAGCTGGGACTACAGGTGCATTCCACCATGTCCAACTCATTTTTGTATTTTTTGTAGAGACGGGGTTTCACCATGTTGCCCCAGCAGCTCTCAAACTCATGAACTCAAGTAATCCACCTGCCTTGGCCTCCCAAAGTGCTGGGATTACAGGCTGAGCTACCAAGCCCAGCCTATATTGGCCATTCATAATTGGTGATTGTGCCTGAAGTTTTCCTCCCTTAAGTACAACATTCTGAATGTACTCTGTTAAAAAAACAAAACAAAACAAAAAAACTATGGAACTCTTGTCCTAATGCATTTAAATAATTAAGCATAGAATTGGGTTAATCTGAAATGTGCTTGTAAGAACAAGAGAACAGTACTTTATTAGTTATTTTTATCTAAAAACTAAGAATGGTTACAGTTATTAGATCCACTCCTTAGGTCCTTTGTTCCCATGATCACTTAGATTATAAGTACCATAGGGTTGGGGCGTTTGGGGAGGGTGGAGGTTGTGGAACTTGAGACTAGAGACTCCCCAACTCCTCAACTCCTCCAAAGACTGGAGACAGCACGAATTAGAATTCATATGTATATTTTACTAATATATCCTTAAGGTTGGCATCTTTTACAAAGCTATTTTGTTTGTCTTCTCTGTAACTTGCTGTGAGCACCATTGACAAGGGAGTAGTAAGTAAGGTAAGAATAGTAAAAACAAAATACTAAGAGGTGGCATATGAAAAAGATTAATTGGGGATGATGAATTATAGGAAAATCATGATTTAAAGGAGGCTCAGTTAAGAGTTAAGTAGAAAAGGGGTCTCAAGATGCCAGTGGATAATCTAGTAAGTTTTTAAGCTAAGTAATTAAATTTTTTCAACCAATAGCAGAAAATCATCAGGAAAAGTATTTAGAAATAACTGAAAACCTCTTTCCCTTTTAAAATTAAGTTACGCTGTTGTTTTTCTGTGGATTTTTTTTTTTTTTTTTGACAGGGTCTGGCCCTGTTGCCCAGACTGTGCAGTGGTACAATCAGAACTCACTGCAGCCTCAATCTCTCAGCCTCAAGCAGTCATCCCGCCTCAGCCTCCTGAGTAGCTGGGACTATAGGCATGTGCCACCACACCTGGCTGATTTATTTATTTTTTTAACTTTTAGTATAGATGAGGTCTGGCTATGTTGCTCCTGAGCTCAAACAATAATCCCACCTCGGCTTCCCAAAGTGCTAGGGTTATAGATGTGAGCCACTGCACCTGGCCTTTTCTGTGGATCTTATAAATCAACCACACTGTCCTATGAAGTGTGAAATAACAACATAATTTACCTTTTAAAGGGATGTACCTGTACCAGTCTTGCTGCTATACAGTAGTCATATATTTGAGTTCCTTTTTTATACCAGACACTGATTTAGGTGTTATGGATTAATGGCTCCCCGACTCACAAAGCCAGACATACTTGCTGCTTCTCAAATATGCCAGGCATGATCCCTGCCTCAGGGCCTTTGCATTACTCTTCTCTTTGTCTGGAATTTATTTCCCCAGATATCAACGTGGTGAGTTCTTTTACTTCTTCATGTCTTCCTCCATATCACTTTCATTGAAGCCTTCTGTCCTATCTGAAATTTAGCATTTTCTTGCCCCAACTTTTAATTATTTTATTATTTTAAAATTTATTTATTTTTTGCCTCCCCACCCTCGCCCCAACTTTTAATTATTTTATTTTATTTTAAAATTTATTTATTTTTTGCCTCCCCACCCTCGCCCCAACTTTTAAAACATTCTTGATAAAAATTTTTTAAATTGTGGGCCAGGTGTGGTGGCTCAAGCCTGTAATCTCAGCACTTTGGGAGGCTAAGGCAGGTGGATCACCTGAGGTCAGGAGTTCGAGACCAGCCTGGTCAACATGGCAAAACCCCATCTCTACAAAAAATACAAAAATTAGCTGGATGTTTTTTCTTCTCTGTAACTTGCTGTGAGCACTATTGACAAGGGAGTAGTCAATAGTCAATTACAGGCATGTGCCTATAATTCCAGTTACTCAGGAGGCTGAGGCAGAATTGCTTGAACCCAGGAGGTGGAAGTTGCAGTGAACCGAGATCACGCCACTGCACTCCAGTCTGGGCAACAAAGCACGAGTCTGTCTCAAAAAAAAATTTTTTTTTAATTGTGGAAAAATACACAACATAAAATTAGTCATCTTAACCATTTTCGAGGATACAGTTCAGTCATCGCCTCAACATTTTATATTTCTCTTCCATGCTTTGTTTTTTGTTCACCTTGGCACTATTAACATATTTTCTTTATTTATTTTGTTGTTGGTGGTTTCCTCCACCAGAATGTAAGCTCCATGAGCTCAGGAATTTTTGTTCGCTGTATTGCTAGCACTTAAAATGGCACATAGTATGTGAGCAGAGCAGGTATTTGTTGAAGTATAAATAATGCAAAACAAATTTCAAATAGAAGTGCTTTGAAGGCAGTGGTATGGTAGAGAGTGAGGGGAGGAAGTGGTTGGCACTTGAGCTAGGGTGGTCAGAGAATGTTGCTGTGGAGGAAGTGACATTAACTCTGAGAACAGAATGAAGGAGAAGGAACCAAACATGTCAAGAACTCTCTAGACAGAGGGAGAGGCCTGAAGTGGAAATAATTTAAAATATTGCTCTGGCTGCTGTTTGGTGAAATGATTGAAACGAGGTCAAGCATGGAAATCCTGGAACCAGTTTGGAGGCTACTACAACAGGCTTTCTAGTGCAGATAAGAACTTTGAATCAGATGGCAGCAGTACAAATGGAGAGAATTGGATGGATTCAGGATATTTTGGGTGGAGAACTAACACGATTTATTCATGGATTGGATGGATGCTGGTTTGGGCAGGGGAATGTGTGGGAAAGGAGAAATCATGGATGATGAAATCATGGATGATCTCAATTTTTTGCCTTTAGTAGATGGTAAGATGGAGAAGCTTAGCTCATGTCTATTGTCCCTTAGCTCATGCCTATACTTGGGCAGGAGGATCAGTTGAGCCCAGGAATGCAAGTGAGCCGACTACATGATCATGCCAACTACACTCCAGCTAGGGTGACACAGCAAGACCCTACCTCTAAAATGAAGAAGAGACTGGGTGCGTTGTGGCTCAAGCCTGTAATCCCAGCACTTTGGGAGGCCAAGGCGGGCAGATCATGAGGTCAGGAGATCGAGACCATCCTGGCTAACACGGTGAAACCCCATCTCTACTAAAAATACAAAAAGTTAGCCAGGCGTAGTGGCGGGCACCTGTAGTCCCAGCTACTCAGGAGGCTGAGGCAGGAGAATGATGTGAACCTGGGAGGCGGAGCTTGCAGTGAGCCGAGATTGCGCCACTGCACTCCAGCCTGGGTGACACAGCGAGACTCTGTCTCAAAAAAAAAAAAAAGAAAAAAGATGCAGAAGCCTCAGGAAGTAATGTATCAGTTTAGCCATCTTTGCACTCAAATCAGGCCTTGTTATTTTCTGATTGCTCTGATTTTGTGTTTCATGGACATCTTTGTGTTACTCATAAGTGACTTTTTTTTTTTTTTTTTTTTGAGACCGAGTTTCGTTCTCACTGCCCCAGGCTAGAGTGCAGTGACGCAATCTTGGCTCACAGCAACCTCTGCCTCCCGAGTTCAGGCGATTCTCCTGCCTCACCCTCCCGAGTAGCTGGGATTACAGGCGCCCGCCACCACACCCAGCTAATTTTTGCATTTTTAGTAGAGATGGGGTTTCACTATGTTGACCAGGCTGGTCTTGAACTCCTGACCTCAGGTGATCCACCCATCTCAGCCTTTCAAAGTGCTGCGACTAAAGGTATGAGCCACCGCACCCGGCCTCATAATTGCTTCTTACAGGCTAGATACTGGGCTGGGTATATTGGGGTTTTGGAAAGAATTAAGATGCTCTAAGCAGCCTAGGCAACACGGTGAGACCCTGTCTCTACAAAAATTAAAAAATGAAAAAGCCAGGCATGATGGCATGTGCCTGTAGTCCTAGCTACTCAGGAGGCTGAAACAGGAGGATCACGAGCCCAGGAATTCTAGGCTGCAGTGAGCTATATTGCGCCACTGTGCTGCAGCCTAGGTGACAGTAAGATCTGGTCTCAAAAAAAAAAAAAAAAAGATGCTCTTGAGTTCAGTTAAGAGAGAGACAAACATGCAGACTTGCTAAATATTAAAGTTGTGAATAAGGTAACTCAAGAGCATCCAAGTTCAGTGTGGCATTGAGGCTAGGCCTAGGTTCCCCACACTTAACTAACACTGAATAAGTCTTTTAACCTTTGCCAGATTGGATGATATCTCAGTGTTTAGCTTGCTTGTTCCAATCCTTTGCTTATTTTTCTTTTGGCTTGTTATTAGTATGTTTGTGGGAGATTTATATTAAATACTAGGCATATTAAGCTCTTTGTTATACTGCTACAAGTATGTTTCTGTTCCATTTTTTGTTCTTTTTCTTAAGTGTGCAATAAGGGTAAAAAGCCCTTTACTTACTTATTTATTTATTTTTTGAGATAGTTTCTCACTCTTGTCACTAAGGCTGGAGTGCAGTGGCGTGATCACGGCTCACTGCAGCCTTGACCTCCTGGGCTTGGGTGATCCTCCCACCTTAGCCTCCTCCTGAGTAGCTGGGACCACAGATGTGTGCCACCACACCCAGCTACCTTTTAATTTTTCTGTATTTTGTAGAGACAGGGTTTCGCCATGTTGCCCAGGCTGGTCTTGAACTCCTGGGCTCAAGCAGTCTGCTAGCCTTGGTTTTCCAAAATGTTGAGATTAAGATGTGAGCCACCATGCCTGGCCCAAGACATTTTAAATATATGTAACAAATAATTAAGAAATAAAGAATAAAAATACAATAAACATCCCTGCATTCTCCACTTGTGTTAAAAACTTAAGACAAATTAAATTTAACAGAGCTTAACTGACGAAAGAACAATTAGCAAATCAGGCAGCCCCCTGAACCAGAAATAGGTTCAGAGTGACTCTGGTGCTGCTGTATGGTTGAAGAGGATTTATGAACAGAAAAAGAAAAGAGACATACAGAAAATGGAAGTGAGGTACAGAAATAGCCAGATTGGTTGCAGCTTGTCGTTTGCCTTATTTGAACACGGTTTGAACAGTTTGCTGCCTGTGAGTGGTTGAAGTATGGCTGCTGTGATTGGCTGAGACTTAGCTACTTGTTACAAGAGTAGGTTATAGTCTGTGTATACACCCAGTTAGATTATAGTTAACCATGTACAGAGAAACCTTTAGGCTGAACTTAAAATATATAAGGAAGCAGCATTAGGCTAAACTTAACACTTGGTATTATTATATTATTATTATTATTATTTGAGACGTAGTTACACTCTGTCGCCCAGGCTGGAGTGCAGTGGCGCGATCTCAGCTCACTGCAACCTCCGCCTACTGGGTTCGAGCGATACTTGTGCCCCAGCCTCCTGAGTAGCTGAGATTACAGGCCCGCACCACCAAGCCCAGCTAATTTTGTATCATTAGTAGAGATGGGGTTTTGCCATCTTGGCAGGGCTAGTCTCGAACTCCTGACCTCAGGTGATCCGCCAACCTCAGCCTCCCAAAGTGCTGGGATTACAGGCATGAGCCACTGTGCCGAGCCAACACTTGGTTTTAATAGGATACCTTTATCTCTGCTTTTTGTTTATAGTTTGAGAAAAGTTTTATGGGAGGGAGGTAGTGATAGCGAAGGGCAGGATTTGGAGTTAGACTTTGTTGGACAAATGACATCCTTTTGGGTTATTGCGAGATTAAAATGAAAATGTATATGTATGTATGTGTGTATTGTATACATTTTGAATTGCTATAGAATATGGTAGCATTTTACTGGGGGAGTAATACTGCCGTTGACTTGAGGCTTATGTGGTAGTTAATTTTTTTTTCTATTGACTTTAATTTTCTATTGAAAGTTAAATTTTATGTTATGATTAAACTTCAAAGATGACTTGTAATTTTAACATTTTATTTTATTTTATTTCGAGATGGAGTCTCACTCTGTCGCCCAGGCTGGAGTGCAGTAGCGTGACCTCGGCTCACTGCAGATTCTGTGTCCCGGGTTCAAGCGAATTTCATGCCTTAGCCTCCTGAGTAGCTGGGATTACAGGCATCCACCACCATGACCGGCTAATTTTTGTATTTTTAGACAGGGAGTTGCCATGTTGGCCAGGCTGGTCTCGAACTCCTGACCTCAAGTGATCCACCCGTCTTGGCCTCCCAAAATGCTGGAATTACAGATGTGAGCCACCGCACACAGCCCACAATTTTAACTTTAGATCCTGAGTTCCGCATCATATATCCTTCTCTCTCTATCCCTTTCACTTAAATTTCAGTTAAAATAACTTTAAGATATAAACTTGCCTAAATTGACTAGATTTCCTTTGGTTTGAATTGTGCCTTCAGCACATACTTACTACCTGTATAACTTTTTGGCAAGTTATTTAACATCACTTATCTCCTAGATTTCCAGTAAAGGGACTGCAGAATTACAGAGAAATCAGATAGAGACCATTCTTGTGTTGAATTAGTTGGTATAGGTACTCAGATCTGCTCGCTTCAATATTCTTTTCTTATTGTCTCATTTACTTTTAACTATCTCCCCTTGTCTTTTATCTTTGAGATGGGGTCTTGCTCTGTCGCCCTGGCTGGAGTGCAGTGGCACCATCTCAGCTAACTGCAACCTGTGTCTCCTGGGTTCAAGCAATTCTCCTGCCATAGCCTCCCGAGTAGCTGAGATTACAGGCGTGTGCCACCACGCCTGGCTAATTTTTTTGTATTTTTAGTAAAGACAGAGTTTCACCACATTGGCCAGGTTGGTCTCAAACTCCTGACCTTAAATAATTCACCCGCCTCGGCCTCCCAAAGTGCTGGGATTACAGGCGTGAATCACTGCGCCTGACCTTCCCTTGTCTTTTTTGCATCTTTACAAGTATAGCTTAGGTGCTTCCTCCTCTCCACCAAGACTTTATGCTTTCAAAGAAGCAATCAGGTAACAGATTATTTTAAAAGATCCTTTGTTATTGTTGTGACAGAGTAGTAAAGAGAATAGCTGACTACTTGGCAAAGATAGGGGAAAGAAAGCATGATTTAGTTATTATTTAGTTGTTCAACTCTCCTCCACACCCTGATTACCACCTAGCTTGCCTGCCAAATGCACTGACATTTGTTCTCTGCTACTTCCTTAGAGCCTACAGGAGAAGTCTTGTGACAGGAACACTAAATTGGAAGTTGAGTCTGTTCTTAAATACTTACCAGATGTTTTGTGTCTATATTATATCAGTAGATGGGAGGCAAGAACTTAATATTTCCATTTACAGATGAGGAAACAGATCAAAAGAAGTGATTTTTTTTTTTGTAATTGTTCAACATGTATTTATTGATCATCTGTACGCTTGCACTGTTCTAGATGCTGGAAATAGAGCAGTGAACAAAAAACCAAGTCATGGAGCTTTCCTTCCAGTCTTAACACAGGTAGTAGACAGGATTTAGATTCAAGGAGGACTGATTTACAAAATCATTTCTTTCACTGTGCTCTTGGTTTTGGGTTCTGCCATTTATGATTAGCTGTATGGCTTTGAACAAGTAGTTTAAACTCTGTGAGCTTTAGTCTTTTTTCACGTATTAAATGAACCCCCCGCCTTATAGGGTTGCTTCTCAGGATGAAATGATGTAATAAATCTGATTTTTTTAAAAAGCTATATTATAGAATGTTGCCATTCATGTAGATGTCTTATTAATATTTCAGTGTCTTCATTGGGGAACATGCACTTTATTTTATTTTTTTTGAGACAGAGTCTCAGTCTGTCACCCAGGCTGGAGTGCAGTGGTGCAATCTTGGCTCCCTGCGACTTCCGACTCCCAGGCTCAAGCCATTCTCATGCCCCAGCCTCCCAAGTAGCTGGGAATACGGGCGTGCGTGCCACCATGCCCAGCTAATTTTTGTATTTTCAGTAGAGACAGTTTCATTATGTTGCCCAGGCTGGTCTTGAACTCCTGGCCCCATGTGATCTGTCCGCCTTAGCCTTCCAAAGTGCTGGGATTACAGGCATGAGCCATTGTGCCCCGCTGATTTTATTTCACTTTTTGAGACATGCCAGTGGTGATGTAAGGGCTGCAATAGCTATCTTTGCCATTACAACTTGGAATCAAATTCCCCTATTGTAACTGGAAGGAAACTCCAAAAGTTAACAATTTCTATATAGTGGACAGACATAGTTTTTTGTTTGTTTTTTAAGATGATCATCCCACATTTTTATGTGGTCTTTTTTTTTTTCTTTGAGACGGAGTCTAGCTCTGTCGCCCAGGCTGGAGTGCAGTGGCACGATCTCAGCTCACTGCAAGCTCCATCTCCCGGGTTCACACCATTCTCCTGCCCCAGCCTCCCGAGTAACTGGGACTACAGGCACCCGCCACCACGCCCGGCTAATTTTTTGTATTTTTAGTAGAGACAGGGTTTCACCATGTTAGCCAGGATGATCTCGATCTCCTGACCTCGTGATCCGCCCGCCTCAGCCTCCCAAAGTGCTGGGATTACAGGCATGAGCCACCACGCCCGGCCTATGTGGTCTTCTAAGAACGCCATGCAAACAGATTTTAAGGCATCTAAGTATTATTTCCTTTTTTTTTTACTTCACTATGTTGCCCAGATGGCCTCTTGGGCTCAAGGGATCCTCCCTCCCACCTTAGCCTCCTGAGTAGCTTGGACTACAGGCATGGGCCACTGTGCCTTGTTCTCATTGTCTTTTTTTTTTGAGCAAACACAATCATTGTTTAACGAAACGCTGGAAGAATGGTGAACTGGAACTCAAATACTTGGATGATTCACCCATCTTCTGTCCCCTCCCCTGGAACTGGAGAATTAAATCAGGAAAAAAGATGTGGAAATCATACAACAAAGGAACATTTTGGACTCATTGTGTAGTCATCATTCAGTCCAAAGATAGAATTAGAGTTTGAGAGAATCTGAAAAATTGAGTCAAACTATAATCATAAATTTGGTAATTTTTAAAATTAAAGTGGGCTTTGGGCAACCCATTTTCAGACTTTTTTTTTTTTTTTTTTTTTTTTTTTTGAGCTAGGGTCCCACTCTGTTGCCCAGGGTAGAGTGCAGTGGTGTAATCACAGCTCACCACAACCTCCATATCCTGGGTTTAAGCGATTATTGTGCCTCAGCCTCCTAAGTAGCTGGGACTACAGGCGCCTGCAACCATGCCTGGCTAATTTTTATGTTTTTAGCAGAGATGGGATTTCGCTACGTTGGCCAAGATGGTCTTGAACTCCTGGCCTCAAGTGATCTACCAGCATCGGTCTCTCAGGGTGCTGGGATTTACAGGCATGAGCCACTGTACCTAGCCATTTTCGGACCTTTTTACAAGCATCTCTTTTTAAATAAGAATTGGCATGTTGATGTAGTCTTTGAAGTAGATATCAAAATGGTTAATTTGTGGATAGGTAGCTGTTTTTCTGCATAATTTCCACCTTTAACCTCTTCTACTTCACCAGTTCTACCTATCGTTCTTTGGGTCTGGAAGGAATCTATGTATCTGTCAAAACGTAGATATCTTCCGGGTCTGTGAAAGTCTACATTTTGCAACCACAGTAATGGCTATGGAATACATACTAATTCCGTCTGGGAGAAAGTTGAGTGTGTGCAAGAGAAAAGATACTTGCTACAGAGAAGTGGCAGAGATTCTAAAATTTTGACTACTTGGAGAGTCAGCACTACCCTTAAGGAACCTCTGTAATATTGTAGTACATAATCTTCTATTTAGCTAGCGTACAGACTACTTAATAGTTCAAATTCTTTGGAATACAACTTTAGACATAAAAGTAAGCTGAAAATCTAAAACTGGATAGGAAAGTAACTGCCACAGTGTTCATCCATGTGCTTTACCTCTGACTAGACTATAAAAACTATTCAAGAGCCTATTGACCTAAGTCCTATATTAAAATTAAAACATTAGTGTTAAACTGTCCCAAGTTGTTTTGGGATCCTCTTTGAACTTTTTGTTTGTTCATTTGTTTTTGAGACAGGGTCTTGCCCTGTTGCCCAGGCTGGAGTGCAGTGGTGGGATCTCAGGTCGCTGCAATTTCCATTTCCCGGGCTCAGGCAATTCTCCCACCTCAGCCTCCGAAGTAGCTGGGACTACAGGCCCATTCCACCACACCTGGATAATTTTTGTATCTTTTGTGGAGATGGGGTATCGCCATGTCGCCCAGGCTGGTCTCAAACTCCTGGGCTCAAGCAGTGCCAGCCTCGGCCTCCCAAAGTGCTGGGATTACAGGCGTGAGCCACTATGCCCGGCCTGACCTTTTTTTTTTGGTCACAGGGATAGCTTATGTCTATTTGTGCGTACAGATATTTGAGTGACTGTCATAGTAGGGCTCTGATGGGGGATACAAAAATGAATACAAGTATTTTTCTGTGTAGACACTCAAAGTTTGAAGGAGCTAATAAAGGTTTATGAATAACTGAAAGAGAATAAGTTGCTATAAAAGAGGCACAGTTAAGATGTTCTGGGAGCTGAAAGAGTTTGTGGCAGATTTGAAGCAATATGTGGTAGAAGGTACTTCTAAAGGTGGGTATACTGACAGCAGCAAAAGTGGGACCTAATAGCAAAGGAGAAGCTGGAATAAGCAGCAGTTAAAAAACTCTACTGGCGGGTTGGTATAAAACTTGGTTGCATTAGAACACATTGCAGAACTGGAAGTACACTAACATTTATTGAGCTTTTCCTGTATGCTAGGCAGTGGGCTAGATGCTTTCATTTCAGTCCTCATAATCATAATGAGTGACCCAGAACTTTCAAATGTGATTTGCTCCACTCATCAGAAGTAAAGTTTATAAATTTTTTAAAATCTGTTTTTTTTTCTATTAAAGTAAAAGATTCATGTATCAGAGAAAAATGCAAAAGATGAAAGCCTGGAGTTCATTTTCCAAATATTCCATTGAGAGATAACCACTATCAGAAATTTAGTGCATATTTCTCAACCGTTTTTTCTATACTATACTAACATAAAAAATTAGCAAGCAGCTTTTTCACTTAGTAATGGTTTGGATGTCTTCTCGTATCAGAACACACAGATGTGTGCCTTTTTGTCTTCTTTTTCCCCTCTTTTGAGAGACAGTCTCACTCTGTCACCTAGTCTGGAATGCAGCGATCATAGCTCACTGCAGCTTTGAACTTCTAGGCTCAAGCAATCCTTCTGCTTCAGCCTCCCGAGTAGCTGGGACTATAGGCATGTGCCACCACACCTGGCTAATTTTAAAAATTGTTTATAGATAGTCTCCCTATGTTTCTCAGGCTAGTCTTCAACCGGCCTTGTGCGATCTGCCTCAGCCTCCTGAAAGTGCTGGGATTATAAGTGTGAGCCACCACACCTAGCCACGTGTGCTGTTTCTGATCGGTTTTACATGAACTGGTTAAACTGTTCCTAAAAAGCTTACTTGTAATATTGCCTTTTTCTGAGGACGGATAAAGCTTCTTTTGCTAGCCTGGTGTGAGTTCTCTCTTTGAAGATAATAAGCTGCCTTTTCTTTCAGCTTTGACTAACAGACCTTTTCCCTAATATAGGTTAAATCAGTAAAATGGCCGAATTGGATTTGCATCAGTTTCATTTATAGCTAGGTTTCCCCAAATATTATCCCCATAGTATTTGGATTTAAAATGTATAAAATGTTATCAAGTCAAGAAACATAACAGATTATTGTTCAATATATGTGCTGCCAAAGTGAGCATGAGACTATGGTTCAGTATTGTTTTTAGAACTGCCTTGTAAAATGAAAATTATATAATTATTATTTTTTGAGACAGAGTCCCGCTCTGTCGCCCAGGCTGGAGTGGCGCGATTTTGGCTCACTGCAACTCCGCCTCCTGGGTTCAAGTGATTCTCCTGCCTCAGCCTCCTGAGTAGCTGGGATTACAGGTGCCTGCCACCATGCCCGGCTAATTTTTGTATTAGTAGAGACGAGGTTTCACCATGTTGGTCAGGCTGGTCTCGAACTCCTGACCTCAGGTGGTCCTCCTGCCTTGGCCTCTCAAAGTTCTGGGATTACAGGCACGAGCCACCACACCTGGCCTTAGTTATTTTTAATCTTATAAGCTGATATCAATTTAGGCATCAAGTGGTAATAAACCAATTAGGGCTCTTAACTATTCAGCCATTAAAGTATATTCCTGTGGACTTCCTATGTTGCATTGGTAGAATGCTTTAAGCAATTTAGATGAAGTAAAAGAAAATTAGCTGGGTGCAATGACTCATGCCTGTAATCCTAGCACTTTGGGAGGCCAAGGTGGGTGGATGTCTTGGGCTCAGGAGTTCAAGACCAGCCTGAGCAACATGACAAAACCCCGCCTCTATAAAAACAATACAAAAATTAGCTGGGCTTGGTAGTGCGTGCCTGTAGTGCCAGGTACTTGGGAGACTGAGGTGGGAAGATTGCTAGAGCCCAGGAAGCAGAGGTTGCAGTGAGCCAAGATTGTGCCACTGCACTGCAGCCTGGGTGACAGAGCGAGACACTATCTCAAAAAAGAGAGAGAAAATTTGCACACAAACCTATGATACAGAGTGTTAAGTACTCAGGGTATATTAGAATTAAAAATGAGAAAATTGATTTTTTATCTTTGGGTACTTTTATATTGCTAGCCTAAATTAAGTGCTGTTAATGAATCATAAAATGCATTAATGTTCAGGACAAAAGAGAGCTGCTAAATATATTGATGCGGTAAGATGAACATAAAAGATTCAAGCGAGAAACAAATACAGTTATTTTGATTTAAATATGCATGCTTGGATGCCAGTGATTGGGTACATGTGGGATTAATCAAGTAGAAGTTTTTGAGAAAGGGTTGAGTAGAAATATGAAGAAAAAAATATAGATTAGCAGAAAGGATTACAGGAGGGGGACTTCTTATTTCGGCTCAAAGATAGTATAGATTTTTAGCAACACATTAAATTTATTGTAGTTCTTTTTCAGAAAGAAAGCTTTCATTTGGTCAGCTTACACTACCTTTTTTTTTTCTCAATCCTGCTCCTTCTGTATATACTACTGAATTCGTAAGATAAAAATTGCTAGTTCCAGGACAAAAAAGTCTTAAGCAACATCTCAGCATTGTTTTCAGTAAACCCTGATGACCCTAATATGTTGATACTTTTTTTTTTTTTTTAAGACTAGTCTCGCTCTGTCACCCAGTCTGGATATCGGCTCACTGCAAACCTCTACCTCCTGGGTTCAAGCCATTCTCGTGCCTCAGCCTCCCAAATAGCTGGGATTACAGGCATGCGCCACCGTGTCCAGCCAATTTTCGTATTTTTAGTAGAGATGGGGTTTCACCATGTTGGCCAGGCTGGTCTTGAACTCCTGACCTCAGGTGATACACCCACTTCAGCCTCCCAAAGTGCTGGGATTACAGGTGTGAGCCACCATGCCCGGCTGATGATACAATTTTTAATTTCTTAAAATTGTTATTTGGGATAACTGTTCTTTTTTAAAAATTATTTTTAATTTTTTTTTAAGTTCTGAGGTACGTGTGCAGGATGTGCAGGTTTGTTACACAGGTAGGGATAACTGTTCTTTCTCTGGAATCTAAGTTAGAGTAGAACTATCTTTTTTAGGTACATATCGTTAGGTTTGCTGTATGTACCAGAGACCATCCAACCTAATTGGCTCCTGGATTGTCATTGCAAGTTGAACAGTTAACATTTAGAACCCTTATGCATAATAGTATAAATTGGGAAGTCATTTCTGGGAAACCCTTTTTTTATACGCTAAAAATTCATACATAGTCACAAAAACAAATGAAAATGGAAAATGACTCTGTTTCTAAACATTTAATTCAAATAGCATATAAAGCTATGTTGTAAATGTTTCTGCATGGACTCAACTGCTTTATGCTTCACAAAATAGTTCAATGAAGTTTAGACTTACCATACAAATTTCTTCAGTGTTCTAAGGGCTTCCAAATTGTAGTGGCTATCAGGAGCATCTGTCTAATGCCTCATAAGAAAGTCCTTGGTAAATGCTGGGGGTGAGAGTGGTTAGTTTTTATGGCATTTTCTTTATTCTTTACACTGATGCCATATGCAGTCAGCTGAGTCTCCACCAGGACTTACGGTCATTACTGTGGAGATCTTATTTAAGAAAGATGATTAAAATGGGGAGTGGCAAGTAAACTGAGATTCACCTCCTTTCTAATGTGAAAGGATATTCAGCGTTGGCTTTATTTTGTGTCTTTCAGAATTGATTAGCAGCAGGGTGGTGAAGTAGAATAGTAATGGTTCTGAAGTTCTTAGTTATCAGTGGCAGGCAAATATTATAATAGGCTCATCACATGAAAGAGGTGAGACTGTATAGCTACTTCTGACCTTAAATCCCCATTGGGGATTTCATATCTACATGGTTACTACAGTTTCAGATCTGAGGAATTAGAGGCTCTTCTGGATAAAATAATCTCTCCTACATCTTTTTCTGCCTCCATCATGATCCATTCCTATTGGGCCATATAAGATCAAAGTTTTCTTTTCTTTTTTTTTTTTTTTTTTTTGAGACAGAGTCTTGCTCTGTCGCCAGGCTGTAGTGCAGTGGCACGATCTCGGCTCACTGCAACCCCCGTCTCCTGGGTTCAAGTGATTCTCCTGCCTCAGCCTCCCAAGTAGCTGGGACTACAGGCACACGCCACCACGCCCTGCTAATTTTTGTATTTTTAGTAGAGACGGTGTTTTTCACCATGTTAGCCAGGATGGTCTCGATCTCTTGACCTCGTGATCCGCCCACCTCGGCCTCCCAAAGTGTTGGGATTACAGGCGTGAGCCACTGCGCCCAGCCAAGATCCCAGTTTTTAATAAAAAACTTTTCTCATAGATAAACTTGAAATAATTTTGAGGACAAGGTAAAACTGTCATTTGTTTTCCATGCTGCCTAGGAGGCTTGTAGTATTTATTGAATACAAGTGGAATTCATTTGACGTATGCATCAGAATTAGTTTAAAAATTGGGATTGTCTTTCTTAGACAAATTCAGAGGTCATCCAAAGATAAAGGAGAGAAGCGTTACAGCTCTTTTAGAATTGTCTAGCAGGCTTTCCAGTTTTTGCTGGAAAGCCCCTCTTCCCCTCCAAAAAAAAAAAAAAAGAAAAAGTTGAAGAATTAAGAGAAATAACACGTGTAAAATAATTTTAAATAAAATGAAAAGAGTAGTAAAAGTATGAAAAAATACAAAACTACTCATCATTAAAGGCTGAGCAAAATCTTTTAAAATTAAAAACATATTCTCTAAATAATTCCGAGCAGGAGTTGGCACATTTTAAAAACACAAAGGTTCAAATAGTAAATATCATAGGCTTTGTGGTCCATATGGTCTTTGTCACAACTATCCAACTCTGCTATTATAATGCAAAAGTAGTCATATATAATAGATAAATGAATGAATATGGCTGTATTCCAAAAATATTAAGGAACACTAAAATTTGTTGCATATTATTTTACATATCACAAAATAGTCTTCTGATTTTTATTTTGAACCATTTAAAATGTTTTAACCATATGAATTTTAGGATTATTTTTCTATTTTTATGAAAAATAATGTTGGATTTTGTGTGTGTGTGTGTGTGTGTGTGTGTGTGTGTGTGCGCGTGTGTGTGTGTGTGTTTAGACAGGGTCACACTCTGTTGCCCAGGCTAGAATGTAGTAGCTCTCTGTAACCTCGAACTTCTGGGCTCAGGTTATCCTCCCCAGTGGCTGGGACTTTAGGCTTATGCCACCACACCTGGCTAATTTTTAATTTTTTTTTTTTGTAGAAACAGGGTCTCCCTGCGTTGCCCAGGCTGGTCTCAAACTCCTGGGCTCACGTGATCCTCCTGTCTCAGCCTCCCAAAGTGCTGGGATTACAGGCTTGAGCCACTACGTCCAGCCAATTTTGGAATTTTGATAGGGATTGCATTGAGTCTGTAAGTTGTTTTGGGTAGGATGGACATTTTAACAATATTAACTCTTCGAATTCATGAACACAGAATATGTTTCCATTTGTGTCTTCAATTTCTTTCATCAGTGTTTTAGTAGTTTTCAGTGTACAAGTCTTTCACCTCTTTGGTTAAATTTATTCCTAAGTATTTTATATTTTTATAGCTACTGTTCTCTTGGTTTGTTTTTCAGGTAATAAGTGTTTAAACCATTCTTTTTTTTTTTTTTTTTTTTTTTTTTTGAGACGGAGTCTCGCTCTGTCGCCCAGGCTGGAGTGCAGTGGCGCGATCTCTGCTCACTGCAAGCTCCGCCTCCCGGATTCACGCCATTCTCCTGCCTCAGCCTCCCGAGTAGCTGGGACTACAGGCGCCCGCTACCACGCCCGGCTAATTTTTTGTATTTTTTAGTAGAGACGGGGTTTCACCGTGTTAGCCAGGATGGTCTCGATCTCCTGACCTCGTGATCCGCCCGCCTCGGCCTCCCAAAGTGCTGGGATTACAGGCGTGAGCCACCGCGCCCGGCCGTGTTTAAACCATTCTTAGCTTGCAAAGGTGATGAGCTGGATTTGGCCATGGACCATAGTATACTGTCTCCTGGTACAAAGGAAAGGGTTAAATAAGGGTTGTAGGATAAAACCACCAGAGCCTAAAACCTCAGAGAATGGCATGCAAAGATGGCTTGATATAGTAGAAAGAGTCTTTGGGGCCAAACTGACTTGCTAGTTTTGGGAATCTTCTTTCCTAATCTGTAAAACTGGAAAAAAATAGCTATATTTATATGGTGGTTGTAGTAGTTACCTTTGCTGTATAACAAACCACCCCTAAAAGTTAGTGGCCTAAATCAGTAAACATTACTCTTACAATTCTGTGGTTGGCTGCAATGTTCTTAGAGTCTGGGCTGACCTGGCTAGGACTAGATTGTCTAGGTCCTAGAATCTAGGATAGCCTTACATGTCTGGGGCCTCAGACTGAGGTAGCTAAAGTCCACTTCCATGTGACCTATTATTCTACAGGCGACTAGCCCTAACTTGTTCACAAGATGGTAGAAAGATCCCAGCAGCGAGAGAGAGCAAGCCCCAAAGTGCAAGAAAGTACAAGCCTCAGCGTGCTGTATGTTTGTTAGTGTTACACTGGCCAAAGGAAGTCACATGAGTAAATCCAGAGTTAATGTGGGAAGGGATCAGAAAGGTGTGATTCAGTTCAGTAACTGCAGCAGTCTGCCACAGTGCCTAGCACCTAAGGAACTCAGTAAATTTTAGATCCTCCTTATATTTGTCAGACAAGTGAAGAATCTGCCAGCTGTGATGACTCATCTTTTTTTTTTTTTTAGCCAGTCCCTAGTTTTCTTACATTATAGTCACTGTTCTTGAAACTTGCTGTATGTCATTTTAGGGAGATGAATACAAGACTACTAAACTTTTGAGAGCTGACCATGTGCAGGAACTATTCTAGGTTTTTGACATATACCCTTTTTTTTTTCCCGTAAATTCAATGAGTGGGCACCCCTCAAATGTGAATGAGCCCTAGGGCTTTGGGAGAGCATACATGTACTATTATTTAATTCCCAGGATAGCCATGTGATAGTTGCTTATTTGGTCATTTTACAGTTTGAAGAGCCCATACACAGATGTTAATTAATTAAAATTTGCCCAAGGTCATGAGTGATGATGTTTTCAAGCACAGGCAGTATCAGAACCAGAGCCCTGTTCTGTGCTTCTGTTTGGGAGGAATAAGTGTGTATGACAACATACTAAAGGATAGCAGTTAAGCAGGATTAAAAGATATTATAGTTAAATGCATTTATTGAACACGTACGATTTACTTTTCACTTTACTTGACTATTTTATAATTTTTGTCAAAGCGTGGTCAGATTAAGCTTTTAATCATTCGCTCTTAATGATTCAGGTTATGTTGTTGAGGGTTTGAAAGTCAGCATCTTAATCTGATCATTGAAGCAAAGAGAAAAATGCTTCAATAAATGGGTTGCCCTGCTGCTTAAATTCTTAACCATTGTACTAATCAAAGGGTATCTTCATTATTTTACTTGCGTACTCTGCAATGTTTAAGCCTTTTTCTTTTCTAGTATTTTGCTAGCAGATGAAAGAATGCTGTCTAGTGGCAACAAAAGGTGACAGCAAGTATGGGGGAAACAAATATTTCATTTATTTGTTGTCGTTCTGTCTTTTGACTTGAATTTCCAGGGATGAAAAATGCAATTGTTTGTGCCTTTTTTTTTCTTTGAAGGTAGTAGGCAGTATTCTGAGTTAGTACTTTAAAGTACACACAGGCAAATTTTATATAATCCATTCAGTAAGTATTGTGTGCTGGCTGCTGTTGTAGGCATTGGGAAAAGGGTTATGAATAAGACAGGGACTTGTGACTTAGATTCTAGTGCAAGGGAGATAAACACAAAAGGATAATTTTAGATATTTATTGGTGCTATAAACAAAACTTTGCATGCCAAATAATTAAAAAGTTAAAAAACATAAAAAATTTTTTAAAATAAAACTTGATAGGATGGAGTCTTGAATCATATATTTTTTATTTCAGCCACTTAAGTATCTTCTCTGAAAACCATGGTGCTAGATGCAACAGGATAATTAAATATGAGTAAATGATCAGTACTTAATTGTTCTCAGACATTATATTGGTGTTTATATTTGTAGTAGGGATAGAGTTTGCAAGGCAAGGATAAGTGAAATACATATGAATAACTGATATAGGACTGAATAAGGTAAATGCATTAAGGAAACATAAATAAGGCTGGGCGCGGTGGCTCACCACCTGTAATCCCAGCACTTTGCAAGGCCGAGGCAGGTGTGTTGAGGTTAGGAGTTTGAGACCAGCCTGGCCAACATGGTGAGACCCTGTCTCTACTAAAAATACAAAAATTAGCTGGGCATGTTGGCACATGCCTGTAATCCCAGCTACTTGAGAGGCTGAGGTGGGAATCGCTTGAACCCAGGAGGCGGAGGTTGCAAGTGAGCCAAGATTGCACCATTGCACTCCAGCCTGGGCGACAAAGCGAGACTGTCTCCAAAAAAAAGAAAACACAGGTAAGTCTTATTTGGCTAGTGATTATGTTACTAATATTCAAATAGAATGAATAAAGGGCATTGTAGTGCCAAATAATTTAGCCCTACATTAATAATTTGCTATGATTGGCAATCAGAATGGGCTGATGTTTACATTTTAGTTTTCTCTCCAAAGATATGCTTGCAATTTCCTTCATCTCCTTCCAGTTAGTGAGTCAGTTAACAATACTGATTTTGAGGAGTTTGAGAGCATCCTGACCATCATGGTGAAACCCCATCTTTACTAAAAACACAAAATTAGCAGGGCATGATGGCGGGTGCCTATAATCCCACCTACTTGGGAGGCTGAGGCAGGAGAATTGCTTGAACTCGGGAGGTGGAGGTTGCAGTGAGCCAAGATTGCGCCATTGCATTCTGTCCTGGACAACAAGAGCGAAACTCCATCTCAAAAAAAAAAATATTGATTTTGTTGTTATAAATGTACCCTAAGGATGGTTAAACAAACAAAAGAAAAGGTTATGTTTGAGCTCCCCAAAAGGGGTCTACAAGTAGGTGGTCTAGCTAGAAAATACCAGCTAGAAGAATTTAAGAAGGGAGTAATAAGTATAAGTTTTTTGTTTGTTTGTTTGTTTGTTTGTTTGTTTGTTTTTGGGGGGGAGACAGAGTCTCACTCTGTCGCCCAGGCTGGAGTGCAGTGGTGCAACTTTGGCTCACCACAACCTCTGCTTCCTGGGTCAAGCGATTCTCCACCTCAGCATCCCGAGTAGCTGGGATTACAGGGGCCCACCACCATGCCAGGCTAATTTTTGTATTTTTAGTAGAAACGAGATTTCACCACGCTGGTCAGGCTAGTCTCGAATTTCTGACCTCAGGTGATCCACCTGCCTCGGCCTCCTAAAGTGCTGGGATAACAGGTGTGAGCCATCTCGCCCAGCCTAATTTTATCATCTTAGGTAGTTGTGCATATAATAATTTCATTGTAAATTCTTTCAGTTGTTTTTATGTACTTTATTTTGATGTACATAAATCACCTGACTTTGATTTGACTAACTCAGGTTGTAAGAGAGAAAACACCGGTATAATGCTTCTTTCTGAAAAAACAGGGATTTTTAAGATTGATTTTTATATGCTTACGGTTGAGATGGAGACAAACTTTAGGACTCCCTTTACATATTTTTTGCATTACACAAAACTCTGTGGCTTTTCTTCTAATAAGTATAGGCAGGACCAATCTATACTTCAATGAGATCTAACAAGTAGACCTACCTCAATTAGCCAGGTTTTTAGAAAAGCAGTAATTATTTTTCTTTTAAGTTAAAGAATAATTTAAATCAAATAAAAACTTGTATTCAGATAAGCTTTTATTCTAAGTAGTTTAAACTAATAAAACTTTGCTAAATGTGTTACTTTCACTCTTATTTTAAAAATCAGTTTTATAGAATTTGCCTAAGCTAAAATTCACCCTTTTTGGTAGAGTTCTGACTTAAAAAAATTTTTAATTGTTCTTTTCTTTTTTAAAAAATTAATTTTAAAACTAGGAAATGCTCATTTTTCCTTTTTTTTTTTTTTTTTTGAAACAGAGGCTCGCTTTGTCGCCCAGGCTGGAGTGCAGTGGCACGATCTGGGCTCACTGCAAGCTCCGCCTCCCAGGTTCACGCCATTCTGCCTCAGCCTCCCGAGTAGCTGGGACTACAGGCACCCGCCACCACGCCCAGCTAATTTTTTGTATTTTTAGTAGAGACGGGGTTTCTCCATGTTAGCCAGGATGGTCTAGATCTCCTGACCTCATAATCCGCCCACCTTGGCCTCCCAAAGTGCTGGGATTACAGGTGTGAGCCACCACGCCTGGCCTACTTTTTTTTTTTTTTTTTTTGAAAGATAGTTCTGGCTTAGTCGCCCAGGCTGGAGTGTAGTGATGTGATCTCAGCTCACTTCAGCCTCCACCTTCTGGGCTAAAGCCATCCTCTCGCCTCAGCCTCCTAAGTAACTGGGACTACAGGCACACACTACCATGCCGGCTAAATTCTGTATTTTTTGTAGACATAGAGTTTCACCATGTTGCAGGTCTTGAACTCCTGAGCTCAAGCAATCCACCTGCCTCAGCCTCCCAAAGTGCTGGGATTACAGGCGTGTGCCACTGCGCCCGGCCAAGTTCTGAAATTTGACACAGTTATGTAACTCACCACAATCAGGACACACAGCGTTTCTATGAACCTCCACAAAATTCATTTCTGCCGCTTTGTAGTTAACCCTTGCTTCACCTTCTAGCCTTTGACAAACCACTGATCTGTTTTCTGTCCTGAAGTTTGCCTTTTCCAGAATAAAATATAAATTGAATTATAGCCTATTTCTGGACTTTATTCTCTTCCATTGATCTGTTTGGCAATCCTTTCACCAATACTACAGTGTCATCATTACTGTAGCTTTGTGTAGTATTTATTACTTTCATCGTGTATTTATTTGTCTCATGGAATGAATACTTTTAATTGGAGTTAATATTTTGTTAATGTTTATCATCAGTATTTTAAAATTAAACCTTTTTTGCGACTACTGTAGGTTCACATGTAGTTGTAAAATAATTGTTTCCTGGCCAGAAATGGTGGCTCATGCCTGTAATCCCAGCACTTTGGGAGGCCGAGGTGGGTGGGTCACCTGAGGTCAGGAGTTCAAGACCAGCCTGGTTAACATGGTGAAACCCTGTCTCTACTAAAAATACAAAAATTAGCCGGGCGTGGAGGTGGACGCCTGTAATTCCAGCAACTTGGGAGGCTGAGGCAGGAGAATCGCTTAAACCTGGGAGGCGGAGGAGGTTGCAGTGAGCCGAGATTGCGCCACTGAACTCCAGCCTGGGTAACAGAGGGAGACTCTGTCTCCAAAAAAAAAAAGAAAAAAATAGTTTCCCTCATGATATTATCTTGCAAAATTATGGTACAGTATCACAACCAGAATACTGACATTGATATAGTTATAATACAGAACATTTCTACAGGGCTCTCTCATATTGCTCTTTCTCTTCAGATTTTCAATTTTCTGAAACAGATACGACTTGAAATCTATATTGCCAGTAACTTTCAAATTTAAAAACCTTATTCAGGTTCTGTGATTCATGAAGTGAATTTTACACAAATGTTTATAAAGTGATCAGTGTTTAATAAATATCTAGCACACCTAATAGATTGCCTTTCCTTAACAGCAGGATTTGCCTTGGATGCATATAACGGAAGTGTTTAATGGCATAAACAGAATGGAAGTTTTTGTCTTGTGTAAAATGAGTCCAGAAGTGTGTAGTGTAGGGCTGGTATGATAGGTCCACAAAGTTGTCAGGAACTCAGGCTTTTATTTGTTTTCTGCTTCATCATCCTGTTGTTGTAACAATCGTTTTCATTGTTCAGGATGGCTCAAAATAGAGGAAAGACAAGAAGCCTTTTCCTATGCATTTTTCACATTGAGGCCGGTTAGTTTGAAAATACTGTTACTATGTTGAAACAAAAGATCACTTGTCAAATCTGTGGTGGCTTTTCATATTTAATGTGTTGTTGTCTCTGATCTTAAAATGTTAACCTTGCTGTAAGGAGGCAAGACTATCTTACATGTTTGTGTCAATAGGCTGGACGGCACAAAGCTGAGCCCACAAACAATTGAATACCTATTTATTTGAATATACTACTTAGAATTTTAAAGTTTTTGGTAGTTTTAATTAATTTGGTTGATTCTGCAGCCACACTAATTAATAAGGCTTTAATAAGATACTTTTGAATACTAAAGAGGTTAAGCAGCATATTAATAATATCCAGATATTTGGAAACTAATTAGAAATATGTAGGTTTTAAGCCATGGATTTTGTGTCTAGAATTTTCTTTCTAAAGATTTTTGTGGCTGGGCTCAGTGGCTCATGCCTATAATCCCAGCACTTGGAGAGACTGAGGCAGGAGGATTGTTTGAGGCCAGGAGTTCAAAACAAGCCCAAGCAACATGGCAAAAACGCATCTCTACAAAAAAAAAAAATTAGCTGGGGTGGTGGTATTCGCCTGTAGTCCCAGCTACTTAGGAGGCTGAGGTTAGAGGATTGCTTGAGACTGGGAGGCGGAAATGGCAGTGAACTAAGATCACACCACTGCACGCCAGCCTGGGCAACAGAGACCCTGCCTCAAAAAAGAAAAAAAGAGACTTATTAGTATTATATATATCTTTTAATAATGGATTTAGTCTTCAGTAAGAATCTAGTGATTATCATCTTGTGATATTTAGACTTATAATAGGTCAAATGCCAGTTGGAGAAATAATAAGGTTCTGTAGTCCATAAAGGGTCTCAGAACAGTTAAAAATGAAACATTCTTTTAGGCCAGGCATGGTTGCTCATGCCTGTAATCCCAGCACTTTGGGAGGCCGAGGTGGAAGGATTGCTTGAACCCAGGAGTTTGAGGCCAGCCTGGGCAGCATAGCAAGACCATGTGTCTACTAAAAATAATACATTTTTTTAAAAGGAAACATTCTTTGAGCTACATTGACGTATTTCTCTAAAAAAGGAATTATAAACAAAGCAATCTTTTCCTTTTTTCTCATTGACAAGTAATTGACATAATTCACACTCTTTTTGTGTGAATAGCTGACTCGCTCAAATGCTCTGGTTTCTTCCACTTAAAATGAGATATCACATAAACTTAATTTAAGGTTTTTGTTTTTTAACTCTAAACTTCAAATTAGTTCACTGTTAGAAAATATTGACTTAATTGTCCAAGCATAGTATTTTTTATAAATATTCTTGCAATTGTATTACTAGAAAATAAAGGTTAATGAGGCAGAATGGGGAGCAGTTGTGAAGTATGCTATAGATTCAGCATATTCAATTTTTAGAGACCCAAACAGAGGGTCGGTCTCTTATTTCAAGTAGGTCTTCCCAGGCTTCTAGATCTTCTTTCCCTTTGCTGTTAACTATTTACCTTCTACCCCAAATACCCTGTAGAAATTCTGCATGTGTCTCAGTTATAGAAAGTTTTTTTTTTTTTTTTTTTTTTTTTTTTTTTTTTTTTTTTTGAGACGGAGTCTCGCTCTGTCGCCCAGGCTGGAGTGCAGTGGCGCGATCTCGGCTCACTGCAAGCTCCGCCTCCCGGGTTCACGCCATTCTCCTGCCTCAGCCTCCCGAGTAGCTGGGACTACAGGCGCCCGCTACCACGCCCGGCTAATTTTTTGTATTTTTAGTAGAGACGGGGTTTCACCGTGTTAGCCAGGATGGTCTCGATCTCCTGACCTCGTGATCCGCCCGCCTCGGCCTCCCAAAGTGCTGGGATTACAGGCGTGAGCCACCGCGCCCGGCCTATAGAAAGTTTTATAATTTGCTTTTGGTCCATTGAATTTTTGAGATATAAATTTAAATGGCTACTAAAAATAGCTTTTTAGCGGAAGGTATATACATTCCAGACTATCCTCATAAAAAGCTATTTCCAGCTGGGCGCAGTGGCTCACGCCTGTAATCCAACACTTTGGGAGGCTGAGGCGGGCAGATCACCTGAGGTCGGGAGTTCAAGACTAGCCTGACCAACATGGAGAAACCCTGTCTCTACTGAAAATACAAAATTAGCTGGGCGTGGTGGCGCATGCTTGTAATCCCAGCTACTCGGGAGGCTGAGGCAGGAGAATTGCTTGAACCCGGGAGGCAGAGGTTGCAGTGAGCCGAGATCACGCCATTGCACTCCAGCCTGGCAACAAGAGAGAAACTCTGTCTCAGGAAAAAAAAAAAAAAAACTATTTCCATGTTCAGCTTATTACAGATTTATGACTAATTAATGTTGTGCCCTTATACTGTACTTGCTCCTGTTCCACAGTCTTGCTTTCACTCTGAAATGTGTTTAAGTTGTTAGTACTTTAAGGAGCCTCGCATTGCCTGGGCTTAAAGTTGTGAAATGCCCTTGGGTCAACATAATGTTTCCATTCCCTTCAACTCTAATAATAGAGTGGAAAATTAGAAAGTATATGGGCTTAAGAGTCACACAGTTAAAGTTTTGGCTGTACCATTACTGGTTGTGTGACTGAGAGCAAATTACTTAAATCCCTGGGCAGGGTGCAGTGGCTCATGTCTGTAATCCTAGCACTTTGGGAAGCAAGGCGAGTGGATCACTTGAGGTCAGGAGTTTGAGGCCAGCCTGGCCAACATAGTGAAACCCTATCTCTACTAAAAATACAAAAATTAGCTGGGCATGGTGGCGCGTGCCTGTAATCCCAGCTACTGGGGAGGCTGAGGCAGGATAATTCCTTGAACCCAGGAGGCAGGGGTTGCAGTGAGCTGAGATCATGCCACTGCATTTCAGCCTGGGCAACAGAGCGAGACTCCATCTCAGGAAAAAAGGAAAAAAAAAAATCTGAGCCGGAATTTCATCTTCTAGAAAATGTATAACTTATGGAGTTGATTGATATATAAGGAGAGACATATATGTAAATTACATATTTAATCTGGCACACATGAATGCTAATGGTAAGGACTCTTAATCATTAACTTCCACTGTGTTCTCAAATAATGGAGCATAACTTTAATTCAAATAGTTTCTATGCTCTTGAAGATCCTCTAGCTGGGTCTTAATTCATGATTCTCTGTTTTTTTACATACACCCCTGTAAACTTCTTTGAACTCCCTAGAATCAAGAAATGGTAGCAAGTAGCTGTGAAAGACATAGACTAAGTCTCTAGAAATCTATTAGAAGGTGTTGACTTGGCATCTTGAGTAACATAAGTTTAGCTAAGTACCTATGGGAAGGGCTAGCCTTGATTAGATTGACAAGGAATGCTACCGGTGGTTTGGTTGTGCTACAAAGTCAATAGTAGCATTGACAATAATTACTACAATTTATATAATTTACTTCTGGGCAATGTCCCTGTGTTGCACTGGTTTCCTTCTCCCTAATTCCTCTGTCAGGGAATTGTATTTCTTTCTGTTGGTTTTAAATATATTAGTCCTCAAATTATTGTAGCCCTGTGGGACCTACTGTGGTCAGTTGTTCCCACTGATGACTGTCAGACCACTTTAGGCCTCACATCAACTGTAATTGGGTTCAGAGTAGACTCATTTACCCTGTATTTGCCTCATGACCACCACCACTGTTACCACTTAAGGGGCATTCACCTGGGCTCTGCCAGCAAAGATCATCTCTGTTTCTAACTTGAGCAACCTTGTCATAGGGTCCCTGAAAAGCTTCCTTCATTACTTCCCAGAAGCCTTAGTAATATTATGAGCCCTGATAGATCTGATATCTAAGCCTTTCAAAGGCAGATCCATTTGATTTCTTTCATATTTTTTACAGCTCATGTTACTAAAGTACAGAGCCTTTTTATCAATAGGCTACATAATTACCTAACAGGTTTTGATATGATTTCCTGTAGTTGTTCCTCTTGAGAAACACTGGTTTATTTCTACCAGTCAGTGGTGAAAGTCAGCCTGCAGTTCTTTAGACATCATTTCCGTTTGCTACCAATGTAGGATTGGTAATTGAGCCTCTTCTCAAGCTTTTCTCTTAGAATAAAAAAAGTTGTTTTTTTTATTTTAGTAAAATAAACATAAAATTTTTACTATTTTTGTCATTTTAAGTGTGCAGTTCAGTGGCATTAAGTACATTCACAGTGTACTTAATGTTGTACACAGTATTGTGTAAATATCACCACTATTTCCAGAACTTTTTCATCATCCCAAACAGAAACTCTGTAGCTATTAAGCAATAACTCCCCATTCTATCCTTCCCCCAGCTTCTGGTAACCTTTATTCTATGTTCTTTCTCTGTGAATTTGCCTATTCCGGATACTTCATATAAGTGGAATCATATATTTGTCCTTTTGTGGCTCAATTCACTGAACATAATGTTTTCTTTTTTGTTTGCTTGGGGTTTTTGTTTTGTTTTGTGAGATGGAGTCTCGCTCTGTCGCACAAGCTGGAGTGCAGTGGTGTGATCTCTGCTCACTGCAACCTCCGCCTCCTGGGTTCAAATGATTCTCCTGTCTCAGCCTCCTGAGTAGCTGGGATTATAGGCGCGCGCCACCACGCCCGGCTAATTTTTGTATCTTTAGTAGAGACGGGATTTCACCATGTTTGGTCAGGCTGGTCTCAAACTCCTGACCTCGTGATCCACCCGCCTCGGTCTCCCAAAGTGCTGGGGTTACAGGCGTGAGCCACCACACCCAGCCAAGCTTGGGGTTTTTTGTTTGTTTGTTTTTCTTTGAGACAGTGTCTGAAGTGTAGTGGTGCGCTGCAGCCTCAACTTCCCAGGCTCAAGCGATCTTCCCACCACAGCCTCCCTAGCAGCTGGGACCACTGATGTGCACCACCACACCTGGCTAATTTTTAAATTTTTGTTTTGTAGAGTTGGGGGTCTCACTCTGTTGCCCAGCCTATGAACATGTTTTCAAGGTTCATCCACATTGTAGCATGTATCAGAATTTTATTCCTTTTTATGTCTGAATGTTCCATTATATGTATATACCACAGTTTGCTTATCCATTCATCTGTTGATGGACACTTAGGTTGATTCCACCTTTTAGCTATTGTGAATAATACTGCTATGAGCATTGGTGTATGAGTATCTGAGTTCTTGTTTTCAATTCTTTTGGGTATATACCTGGAAGTGGAATTACTGGGCTATATGATAATTGTATGTTTAATTTTTTGAGGAATTGCCAAACTGTTCTCTGTAGCAGTTGTACCATTTTACATTCCCACCAGCAATGCACTAGTGTTCCATTTCCTCTACATTCTTATTAACACTTGTGAATTTCTGTGTTTAAAAAAAAGAAAAAATATATAACCATCTTAGTGAGTGTGAAGTCGTATCTCATTGTGGTTTTGATTTTGTATTTTCCTTATGACAAATGATGCTGAGCATCTTTCATGTGCTTATTGCTGTTTGTATCTTCTTGGAGAAATGTCTATTCAAGTCTTTTGCCCGTCTTTGAATTGAGTGGTTTGGGGTTTTTTTTTTTTTGAGTTGTGAGAGTTCTTCATATATTCTGCCATCTCTTTGTCTGCCTGGGTATCAGGGTAATTCTGGCCTTATAGAATGAATTAGGAAGCATTCCCTCTTCTTTAGTTTCTTGGAAGATTTTGAGATAATGTATGTTAATGCTTCTGTAAGTGTTGAATAGAATTCCCCAGTGAAGCCATCTGTTCTTGGGCTTTTCTTTGTTAGGAAATATACATACATACATATATATATATATATGTGTGTGTGTGTGTGTGTGTGTGTATATGTATATATGTATATATACACACATACACATACATACATACTTACATTTTCTGAGACAGCCTCTGCCTCCTGGACTCAATGATCCTCCAACCTTAGCCTCCTGAGTAGCTGGGACTGCAAGTGCACACCACTATGCCTGGCTGATTTTTGTATTTTTGTAGAGGCAGGGTTTCTCCATGTTGCCCAAGCTGGTCTTGAACTTCTGGGCTCAAGCCATCTCCCTTCCTCAGCCTGCCAAAGTGCTGGGATTAGGTGTGATCTGTCGCACCCAGCCAGTATTCTCTTATAACCTTTTTTATTTTTGTAAAATCAGCGATAATATTCTCACTTTCACTTCTGATTTTAGTAATTTGAGTCTTTTTTTTCCTTCAATTTTTTAAAAAGAGCAGCTTGAAAAGGACCAAGACTAGGATGCTTAAATTTAATTGAACTTATGTAAATCTTAGTGAGGGGAAATGAGTAGAAGGTAGAAGGTAAGATGCTTTGAGGACTTTGGGTTGACCCATATAGTATACATTTTGTTGATTCTTAGGCCTTAGGGTGCTTTGGAACCAGTTATGTTTTCTTTTGTTTGGGTGTAGGATTATTTGTTTGTTAAATGGAAGGAAAGATTAAACAGCTAAGCCTGGAATGGGCAAGGTGCAGCTAAATCTGAGGAAGAACAGGAATAAAAGAACTAATTGCCTCTAGTATCCTTGCCATCTCTTCTGTCTTACAGATTTTACCACCTTTCACTGCACACTGTCTCCTCCATGTAGCAGGATATATGGCTGCCGACAGCACCAGAATTTTATCTTACAGATTTCATGGTGGGAGACAAGGACTGATTTTTACCTTCTAGATTCCAAGTTTAAAAATCTTAGAAAAGATATATGAGCTCAGCAAAGTAGTGCCTACCCTGTATCAGCTAAATCTGGCCATTATTTTGGGAGAACATGGCAGCTCTATTAATAGCCATTTGGAAGAGGGTAGAACATGGGAAGAATAAAGTTCCTAGGAGAATAGAGCTGGTAAATGAGACAGGATATCAAACAGTATATCAAAATTTGTTGATGGTATGGTATAACCAAATGAATGATATAGTCAGCAAAGTATCTAATCTTGAACCACTTTTTCTCAGAGAATAGAGATTTAGCCCAATGGTAGGTATTTATGTGCTTAGAATATTTGTAGTTAATAAAACCTTCCCCAGGATTGCATAAGAGTTGTAGAGGCTGCAGCCTGGCCAACATGGAGAAACCCCATCTCTACTAAAAATACAAAATATTAGCTGGGCGTGGTGGATTGTGCCTGTAGTCCCAGCTTCTTGGGATGCTGAGGTGGGAGAATCAGTTGAACCCGGGAGGCAGAAGTTGCAGTGAGCTGAGATTGCACACTGCCTGGGGGACAGAGTGAGACTCAAAAAAAAAAAAAAAAAAAGGAGTTGTAGAGATATACCATAAATATAATTCCAGCAATGCTCTCTCTCCTTTATATTTACTCCCTACTGTATCTTGCAACTCTTTTTTTAATGACTTTATTGAGATATATTTCACATACCATAAAATTCACCCATTTAAAATGTACAGTTTTAATTTTATAACATTTTCAAAATCTCAGAAAGAAAAGCTTTGCCCATTAGCAGTCACTGCCCATGGCCCTCCTGTCCCCTTACACTGCCCCCGCCATCCCCCGCCGCCAAGTTTCTGGTACCTACTTTGTCTATCTTCTCTCTAGAGATTTGCCTAGATTTTATATGAAATATAAATATCCAGATTTCTGGATATTTCATATAAATGGAATCCTATGATAGGTGGTCTTTTGTGTCTGGCCCCTTTCATTAGCATAATATTTTCAAGATTCATAAATATTGTAGCATGTATCAGTACTTCATTCCTATTTTTTTTTTTGCTGGATAATATTTTATTGCATGGTATATACCACATTTTAATGATCAGTTGATGGATATTTGGATTGTTTATAATTTTTGGCTCTTATGAGTAGTACTGTTTTGAACATTTATGTACAAGTTTGTGTGGACATATGTTTTATGTCTCTCAGGTATATAGCTAAAAGCGGAATTACAGGGTCATATGGTAAATCTTTGAGGAGTTGTCACACTGTTTTTCAAGGTGGTTCTACATCCTCACCAATACTATTATTGTGACTGTCTCAATAGAGATTAAACCTCCTTGGTTACATAAACTCCCTCTAGAGAAGAAATGGATTTTTTTGACCACATTTCTAGAAGTTGAGAGTCAGACAATCAGTTATCTAGAGCTGAGATGAGACACCAAGGGAAAGTATATATCAACCAAGAGATATGCAGTAGCACTTTGGGGGAATCACTATATATTTTGGTAGTATGAGGAGATCAAGAAGCAGGCAAAGACAGAGAAGAAGTGTGGTCAGGGAGGTAGGTTAGATGATGAATAGGTAAGATTTTGAACCATAAAAATAGAGGTGGAATTTTTTAGTAAGGGGGTGGATAATGGTTTACAGAAGATTAAGACAACTAATACAATACTTTGGATTTGTTGACCAATAGTTAGATTATTGTGACTTTCTTGGGACAAGTTTTGTATATGATGACCAAAATTGTAGGAATGGTAGGGAAGTGGAGAGACAATATAAGTCACACTTTTGAACCACCTGACAGTAAATGGAAGGAGAGGAGACTTCACTGATGGATGAATAAGTCCTGAGAGAAGAGGATACATTGAAGAGCAGATTATAAATTGATAGGAAGTTGCTATTAATTTATTTTTTGGCCAATGAAATGGTCTTTTTTTTTATTTTTATTTATTTTTGTTTATTTTTTTAGATAGTCTCACTCAGTCACCCAAGCTGGGGTGCATGCAGTTGTAGGATCTGAATAGCTGGAATTACAGGTGTGCAGCAGCACCACCATGCCTGGCTTTTTTTTTTTTTTTTTTTTTTTTCAGAGACAGAGTCTCACTCTGTTGCCCAGGCTGGAGTGCAGTGGCACAATCATGGCTCACTGCAACTTCCACCTCCCGGGTTCAAGCAATTCTTGTGCCTCAGCCTCCCAAGTAGCTGGGATTAGAGGTGCATGCCACTACACCCAGCTAATTTTTGTATTTTTAGTAGAGACAGGGTTTCGCCATGTTGGCCAAGCTGGTCTTGAACTCCTGGCCTCAAGCAATTGATCCGCCTTTCTCACCCTCTCAAAGTGCTGGGATTGCAGGCGTGCAAATGGTCTTTACAAGAAGCAAAATGTCTACAGAGCAGGTACAGATGCAGATTATCTTTGCTTGGCCTTTCCCTTGCTTTGGCAATCACTATGCTTCCATATAAGGGGATATTTATAAAAATTGGATTGTTTTTGTTCTTGGAATCTACTTTGGCTTCCGCAATGCCAGGTCCCTCTAGGGAATGAGAAGAAGAGACCATACCCTGGAGTCTCTAGAAAGCTAGAGATAGATAAAAACTTTCCAGGATATTGAAGAGCATGTCTTTTAGCAGAGGAAAACTGAAGATACACAGGAGGAGAAATACAATGCAACGGGATAAAAGAAGAGGTTACAGGCTGGAAGAGAACCCTTCTGACATCAGAATATGAACAATTATGAAGGATATGGACATTTGATGTTGAGAAGGAAGTCAAAGAGCCTAAGTGAAGATCTCTTCTTTCATTTTCTAATGTTAAAGCACTGAGACTGGGACTTGAGGAAACGAGAAAGTTTTGGAAATCTGTTTTGAGAACCAACAAAAGTTATCTCAACAGTAAGATCCTAACCTTGAATTCATAGTAGACTCATGGTTTCAAGGCAGGAAGTAAAGAATTTGGAACAAGAGGGAGTGTGGAGAGAAAACAGGTGCTGTCTTTTCTAGCATTGAAAATTAGCACAATAGAGATGGGATTAAGGAGTATTTTTTTTTTTTTTTTTTTTTTGAGACGGAGTTTCGCTCTTGTTGCCCAGGCTGGAGTGCAATGGCACAATCTTGGCTCACAGCAACCTCCGCCTCCTGGGTTCAAGCCATTCTCCTTCCTCAGCCTCCGGAGTAGCTGGGATTACAGGCATGTGCCACCACGCCCAGTTAATTCTGTATTTTTTTTACTAGAGACAGGGTTTCTCCATGTCAGGCTGGTCTCAAACTCCGGACCTCAGGTGATCCGCCCGCCTCGGTGTCCCAAAGTGCTGGGGTTACAGGTGTGAGCCACCACACCCGGCCGATTAAGGAATATTTTAATTGTGGTTGAATGAGTCTAAAATCATGGCCCATAAAATCCAGATACAGTATGCAGAGTAAAGGAAGCCAGAATAGGGGTGATAGAGTTAGTAAATAGGAAGCTTTCCAGAGATCAGAAATCACAACAAAAGTTGTGAGAATAACTTTTGTCTGAAGAATTTTAGAATTTAAAATATTGGATGCTTTCAAAAATTATAAGGCCCCAAATCTGTAAAATAAGATATTGTGCCAATATATGACTTTCTTTTTTTTTTTTTTTTGAGACAGAGTCTTGCTTTGTTGCCAAGGCTGGAGTGCAGTGGTGCAATCTCGGCTCACTGCAAACTCCGCCTCCTGGGTTCACGCCATTCTCCTGCCCCAGCCTCCCGAGTAGCTGGGACTACAGGCACCCGCCACCACGCCTGGCTAATTTTTTGTATTTTTAGTAGAGATGGGGTTTCACCAGGTTAGCCAGGATGGTCTCGATCTTCTGACCTCGTGATCCACCCGCCTCGGCCTCCCAAAGTGCTGGGATTACAGGCGTGAGCCACCGCGCCCGGCAATGACTTTCTAGACAGTTAACTTTAGTTAGGAATATAACTGCTGAGAGAAACAGACATTTTCACAATAATAGCTGGAGACTTCAGTACTCCATCTTCCATAATGGATGGAACAACCCGGCAGAAGTTAAGAAATAGAGGATCTGAACAACACAATAAATCAACTAGACGTAACAGACATAAACAGAACACTCAACCCAACAACAATACACATTCTTCTCAAGTGCACATGGGATATTCTCCAGGATAAACCTTATGCTAGGTCACAAATTTAGTCTCATTGGATTTTAGAAGGTAGATATCTGTATTAGACAGAGTTTTCCAGAGAGACAGAACCAATAGGAGATATTTATCGAGAGAGAGAGAGAGATAGGAGAAGGGATGGGGAGAGAGTATGGAGGAGGGGACACTGGTGCAAGTCCCAAAATCCAAAGGCTGGTGGACCTGGAGTTGTTGATGTCCAAAGGCAGGAGAAGAGAGGTGTCCCAGCTCCAGAAATCGAATGAATTTGTCTTTTCTCTGCCTTTTTGTCCTGTCTGGGCCCCCAGTTAATTGGATGGTGCCTGCTCCCATTGAGGGAGAATCTTCCCTGACTCAGTCCACTGACTCACACAGCACTCTTCTGTGGAAACACCCTAATAAGACACACTTAGCAATAATACTTTAGCGACTATCTGCTTTTGCCTTAATGCAGTCAAGTTCACACCTAAAATTAAGCATCACAATCTCATACAAAGTATATTCTCTGACTACAACAACATGAACTTAGCAATCATTAACAAAGGAAAACTAGAAAATTCACAAATTTGTGAAAATTTAAAACACACTCTTAACCAGTGGAGCAAAGAAGAAATCCTAAGGAAAATTAGAAAATAACTTAGAGATGAATGAAAACAAAAATATACCAAAATTTATGGGATACAGCAAAAGCAGTGCTAAGAGGGGAGTTTGTAGCTATAAATCCTTACATTAAAACACAAGAAAGATCTCACATCAGCAACCTAACTTTACAACCTAAGGAACTAGAAGAACAAACAATCCAGAGCTAGCAGAAGGAAGGAAATAATATAATTTTGTATAATCTTGATAAATTGAGTTTTAAAATAGTTTTACAGCTTTAAATTATATCTAATATTTGCTTAGATGTTACAGATTTTCTTTTTAATTAAATTGTTTAAATCAATCAGCTATAGCCTCTGCAAAACAAAATAACTAGTTCAAAACAATTCGATTGCTCTGACATGTTTGGCTGTAAAATATGAAATGATTTGCATTTTTAAATGTATCATTTTATTTCAGGTTGCAGTGTAGGATTTTGGAAGTCCTCCCTCCATCACATCAAAATGGTTTTGCTAATGGACATGTTAACAGTGTGGATGGAGAAACTATTATCATCAGTGATAGTGATGATTCAGAAACACAAAGCTGTTCTTTTCAAAATGGGTAAGTGATTTTTATTAATTTTTAAATTATTTGGCAGATTGCCTAATGATATTCCATTGAAATAACTTTTTTTTTGAGATAGAGTTTCACTCTTTTGCCCAGGCTGGAGTACAGTGGCTCGATCTCAGCTCACTGCAACTTCCACCTCCCAGGTTCAAGTGATTCTCCTGCCTCAGCCTCCTGAGTAGCTGGCATTACAGGCACCTGCCTCCATGCCCAGCTAATTTTTGTATCTTTGGTAGAGACAGGGTTTCACCATATTGGCCAGGCTGGTCTCAAACTCCTGACCTCAGGTGATCTGCCTGCCTCGGCCCCTCAAAGTGCTGGGATTACAGGCATGAGCCACCGCACCCAGCTGAAATAACTTTTCTTTCATCCTTTCCTTTTTTCCTTCTAGTCATACTATGGTATAGTACCCATCTAAACAATCTAGTTCAACAATGATGTTAGAATTTTCAAAATTGAAATTTTCCTAGTTCACGCTACTCAGCTGTTGAAGAGCCTCATTCAGTCATTTATACATCTCCCCCACCCTCTTTTTTTTTTTTTTTTTTTTTTTTTTTTTGAGACAGAGTTTCCATCTTGTTGCCCAGGCTGGAGTGCAATGGTGCAATCTCGGCTCACTGAAGTCTCCTGGGTTCAAGCGATTCTCCTGCCTCAGCCTCCCAAGTAGCTGGGATTACAGGCATGCACCACCACGCCCGGCTAATTTTGTATTTTTAGTAGTGACAGGGTTTCACCATGTTGGTCACGCTGGTCTCGAACTCCTGACCTCAGGTGATTGACCTACCTTGGCCTCCCAAAATGTTGGGATTACAGGCGTGAGCCACCACATCTGGCCCCTACTTTTGTTTACTTGAAAAAATCCATTCTGTACTTTAACAGTCATTCTCTTTGGGGCACATAATAAAGAAATGCTGTAACCACCTAAAATTCAGACAATTGATGGTCTGTGTCAGCTGGGTGCTGTTGGAGAAAAATCACACAAACATGTAGCTAGGAATTTAAAATCTCAGCTGAGTCTGCAACCAATTAAAAGTTCTTTTACATGTTTTAGCTCAGCAACCTCTTCTGTTCTCCTCAATGACTATTCTAAATCGTTATTTCTCCATTCTGGTCCCTTTTGGGCATCTCAGACTTCAAAATGCTTTCTCCCGCCTGTCTTGTGTCTTTCTTGGTTTCCTATTTTTAGTGAACAGTACCATAATGTTTAAAAAAGAAACCTGAGATCACTCTTACCTACTTCTCTTAATTACTTTGCTCCTGAAATACCAGTGTTGATAAGTTCTGTCTTTCAGAAACTTTTAGTTCAAGTTCTCATTTGGCCTGACATTAACTATTATAGCTATAACTAGCATTTGAGAATTGACTGTGATCAGGCACTGTGCTAAGTGCTTTATATGCATTTTGGTCAGTTCTGGAAGAGTGTTGTAATTCTAATTTAACAAGGAAAAACCTGAGACTTAGGAAGGTTAATTGGCTTTGTACAAGGTCATCTAACTAGCACATTGCCTGACAGAATAATTTTTAGGTGAGTGAATGAAGCATGACATGGTCCTGTATAAGTCTTTTGATACATCTCTTCTTTTTTTTTTTTTTTTTTTGAGTTGCTGCTTTTTTTTTTTTTTTTTTTTTTAAAGAGATGGAGTCCTGTTCTGTTGTCTAGGCTAGAGTGCAGTGGTGAGATCATAGCTCACTGCAGCTTCAAACTTCTGGGCTTAGGCAGTCCTCCTGCTTCATCGTCCCAAGTAGCTAGGACTACAGGTGCGTGCTACCATGCCTGGCTAATTTTTAATTTTTTTTTTTTTTTTTTTAAGTAGAGACACAGTCTTGCTATATAGCCCAGGCTGGTGTCAAACTCCTGGCTTCCCACCTCAGTCTCTTGAAGTGCTGGGATTACAGGCAGGAGCCACTGTGCCCGGCCAACTTGCTACTATTAACCAGAAAAATAAATTACTGTATTACTTGTCCATGTCTTCCATTAAATATAGGGTTTGGGATGCAAAATTTGTGGGATTTATAGTAGTAAATGTGTGTCCTTTAGCATGTCTGACAGTAGTTCATATGTTTTGTTTGGACAATGTCAAAGATTGTAACCTTTAAATGGAGTTAGTTATAAATCAGATGAGTGTATACATAGGTACAAATATAAGTAAACATGCAATTATTCATTAATAATAATAAATACAAAGTCTCTAATTTATTGGAATGCCTCTTGAAAATTTTAATTCAAGATAAAAAAACTAAGCCCAGTCTTAAAGGATTGAACACAGATTTTGTATATGAAAGGTATTTTTAAAATTCATGTTTAAATATGGTAAGCATTTATTTATCTGAAAAATTTTTTTTTTGAGATGGAGTTTCGCTCTTGTTGCCCAGGCTGGAGTACAATGGCACGATCTTGGCTCACTGGAACCCCCCATCTCTCGGGTTCAAGTGATTCTCCTGCCTCAGCCCCTCTAGTAGCTGGGATTAAAGGCATGTGCCACCACGCCCAGCTAATTTTTGTATTTTTAGTAAAGAAGAGGTTTCTCCAGGTTGGCCAGGCTGGTCTCGAACTCCTGACCTCAAGTGATCCACCCACCTTGGCCTCCCAAAGTGCTGGGATTACAGGTGTGAACCACTGCACCCGACCCATGTACTAACTTTTTTTTTTTTTGAGACAGAGTCTCACTCTGTCGCCCAGGCTGGAGTGCAGTGGCGCAGTCTCGGCCCACTGCAACCTCTACTTCCTGGATTCAAGTGATCTCCCGCCTTAGCGTCCTGAGTAGCTGAGACTACAGGCGCGTGCCACCACTCCCAGCTAGGTTTTATATTTTTTAGTAGAGAGTGGGTTTCACCATGATGGCCAGGCAGGTCTTGAACTCCTGACCTCAGTTGATCTACCCATATCAGCCTCCCAAAGTGCTGGGATTACAGGCGTGAGCCACCATGCCCAGCCCCATGTAGTAACTTTTCATATACTTTTCTAATTCTTTTAGGTGCTGTGAGGTGATCTGAGATGAGGACTGTGTAGATTCTGGGGGTCAGCATGCTGTTATTTAGCTCATGAATGTCCCTTTCTTTTTTAGATTTGAACATGAGCTACCTGCATATTTTGTGGCTAATTTGTTACTTTGAATACAAAGCACATTAATTCAAAATTTCAATTAGGAAATATTTTGCCTGTTATAAGGTAGCATTTTGAAGAAGACTTCCATTGGTGCATCCTACTTGTGACATTTATAGGAAGTTTACTACAAAGTATGATTGAATTTGCCCATAGGAGCAATCAGTCATAATTTCCTGACTAAATAGACTGTGCCATATCCCTTGTATACGGATACTTGGAATAGACCCTTGATATGAGAAAAGTGAATAAGCTGATGAATTATTTTTTGTTTTTTGTTTCTGTTTTTGAGACAGGGTCTCACCCTGTCACCCAGGCTGGAGTGTGCAATGGCGTGATCTCAGTTCACTGCAGCCTCGACCTCCTGGGCTCAAGCCAGCTTTCCTAGTAACTGGGACTACAGGTGCACACCACCCATGCCCAGCTAATTTTCTGTATTTTTTGTACAGATGGAGTTTCATCATGTTGCTCAGGCTGGTTTGGTATTCCTAAGCTCGAGTAATTCACCCACCTCAACCTCCTAAAGTGTTGGGATTACAGGCATGAGCCCCCATGCCTGGTCTAGTCAATTATTTATTCACAGGATTTTTTTGTTTTGTTTTGTTTTTTTGAGACAGAGTCTCACTGTGTCACCCAGGCTGGAATGCAGTGGTGAATCTCAGCTCACTGCAAACTCCACCTCCCTGGTTTAAGTGATTCTTCCACCTCAGCCTCCCAAGTAGCTGGGATTACAGGTGCATGCCACCACACCCAGCTAATGTTTGTATTTTTAGTAGAGACAGGGTTTTGCCATGTTGGACAGGCTGGTCTCAAACTCCTGACCTCAGGTGATACACCCGCCTTGGTCTCCCAAAGTGCTGGGATTACAGGTGTGAGCCACCACACCCTGCCTATTCACAGGTATTTTTATTTTTATTTTGAGATGGGGTTTTGCTCTTGTTGGGCAGGCTGGAGTGCAATGGTGCGATCTTGGCTTACTGCAACCTCTGCCTTCCAGGTTCAAGCGATTCTCCTGCCTCAGCCTCCGGAGTAGCTGGGATTACAGGCATGCACCACCACACCCGGCTAATTTTGTATTTTTAATAGAAATGGGGTTTCTCCATGTTGGTCAGGCTGGTCGCGAACTCCCAACCTCAGGTGATCTGCCCGCCTTGGCTTCCCAAAGTGCTGGGATTACAGGCGTGAGCCACCCTGCCTGGCTCACAATTATTTTTAACTAATTTGTCTATGATTAAAGAATCTGAGCCTTCACTATACATCAATATCATAAAATACGTACTTGTTTGTGGATTGCTACTGCTATATCTAGACATCATCAGATACCACAGGAAGGGTGAAACATAGCTGTCTTTGGACCTTATTATTTCTAAATTAATTCCCTAATTTTTAAAAGTTCTCTAATTTGAGTAATAAATTGACTTCCAGGTAATTTTCCCTGCCATCAAAACATAATCTGGATTTTCTCATGTTTTAGTAGGTTGTTTAAAGAAAAGGGAAGGGAACAAGTATTTATTCATTTATTTTTATTCATTTATTCATTAACATTTTTTCATGTTAGGCTTATAACAACACTCACATAAATTGTTTTGTTTCTTAGAATCATTCTGTAATGGTAGATGGACATATCCTTATATCACTTAGTAGAAATGGAAGTTCGGAATTAGGAAATTTGCCCAGCATCACATGGCTCATTATGTCTACAAGATATATGCAGTGTTGTCAAGATGTCAGTTCTTCCCATCTTGATCTATAGGTTTATCCCTACTTAATTTGTAGGTTCAATGCATTCCCAATCAAAATCCCCGCAAGTTATTTTGTGGATATCAGCAAACTGATTATAAAGTTTATATGGAGAGACGGGAGACCCAGAATAGCCAACACAATATTGAAGAACAAAGTCAGAGAACTGACACTACCCAGCTTCAAGACTTACTCTGAAACTACACTAATCCATAAAGTGTGGTATTGGTGAAAGTATAGACAGATCGATCAATGAATCAGAATAAAGACTTCTGAAATAGACCCACATAAATGTAATCAACTGACCTTTGACAAAGCAGCAAAGGCAAAACAGTAGAGAAAAGATAGTCTTTTCAATCAGTAGTGCTAGAAAAACCTGGATATCTACATGTAAAAAAAAAAAATCTAGACATAGACTTTATACTTTTTACAAAAATTAACTCAAAATGGTTTGTAGACCTAAGTGTAAAACCCCTAGAAAAGATAGAAGAAAAGCTAGATGACCTTGGATATGGTGATAATTTTTTAGATATAACACAAAAGGCATAACCCATGAAAGAAGTAACTGATAAACTGGACTTGATTAAAATTATAAACACTTTTACTCTGCAAAAGACCTTGTCAAGAGAATGAGAAGTCAAGCCACAGAGTGTTTTGCAAAAGATAATCTGATGAAGGATTGTTATCCAAAATATACAAATAACTCTTAAATCTCAATATTAAGACAATGAGGGCTGGGCACCATGGCTCACGCCTGTAATCCCAACACTTCGGGAGGCCAAGGGGGGTGGATTGCTTGAGCTCAGGAGTTTGAGACCAGCCTGGGCAACATAGTGAAACCCCCATCTCTACAAAAAACCACACAAAAAAATCAGCCGGGTATTGTGGTGTGTGCCTGTAGTCCCAGCTACTCGGGAGGCTGAGGTGGGAGGATGGCTTGAACCTAGGAGGTGGAAGTTGCAGTGAGCTGATTGAGCCACTGCACTCCGGCCTGGGTGACAAAGCCAGACCCTGTCTCAAAAAAAAAAAAAAAAAAAAAAACGAGGAACCCAATTAAAAAATGGCAAAAGATCTGAACAGATACCTCACCAAAGAAGCCATATAGATGGCAAGTAAGCATATGAAAAGATGTTCAACATCATATGTCATTAGGGAATTGTAAATTAAAACAACAATGAGATATGACTATGTACTTATTAGAATGACCAAAATCCAGAACACTGACAACACCAAATGCTAGTGAGCATGTGGAGCAACAGGAACTCCATTTATTGCTGGTGGAAGTGAAAAATGGCATAGCCACTTAAGAGGACAGTTTGGCAGTTTCTTATAGTACCAAACATACTTTTATATGATGTAGCAATTGCATGCTTTGGTATTTACTCAAATGAATTGGAAACTTTACATTCACACAAAAACCTGCACATGGATGTTTATAGTAGCATTATCTGTAACCTCCAAAACATTGAAGCAACTAAGATGTCCTTCAGTAGGTGAGTGGATAAACTGTGGTACATAAAGACAATGGACTATTATTCAGCACTAAAAAGAAATTAGATATTAAACCATGAAAAAACACGGAGAAAGTTTAAATGCACATGTACTAAAAGAAATTTAAATGCATATGTACTAACTGAAATAAATGTACTATATATTTAAACTCACATGGGTATATGCCTATATACATTATACAATCTGAAAAGTCTACATACTTATGATTCCAACTATGACATTCTGGAAAAGGCACAGCTATGGAGACAGTAAAAGGATAAGTGGTTGCCAGGGGTTTTAGAGAAGGAGGGATGAATACTCAGAGCACAGAGGATTTCTGGGGCATTGAGACTATTGTGTACAATACAGTAGTGCTCCCATATCCATGGGGGATATGTTCCAAGACCTTCAGTGGATTCCTGAAACCACAGATAGTACCAAACTATATACCCTATGCACGAATTTCATTTTCCTCCTTCACAATTTCATGAATAGAAGATTCATTCTTTTTTTTTTTTTTTTTTTTTTTTTTGAGACAGAGTCTTGCTCTGTCGCCCAGGTCGGAGTGCAGTGGCGTGATCTCAGCTCACTGCAAGCTCCGCCTCCCGGGTTCATGCCATTCTCCTGCCTCAGCCTCCCGAGTGGCTGGGACTACAGGCGCCTGCCACCACGCCCGGCTAATTTTTTGTATTTTTAGTAGAGATGGGGTTTCACCGGATTAGCCAGGATGGTCTCGATCTCCTGACCTCGTGATCCGCCCGCCTCGGCCTCCCAAAGTGCTGGTATTACAGGCTTGAGCCACTGCGCCCGGCCGAAGATTCATTCTTATCATAGATTAATTTAGCAACCTCAGCATACAATTTTTTATTCCTTATTAAGTCCAGAAATTTTACCTTTTCACTTAAAGGAAGCACTTTACGGCTTCTCTTTGGCATATACACGGTGTATACAGTGTGGATATGTAAGACAAATGGAAGATTCATGTCCTGGGTGGGATGGGACAGGACGACATGCAATTTAAAACTTATGAATTATTTATTTCTGGAATTTTTTTTCTTTAATGTTTTCAAACCACAGGAGGATACCTGTCATTATATACATTTGTGAAAACCCATAGAATATGTAACACTGAGAGTGAACACTAAACTGTTGACTTTGGGTGATAGTTATGTGTCAATAAAGTTTAGTAATTTAAAAAATGTATATTTAATGCCCTTTTAACTATTTTTAAATGTGCAACTCAGTGGCATCAATTACATTCACAGTGTTGTACAACTATCACCACTATTTACTTTGAAATAGAAATTTTGTATCCATTAAGCTATAACTTTGTGTTTCTCCCTCCTCCCAGCCCCTAGGAACCTCTGATCTACTTTGTCTTTTTGAATTTTCTATTCTAGATATTTTGTATAGGTAGAAATAGGTTATGTTTGCCCTTTTGCATCTGGCTCATTTCACTTAGCATGTTTTCAGGGTTCATCCGTATTGTAGCACAATCAGGAACTTTATTCCTTTTTATGGCTGAATAATCCATTGTATGTGTATATCACATTTTGTTTATCCATTCATCTATTGATAGGTATTTGGATTGTTTCCACCTTTTGGTTACTGTAAATAATGCTGCATTGAATATTGGCATATAGGGATCTGCTTGAGTCCCTGTTAGAAATTCATGCGGGTATATGCCTAGAAGTGGATTGCTGGGTCATATGGTAATCTATGCTTAACTTTTTGAGGAACTGCCAAACTGCTGTTCCCAGTAGCTGTGCCACTTTACATTCTCACCTGCAGTATCAGAGGGTTCCAGTTTCACCATACACTTGGCATCAGTTGTTATACTCTGGTTTTTAAAAATTATAGTCATCCTTATCGGGTGTAAAATGGTATCTCATGGTTTTGATTTACATTTCCCTAATGACTAATGATGTTGAGTATCATTTCATGTGCTTATGGCCATTTGTATATTTTTTTGCAGAAATACCCATTCAAGTTCTTTGCCTATTTTTAAATTGGGTTGTTTGTCTTTTTGTTGTTGAGTTACAGAGTTGTGTTTTTTTGTTGTTGTTTTGTTTTGTTTTGTTTTGTTTTGAGACAGACTGGCTCTGTTGCCAGGCTGTTGCGCAACAGCGCAATCTTGGCTCACTGCAACCTCCGCCTCCCAGGCGCAAGAGATTCTCATGCCTCAGCCTCCTGAGTAGCTGGGATTACAGGTGTGTGCCAACACCTCCAGCTAATTTTTGTATTTTTAGTAGAGATGGGGTTTTGCCATGTTGGCCAGGCTGGTCTCAAACTCTTGGCCTCAAGTAATCTGCCCACCTCAGCCTCTCAAAGTGCCGAGATTACAGGCATGAGCCACTGTGCCCAGCCTAAGTTACAGAGTTTTTAAATAATATATTCTGACCACCAGAGTTTTAAAAATATCTTGATATATTTGGGGGGGGGTGTATTGATTTATATTTATAAGTAAAAGTAAATTTTATTTAAAAATTGACTTCTTGGCTATTATTTAATAGGACTGGATAAGAGTTTGGGCTGCATTTTAGAAACAATATTTTGTTATATAAGATTGAGGTAAAGAGGATTAGGGTTTTATCTCCTAGTCTTTCTCTCTGAAATTTTACATAAGTATTGTGTCTGCTTTCAATAATTTTTTTTTTACTCTTAATGTTTGCCGTTCAAGAATTGGCCCAGTAATGTTATATTGTCCGCTATTGTTCCTTTCACTCAAAAATTACTAATAGATTTTTAAAGAAAATTTATATGTAAATATCCTTACTATTTGGTGAGATCACATTGTGTGTAATTACTTGATACAGGTTTCCCCTGTTAACAGCCAAATAATGAAGTTGATCTACAATCACAAATTCTCTGGAATCTGAACTAAATTGATAGACAGTCCTGACTCAGACAGTCACTAGTTTTCCATCTGATTTTAGTAGCCAGATGTGCCAGGTATAGGTGAGTTTGTGTAGTTGCTTTTAGAATTTATAAAAGAAACCAAATAAGGTATTTGTAGCAGCTCAGATTAGTATGTGAATGATGCTTTCTAATAATATAATCTGTTATTGTGATTTAAAGCTATCAGGCTGCTGCCTGTTTTTTACAGTGGATCAAGTTTTATGGAACCATCTCTAAACACATAACAAAAGCTGAAGTACATTATAGAAAATCCTTTAGCCTGACCTGAAAATAGTACATGAATACATGAGTACACTTTTGGTTACCTATCCTGTCCTGATGGTGATTTGCAGGAGTACAAGGGCAAACTATTTTAGAAACATCTGGGGCTGGGCGTGGTGGCTCACGCCTATAAATCTCAGCACTTTGGGAGGCCAGGGCGGGTGGATCACGAGGTCAGGAGATCAAGCCCATCCTGTCTAACACGGTGAAACCCCATCTCTACTAAAAATACAAAAAATTAGCCAGGCGTGGTGGCACGTGCCTGTAGTCCCAGCTACTTGGGAGGCTGAGGCAGGAGAATCACTTGAACCCAGGAGTCGAAGGTTGCAGTGAGCTGAGATTGCACCATTGCACTCCAGCCTGGGTGACAGAGCGAGACACTATCTCAAAAAAAAAAAAAAAAAAAAAAAAAGGTCTGGAATAATATGTATGTAGCTTCAAAATATATGTACTTTGATGCAGTATAGTCTAGCCGTCATTATAACTTGACTAATCGTTAGTAAGATAAATGAAATCTGAGTGTTATTTTTAAAGAAGCAGACCTAATTGTTTTGCTGTTTGTAGTTCCATGGATGGAAACTTAATGCGTGAGAAATAACATTAGCATTTTAAATTTTTATACATATATATATCTCCTGTGCCTAATCATTTAGTGGGTTGTCATTGTAGAATAGTTGTGAACACAATTTGATGATTTCTCTTAAAAGAAACCTTTATGTTGAAAGTATACAAGTTTTTTTGGTCATTTCTGTGGTGCTGATACAGAAAATTGTTTAATTTTTTATAACTTTATTGTCAAATGTTCATAATATATTAGGAAAAACAACTCCCATTATGGTAAAATCAAAGTAGAATTAAAATTTACATATATAACTAGGCATATTGAAATAAACATTTGTGAAATTTTGTTGTGAATGAATAATCGGAATGGTGTTTTGATTTTATTAGTACAATATTTGATGTTTGCTTGTTGTAGAACTAAACACAGGTCTACACTTGTTGGTAATAAAATGGTGGGTCACCATCATAATTGAGATCACTAAATTCAACTTGATTAAACTATTTAGGCCAAGGCTTTGGGTAGCAAGAAAAATGATTAAAATGTAAGTTTTTTAAAAATATTATCCTTGTAGTTTCTATCTTGTAGGTGAATTCATATTATAAGAAGCAGTTTTTCTTGGTCTCCAGTAATTGTGCTTCTTTGGGAAGAATGCAATTAGGATTTTATTTTATATAGAATTTTGCATAAGTATTATAGATAGCAAAGCCCCAGTAAGAATATTTTCACTGATTAGAAAAAAATTTCTATTTATCTTCACAAATGAATTTCATGGTACGGCAAGAAAAGTAAAAGATAATTGTTTGCACATATAAACTCGCACATTTTACAGCCTTAAATCCATTAAGATATAGTCTGTGGCCAGGCGCAGTGGCTCACGCCTGTAATCCCAGCACTTTGGGAGGCCAAGGTGGGTGGATTACCTGAGGTCAGGAGTTCGAGACCAGCCTGGCCAACATAGTGAAACCCTGTCTCTACTAAAAATACATAAAATTAGCTAGGTGTGGTGGCGGGCACCTGTAATCCCAGCTACTCGGGAGGCTGAGGCAGGAGAATCTCTTGAACCCAGGAAACGGAGGTTGCAGTGAGCCGAGACCGCACCATTGCACTCCATCCTGGGCAACAAGAGCAAAACTGTCTCAAAAAAAAAAAGATAAGGTCTGGTACGGTGGCTCACACCTGTAATCCCAGCACTTTGGGAGGCTTGAGGTGGGAGCATTGCTTGAGCCCTGGAGTTCTAAACCAGCCCTGGGCAATGTGGAGAAACCCTGTCTCTACAAAAAAAAAATACAAAAAATTAGCCGGGCATGGGTGGCACATGCCTGCAGACCCAGCTACCCGGGAGATTGAGATAGGAGGATCACTTGAGCCTGGGAGGTTGAAGCAGCAGTGAGCCGTGATTGCGCCACTGTATTCCAGCCTGGACCACCGAGTGAGACCCTGTCTCCCCCAAAAAAGGTCCATATACAAGTTTTCTAGACTGTATACCAATATCTGAATACTCAGAATCTAAATTTTTAGGAATTGCTACTCACATCTTGGTTTTCTCTCCTGTTAGTATATTATTTTATAATTCACTAAAATGTGGGGGAAATAAGATTTTTTGTGTATTTAATTGGTTATATAAAATATATTTATATGTTAATATATAATGCATAGTAAAATATAAATTTATAACATAATTAGATATAGCCACTGGTAATAATTTTAAGTACAACTTAATATACTTGATCAAGCTCTTATAAAATGGTAGTGGTTAGTTGCTAAGTTGAGACCTATTCAAAAAGTATTAACATAATTTTCTTGTTCTTAAACTGCTGCTAATTCATTAAAACTCACTTGTTTTTCCTTGTCTTTATTTCAATAAATTTTCTTTCTTTTTTTTTTTTTTGATACAGACTCTTGCTCTGTTGCCCAGGCTGGAGTACAGTGGTGCGACCTCGGCTCACTGCAACCTCTGCCTTCTGGGTTCAAGCAGTTCTCCTGCCTCAGCCTCCTAAGTAGCTGGGGCTACAGGCGCAGGCCACCAAGGCCGGCTAATTTTTGTATTTTCAGTAGAGACGAGGTTTCACCATGTTGGCCAGGCTAGTCGCAAACTAAACTAATGACCTCATGATCTGCCTGCCTCAGCCTCCCAAGGTGCTGGGATTACAGGTGTGAGCCACCACACCTGGCTGAAATTTTGTTACTGAGAACTCTTGTCGTTGCTTCGTTTGTTTTTTATTTGATCATATTGTTATTATTATTTTGAAGACGGAGTTTCGCTCTTGTTGCCCAAGCTGGAATGCAATGGCACAATCTCGGCTCACTGCAACCTCTGCCTCCCAGTTCAAGCGATTCTCCTGCCTCAGCCTCCTGAGTAGCTCGGATTACGGGCACTCACCACCACACCTGGCTAACTTTTTGTATTTTTAGTAGAAACGGGGTTTCACCATGTTAGCCAGGCTGGTCTCCAACTCCTGACCTCAGGTGATCCACCTGCCTCGGCCTCCCAAAGTGCTGGGATTACAGGCGTGAGCCACTGTGCCCAGCCTGTTTGTTTTTTGAGACAGGGTCTTGCTCTGTCACCCAGGCTGGAGTGCAGCGACACAATCACAACTCACTGAAGCCTCCAGTCAGGCTCAAGTGGTCCTCCCATCTCAGCCTCCAAAGTAGCTGGGACCACACACACATGCCATCATATCCAACTAGGTTTTGTGTGTGTGTGTGTGTGTGTGTTTTGTAGGTTTCCCCATGTTGCCAAGGTTGGTCTCAAACTCCTCAGCTCAAGTGATCCACAAGCCTTGGCCTCACAAAGTGCTGCAATTACAGGTGTGAGCCATCACACCCGGCCAGCAGTGCTTCTTTCTTTACATTTAGAATTCTCTATTTGATCTGTCCTCTTGGAACAGTGCTTTTCATACCACAGGTTGTTATGGCCCCACGTAGGTTGTGAAATTAACTTGGTAATAAACTTTAATAGAATAGAAAATACTAGATACTCCATATAGTACAGGTGCATATTTAAATACATCTACTGCTTTATGTATATACTGAGTCTTAGTGTAAAGATACTTGGCCTTCCAACTTAGAATTTAATGCTATTGTAGGTAAATACTCTAGTTTTACTTGTTTAATTGTATCATATCCCTTTTGTGTTAAACACTTTCCCTGCTTTATGTGTGCTATATTTATGTAACTTTATATCTTATTCTCATTGCCAATGCTTCTCTTAATCATCTTACCATATCATTTTCTGCTCTTCTCTATAACCCCCACTTACATCCTCTTTACATTCACAGAGGTGGCATTTTCAGAATCCTACCTCTTCTCTCTATTGCTGCTACTTCCATTTAAGTCCATGCTGCAATCAGTTCTCAGTAGCTTTCTAACTGGTATTCCTGTTTACACTCTTGCCCCAGAGTGTCTTCCCCAGAGTGTCTTTTCCACATAGCAGCCAGAGTGACCCTTCTGAAGTGTAAGTTAAGTCATTATCACCTTATTATTAAAAATCCTCTAGTGACTACTCAATATCCAAAGTCTCATAATCTGGCACTGCTGCTACATCTCTGAATCTTCTTTCATTTTCCTTATTCATTCTGCTACTTGTCTAAATTGTGCATGCCTCCTTCCACCTCAGGGTTTTTACTTTTTTTCTCTTTTTTAAAAAATTCATTTCCCCAAGGTTTTTCATGAGTTGCTCCCTTTTTTTTGTTCCCCTCCCCCCCCAGATCTCTGCTTAAATATCAACCTCTTTGAAGGCATACTCGGTCAACTTATCAGAGATCACTATCTGTATAAAATAATGGCTCCCCCACCCTGCACTCTGTTCTCTTCATAGCACTTATCACTTCTCCTGTTGTATGTGTTTTTGTTTGCCTGTATCTCGTCACTGTTTCTATTTTGTTGACTGCTGAATCTTCACTATTTAGAGTAGTTTCTGGCATATTGCGGGCTCTTAACTATTGAATAAATAAATAAATACCCTCAAAGGGAAGAAAAGATGTGAAGTTGGTGGGGGGTAGGGATTAAATGTGTAGTCTCTTGGTCAATTAAACTACATTGTCTCCATTTTTATTCTTGGATTATATAGCTGTAAATAAAGTTTAAAAGCAAATCCAAGAACTTTTTTTATTTTTATTTTTTACTCTTTAAACTGGGTAGTCTATGCTTCATCTCTAGTTACTTTCTTCACCCAAAGAAAATGTAGTGAATGAGTAGCTAAAATACCTACCTAAAACAAAATAGTGCTTTTTTCTGTTTTGGCTAATAGAATGGTGGAGGCAGGGATCAGTAACTTATAAAACCCCAGTTAAAGTAAAAATGCATGGCCATGTACAGTGGCTCATGCCTGTAATGCCAACACTTTGGGACGCCAAGGTAGGAGGATCTCTGGGGGCCAGGAGTTTGAGGCTGCACTCAGCTTTGATGATTCCATTGCACTCCAGCCTGGGTGACAAGGCGAGACTCTGTCTCTTAAAAAAAAAATAAAATTTTAAAATTTTGAAATATGTGGCCAAGCACAGTGTCTCATGCCTGTAATCCCTGCACTTTGGGAGGCCAAGGTAGGCAGATCACCTGAGGTCAGTAGTTCGAGACCAGCCTGACCAATGGTGAAACGCTACCTCTACCAAAAATACAAAATTAACTGGGCATGGTGGTGCATGCCTGTATCCCAGCTACTTAAGAGGTTGAGGCAGGAGAATAGTTTGAACCCAGGAGGCGGAGGTTGCAGTGAGCTGAGACTGCACCATTGCATTCCAGCCTGGGCAACAAGAGTGAGACTCCATCTCAAAAACAAAAAAAAATTTTGAAATATGTGATTTTATTATAGTATATTCTTAGAAACTAGGTTTTCATTTAAAATTTCATTTTCCAAATTATTAACTGATTTGTGTCTTTTCCCTCTTCTTTTTAGGAAGAAAAAAGATGCAATTGATCCCTTACTATTCAAGTATAAAGTGCAACCCACTAAAAAAGAATTACATGAGTCTGCTATTGTTAAAGCAACACAAATCAGGTAAAACTCACTATCTTCTCAATAGTAGTTTAAAGTAGAATAATTATGTATGTTAGATTAAGAAGGTCTGATGTAGAACAAATGGGAAGTACTGTGATTGCTTTCCTTCTTAAAAATAAATGTACATTTATATGTTCATAGACTGATTAAAATAAATCCTAAGAATCCTGATGGAGGCCAGGTGCAGTAGCTCATGTCTGTAATCCTAGCACTTTGACAGGCCAAGCCAGGAGGATCACTTGAGGCCAGGAGTTCAGGACCAGCCTGGACTACGTGGCAAGACCCTGTCTCTATTAAAAAAAAAAAATCCTAATGGACTTATTGAGCCATTTGTTTAGATGACTAACCCCAAATAGTCTTCTATCTAAAGAATTAAAAAGGGTCCTATTTATGAAGTACTTTTCATGAGATAACTCAATTTTTAATGTTAATAAAGGTGCTTATAAACGTCACGTTTGTAGTATTCATTAGACAAACATTTGATCAGTTTTTTCCTATTCATTAAGAAAGTTAAATCATAAAAAATGAGTATCTTTAAAAAGTTCCTGTTTGAGGCCTAATCAAAGGAGACAGAAGTTAATGTAAGAAGTTGCTTTAGTGAGTAGTTAATACGTAAAAGAACTGGCTTTAGGTTATACAGATATATTTTAGGAAAATCCCTATTGTTGTCTGTTGGGTTTAGGCTCTTAGTCATCTGAAAGCAAGATGATATCAGCCAGCTATCAACCTGCCACCTAGGAGTCAGTCTTGTATTTCATTTAGTGTAAAATAATTTTTGCTTATGTTCTCATCCCTTTTGTTCCATATATATTCATGTATCCAAACGAAAGTGATAATAATATAAGTATTAAGAGAATCCTGAGATAGATATATCACTTTCTGTGGCTGTATTGAGGTGTGTGTGGTTTGTTGGTTGGTTGGTTTTGGGGGGCTCATCATTAGTTTAAGATCTCTAGAGCATTCTACATTTTACTTTATATTCAAAAATAATATTCTAAAACTAATGTTTGATTATTCAAACTTCTAAAAATTTGTTTAGTTTATGGGCTAATGAATAGCAATTGTTGAGACTACAGATATTTTCCTTATTCACAGTTGAGTTTTTTTCTTTTGCCTTTAGTTCAGGATATGTTATTTACATAATGTAATTCCCTATTTAATATTTTTCATTTTTCTATTTACTTTTTGACTTATACTTTAAATATAATTATTCTGCTAGGCCATGGTTACAGCCTTGGTTAGCTCATTTTCTTCCTAATTGGTAAGCCAAAGAATTACAAGGTGAGAAAGTTATACTTCATAATAAAAGACTTAAGTGACTTATAGCTCTTTGTTAGCATCAAAAAATAGTACAATACTTTTTTTTAAATAAAGAGATGGTAATATTCCTCTAATAAAGAAGAAGACTTGATATGCTAGAGTAGCATTGACAAGTAGAACTTTCTTTTATAATGGAAATGTTACATGTATGCTGTCCAACAGCCATGTGTCACTATTGAGCATTTGAAATGTAGCTAGAAAGAATGAGGGAACTGAGTTTTTAATTTTATTTATAAATAAACAATATGTGGCTGGTAGCTACCATGTAAACTAATGAAGTCCTTCAGGACTAGTTTCTTCAGTAGTCAACAAGTAATTACCTTCTCTTTACCAGCTTGCAGAGATGTAGCAGAGTCCTTGTTCTCATGGAGCTTTAAGTCTAGGAAAAGAATATAGTCATCCTTGGTTATCTGTGTGGGAGGGAAATCTTTGAATGTTCAAGTTTCATAAAATGGTGTAGTATTTGCATTTAACCTACACACATCTTCCCATATACTTTAAATCATCTCCAGATTACTTATAATACCTAATACAATGTAAATGAAGTGTAAATCATTGTTATACTGTATTGTTTAGGGAATACTGACAACAAAAAAAGTCTGCACATGTTTAGTACAGATGCAGTTTTTATTTTCTCCAAATACTTTTGATCTAAGGATATGGAGGGCTAACTGTATACATTTTTGGGAAGGCCACTACTTAAAAATCATATATTGTTTATTCACTTATAGGAGCTTTTAACGGCTTTTTCTTGAAAGGAATATATTGAACTCAATTAAAACATTTACTTTTTCCCAAAAATACTTCTATTTCTTTTCTATTGGTTTTGTTTTGTTTGTGGTGGTGTTTGGTACTCTTGTGGTTGTTTTTAATTGGGGGGCAAGGGAGAATAAAAAACAGTATGTTTTAGAATATTAATTTTAAGCCTCTTTTAATTTTCATCCCACTAATTTGCTGGTTGTCATGAGATTTAAATACAAAATGTTTTAAAATTTGATACAAGCTATGTTCAATTTTGTTTACAATATCCACTTGAATATTGATTTGCAGCACTTAATACGATTTCTGGTAGTCTACTGATTTTAATTTTTTTTGTTTTGTTTTGCTTTGTTTTTTTGAGACAGAGTCTCACTCTGTCTCCGAGACTAGAGTGCAGCAGCACGATCTCGGCTCACTGCACCCTCGGCCTCCCAGGCTCAAGCGATTCTCCACCCTAAGCCTCCTGAGTAGCTGGGATTACAGGCATGTGCCACTACCGCCCAGCTAATTTTTTTTGTATTTTTAGTAGAGATGGGGTTTCACCATGTTGGCCAGGCTGGTCTCGAACTCCTGACCTCAAGTGATCCACCCTCCTCAGCCTCCCAAAGTGCTGGGATTACAGGTGTGAGCCACTGTGCCTGGCCTGATTTTAATTTTTAAGAGAATTTTAATGGTTATACTTGTAGGGGTAATCTAATTTTATAAAATTTGATTTACTCTCTATAGCATATTTTCCTTAAAGTTTATTTTCTTTTTTTTTGAGACAGAGTCTTGCTCTGTCGCCCAGGCTGGAGTGCACTGGTGTGATCTTGGCTCACTGCCTCCTGTGTTCATGCTGTTCTCCTGCCTCAGCCTCCCGAGTAGCTGGGACTACAGGCACGCGCCACCACACCCTGCTAATTTTTTGTATTTTTAGTAGAGACAGGGTTTCACCGTGTTAGCCAGGATTGTCTTGATCTCCTGACCTCGTCATCCACCCGCCTCGGCCTCGCAAAGTGCTGGGATTACAGGCGTGAGCCACTGCGCCCGGCTCTTGAAGTTTGTTTTCTCAGTGGCCCCTAAACAACAAATGCATATTGCTGTTTTTGTAATAGACTTTTTATAATAGATTCACTCATGTAGATCTTATAACTTCCTAATAAATACCTCTGTAAAAGTTTCTTGTAACTTCTACATAAATACTGTTAGAAGATGAAGTGTGTCCTTTGATTCCTAGGCTTTCTGAAATTCAGGTTACAAATTTACAGAGATTATGGAGTTGGGGTTGAACTCTTTGATGCTAACACTACCCCTCTTTGACTTCCTTGCCTCCTGTAGCCGGAGAAAACACCTATTTTCTCGTGATAAACTAAAGCTTTTTCTGAAGCAACACTGTGAACCACAAGATGGAGTCATTAAAATAAAGGTAATCAAATAATGAAATTATTTGTTGGAAGACAGAAAACAAAATGGGTAGTGTTATAAAGTTATAACATTGCTGAAATGTTATTTCAAAGATGATTAAAGATTGCTCTCTTTTAATCTGGAGCCAATTTTTAGTACTTCTGAAAAATATTGGATTAATTACTATTTCTAAAATTGCTGGAATCGCTAGGTGGTTCAGTTACTGCCACTTACAAAAAAGATCAACAAGGACAGGTGAAAATAGAAAATTTGGAAAAAGAAAAGTTATCAGGTGGGGCAACTATAGCTTCCTAATACCTATAGTGTGGTTCTCGCTTACAAAGAATAGACAGATTCAAAGAACAATGCTAAACAGAGCCTACTAGATAAGAGAACAATGTATAATAAAAAGAGCATTGGCTGGGCACCGTGACTTACTCCTGTAATCCTTGCACTTCACGAGGCCAAAGTGTACATACTGCTTGAGCCCAGGAGACCAGCCTGGAGACCAGCCTGGGAAACATGGCAAACCCTGTATCTACAAAAATTAGAAAAATTAGCTGGGTGTGGTGGTGGGTAACTGTAGTCCCAGCTACTTAGGAAGCTGAGGTAAAAGGATCACCTGAGCCTGGAGAGGTCAAGGCTGCTGTGAGCTGTGATTGTATCACTGCACTCCAGCCTGGACAACAGAGTGAGACCCTGTCTCAAAATAATATAATAATAATAATAAATAAAAATAAAAAGTATCATGCTAATACTAAGCAGACAGATTATATTTTGTCTATAACCATTAAGAGAGGAAAAAGTCAAGTTTTAGAGATTTCACATTGCACACTAAATAAAAAGTTAAATGGTAAAACTCAAAGTAATTTTTTAAAATGCAAAATATTCAACTTTTATTGGGATAAAGACACACTAAGTGAAAAAAGCAATAGAATGGAGCCTCATGCCTGTGGTCCCAGCTACTCCGAAGGCTGAGGTGGGAGGATCACTTGAGCCTGGGATTTCAGCCTATCAGAAGGTGGGAGGAGGGAGAGGATGGGAAAAAATAACTAATGGGCACGTGCTTAAAACCTGGGTGATAAAGTAATCTGCACAACAGAACCCCCATGACACGTTAACTATGTAACAAACCTGCAAATGCACCCCTGAACTTAAAATAAAAGTTTAAAAAGGCAGTAGCATGGGTTAGAGAGATGTATGCATTTGTCACAAATCAGCTCCTGCATGTGTTAGATTTGTGCATTTCACTGTATATAAATGTTTAAAAAGAAGAGAAACTTTAAAAAAAAGAATGAGTTTATGCGAAAAGTTAACATTTCAGGTCTCTAGAGGCAAGACTGATAAATAAAAATGGACACTTGGTTAACTATTGGAATAATAAAGTTAAATCTAACTCAAAAGAAATGAAACAAATTTTAATGTTAAACATGATGAGGTACTTAGGAGAAATAGAAAAAAAAATACCAAGGATGAGATTGAGCATAAACATAGGTTTTAAAATGTCATGAATAAGTGAGCCAAGATTGCGCCACTGCACTCCAGCCTGGGCAACAGGAGACTCCGTCTAAGGGAAAAAAAAAAAAAAAGTCATGTGTAGATTTCAAGGGCAAGCGCTGGGGGAAAAATACCTTGAGTAAATACAATGAAGAACGCAAATTAACTAGAGAAACATAAGCACCCCAGTAGGAAAATGGTCAAATAGATATGACTAAAATTCACCGTGGATGAAATATAAAAACTTGAAAACGTAAGATAGCGTCATCTGAAAAATAATTTTTTAAAAATGTGAGCATATTTATGTATCTGCCTTGATAAGATTCAATTATGCTCTGTCTATAGCATTATCAGGCAGCCATATTAAATGATGCTTACAAAAAGTTTTAATGATTTAGATACTTGCAATAAATGGCTAGAACAGTGCCTGACACGTGGTAGGCAATCGATATATGTGAATAGTTGTATATGTATATTGTAAACACCCAGTTGGCCAATTCCTCTAATTTGCAAAGATTTCTTACACATCAATGAGCAAAGATGACCCAACTGGAAAATGGTGATGAAAGACATCAGCAAATATTTCACCAAGGAAAAAGTCAATGAACATGGAAAGAAGCTCAACTTAATAAATAAATGGGAATTAAGGTCACAATAAACATTTTTCACTTAGAGTGTAATAGAAGATTATTAATGGATATGCTGGTGTATTAATCCATTCTCACACTGCTATAAAGACATACCTGAGACTGGGTAATTCATAAAGAAAAGAGGTTTAATCGGCTCACAGTTTTGTGGGCTGTACAGTCTTCTGCTTCTGGGGAGGCCTCAGGAAACCTACAATCATGGCGGAAAGCAAGCACATCTTCACATGGCTGGCAGGAGACAGCGTGAAGTGGGAGGTGCTACATTCAAACAACCAGATCTCATGAACAGCAAGGGGGAAGCCTGCTCCATGATTCAGTCACCTCCTACCAGGCCTGCCCTTTAACACTGGGGAGTACAATTCCACATGAGATCTGGATGAGGACACAGAGCCAAATTATATCAGCACAGCCCTTTGTGAGCAAGCACACAAAGTTTGATAACCAGTTTTGGTGAGCATAGACTGCTGTTAGGAGTACCTACAAGTACACAAAGATGTGGGTTTTGTGTATTGTGTGTATGAATAAGGAACTTTGGCAATTAATGTACTAAAACGTATTTTGGCCTTTATGAGTGTGATATTTGAGAAGAAACCACCCATGTGCTTTATTTCATATTTAAGGTGCAATTCTGTAGACAATTACATAATTCTATTCTGTAGATAATCCTGTTACCCCACATAATTCTGAGGTTATATGGGATGGAATATGATTATTTTAATGAAATCTTCTTTAATGGGAAATTTTGATAGATTCTTGATTTATTATCATGGCCAGAACTGGTGGAATTCCAGGTGTTTAAAGCTGTGCTCTACCTACAAAAATAATTATACACAAAATACCCTTTTCTGTTTTGTTAACTTTTTGTATTTTGTGTCATTATTTTCTCACACATTTCCTGAAAGGTATTTCAGTAAATGGCACTTGCTTTTGTTCACTTGTTTGAGAGGAAGAATGATGATCTTGGCCATTAGGTCAAAAATAACAAAAAGTCTAGGGTTGCACATGGATAAAAGGTAAGCAAGACTGGGCGCAGTGGCTTATGCCTATAATCCCAGCACTTTGGGAGGCCAAGGCGGGCAGATCACTTGAGGTCAGGAGTTCGAGACCAGCCTGGCCAACATGGTGAGACCCTGTCTCTACTAAAAATACAAAAATTAGCCAGATGTGGTGGCACGCACCTGTAATCTCAGCTACTCCGGAGACTGAGGCAGGAGAATCACTTGAACCTAGGAGGCAGAAGTTGCAGTGAGCCGAGATCATGCCACTACACTTCAGCCAGGATGACAGAGCAAGATTCTGTCTCAAAATAAATAAATACGTAAATAAAATTAAAAAAACTTTAAAAGGCAAACAAATTCTAGATACAAGGTAAAAGGAGATAAACTCTTGGATTTAATAATTATTCTAGAACCACACCATTTCTGGCAAGAATGAGTTTGACTTCTGAACTTAAATTCTTTGTTTAAACTTTATAGGAATTTGCAAGTATTTCTGCTTTTATCAAGACTAGAGGGATGTAATGGGAAATTTGATATATTAAGTAGTTAAGTTATTACTCTACCCTGGGAGGAAAATCTAAATAAATGTTCAGCAGTTGGCAAATGGTTAAGAAAAATTTATCAGGTTAATACAGTAGATTTTTAATGTTAAATATATGGATTGATTATTCATTTACATAGATTGATTCATTTATGTAGAAAATCTCACAAAATTTGTCAAAGCAAAACAAATTATTGTATAATATATATGTAATTTTGAAATACAAGAAACTGTACAACCATTCTTGAGGTATTTTATTGTAATCTTTGAATTGTGGTTTTCTTTTTGGTAAGGCTAATTAATTATATAGTGGAAAAAGGATTGGTTAAACCAACTAAAATGTATTTTACTACACAATAATGCATAAAATTCTAATGTTTTTATCCTTATCTTTTTTTTTTTTTTTTTTCCTGAGATGGAGTCTTACTCTGTCACCAGGCTGGAGTGCAGTGGCACGATCTCTGCTCACTGTAACCTCCACCTCCCAGATTCAAGTGATTCTCCTGCCTCAGCCTCCCGAGTACCTGGGACTACAGACGTGTGCCACCACACCCAGCTAATTTTTGTATTTTTAGTAGAGATGGGGTTTCACCATATTGGGCAGGATGGTCTCGATCTCTTGACCTCATGATCCGCCCGCCTCGGCCTCCCAAAGTGCTGGGATTACAGGCATGAGCCACTGTGCCCAGCCTATCCTGATCTTTTAACAGCATTAATAGTGGCCATATGACATGTTAGGGCATATCTGTATGTTGTTTACTAATGTGTTATTATTGTACCCTATGTCTTTGTTTTATTAAGGCATCATCTCTTTCAACGTATAAAATAGCAGAACAAGATTTTTCTTATTTCTTCCCTGATGATCCACCCACATTTATCTTCAGTCCTGCTAACAGACGAAGAGGGAGACCTCCCAAACGAATACATATTAGTCAAGTAAGTACAGAATTGATTAAAACTACATTTTCACTGTTAGTAAAACAGTATTCAGAATCAAGAAGTATGTTTGTCTCCCCTCACATCCATAGCCTAGAGGAAGAAACTCATTACCTCACCAAAAAGTATGTAAGTGTGTACTATATGTTGATAACTGCTCAGCAATGAGGCTTGTAGAAGTTTCAGGTGTGAATTAGATATGACTTTCATACCACAAGGATTCTATACCAAAGTGGAAGCAAGCACATAAGCAATTACTGAAATGTAAAGCAGGGAATAAACTATGGGATTGAAGTGTAGAATAAAGAGCAATAAATTCTGACAGGAAGAAGCTATAGGGGGCTTTAAAAAAGCAATAATGCAGCCGGGCACAGTGGCTCTTGCCTGTAATCCCAGTACTTTGGGAGGCTGAGGTGGGTGGACATTTGAGTCTTGGAGTTCTAGACTAGCCTGGACAACATGGCAAAACTCTGTCTCTACTAAAAATACAGGAGCCTGAGGCACGAGAATTGCTCAAACCCGGGAGGCAGACAGAGGCTGAGGTTGCTGTGAGCCCAGATCATGCCACATTGCACTTTAGCCTGGACAACAAAGCCAAGACTCCATCTTAAAAACAAAACAAAACAAAACAAAAAACTACACAAATTAATTAGGTTAGAGACATTCTTAGAAGAAATAAAATAAAAATAAAATTTGACATTGGCCACAAGAATTTTTCTGGTATGTCTTTTTTCTGCATCTTTTATATTTGATATTTACACCATCTAGTTTATAAAGTAAGCTGAGAGTTTGTTTTTCTAATGCATTTTTAAGGATCTTTCTATATATTACCAGTTTTTCCTGAGATATTCTTGTAATAATTTATAGAGCTACAGAGTTAACTCATGTTCTGTTTATTACTAAGATTAGAGTTATTAACAGTTCAGTAACACTTTTTTTTTTTTTTTTGAGATGGAGTCTCACTCTGTCACCCATGCTGGAGTGCAGTGGCACGATCTTGGCTCACTGCAACCTCCACCTCCTGGGTTCAAGCAGTTCTGCCTCAGCCTCCTGAGTAGCTGGGGCTGCCGGTGCATGCCACCACGCCCAGCTAATTTTTGCATTTTTAATAGAGATGGGGTTTCACCATGTTGGCCAGGCTGCTCTCAAACGCCCGACCTCAAGTATTCTACCCGCCGTGGCTTCCCAAAATGCTAGGATCACAGGCATGAGCCACTGTGCCCGGCCCAATTATACTTTAGAATAAAAACTCATTTTAGACTGGGCACAGTGGCTCACACCTGTAATCCCAGTACTTTGGGAGGCTGAGGTGAGTAGCCCACTTGAGGTCAGGAGTTCAAGACCAGCCTGGCCAACATGGCAAAACCCTGTATCTACTAAAAATACAAAAAAAAATTAGCCAGGTGTGGTGGCACATGCCTGTAATCCCAGCTACTCGAGAGGCTGAGGGAGAAGAATCACTTGAGCCCAGGAGGCAGAGGTTGCAGTGAGCCGAGATCACACCACTGCACTCCAGCCTGGGGGATAGAGCGAGACTTTGTCTCAAAAAAATAAAAAAATCATTTTAGTATAAAGAAAGTGTAATTGGTGAGAGTTTTAAATTTTTTGCTTTTTATTCTTACTATAAGAACCAGGCATACTATTTTGGTTTGTTTTTTAGGAGGACAATGTTGCTAATAAACAGACTCTTGCAAGTTATAGGAGCAAAGCTACTAAAGAAAGAGATAAACTTTTGAAACAAGAAGAAATGAAGTCACTGGGTGAGTTTTAACATTGTTTCCAAAAGCTAATTAGGAATAAGAAAGAATATTTCTCTGTGCCTGAGTGGGGGATGTTTCCGAAATGGCATGTTTCTGGTTAATTGTTTTGAAGTGCAGTTATTTTTTCTATCAGATAACTATTGTTTATTTGTTTGTTTGCTTGTTTTATAAATAAGACCGCTTCATCTCTTTAAATTTCATGGTCTTGCATATTCCCTATTAAATTGCTTAGTGCTAGATTAAGCAGAAGTTTGAGTTTCCAGGGCTTACAAACTGGGGCTATTTTGTTTGATTCACACAGCCTTTTAAAACATTGCTTCCCAAACTTGAATGTACATATGAATCACTTGGGGATCTTGTCAAAATGATGAAGATTCTAAATTAGTAGGTCTGGTGGGGGAATGAGATTCTGCATTTTTTAACAAGGTGATGATAACCTTGCTGCTGGTCTTCAGATCACACTTTGGGTATTAGGGCTTTCAAAGGCACAGATATGTTTGTCCCAGTACTGTAGTTTGTCATAAACTTAGCCAATTTGCTTTTCCTGTTTTAATAATCTGCTGGCTCCCTGTAGGAATTTTAAGAGTCTCTACTAATCTCATTTAACTTTAAATTATTTCAAGGATTCTGTTGTTACATCAAAAAAATTGCCAAGTGTTATTTTGTCTATATATATAGTTCTAAGTTTGATTTTTCTTCACAGCTTTTGAAAAGGCTAAATTAAAAAGAGAAAAAGCAGATGCCCTAGAAGCGAAGAAAAAAGAAAAAGAAGATAAAGAGAAAAAGAGGGAAGAATTGAAAAAAATTGTTGAAGAAGAGAGACTAAAGAAAAAAGAAGAAAAAGAGAGGCTTAAAGTAGAAAGAGAAAAGGTATTCATTTGAGTATATTAGCTATACTCTCTACATATAGTAATACTACTTTACATATCTACATCCATGGTTGATTTTTAAATGCTTTTACTACTTTCATTCACATTTATGAATGTGCATAGAAAGTTGATTGGTTTATCTCCCTTTTGCTTTGGAAAATTTAACATGCCTTTACGCATCACTTAAAACCTCTTTTAGAATGCAGTTCTAAATGATTTCATTGTTTAGATTTCCAAATTTAGGGAAGATGATATATGTAAAAGTTTATATGTAAACCTTTAAGAGGTAAAATACGCAGTTTGAAAAATAAAATAGGCCGGGTGCAGTGGCTCACACCTGTAATCCCAGCACTTTGGGAGGCCAAGGCAGGCAGATCATGAGGTCAGGAGTTCGAGACCAGCCTGGCCAGGACGGTGAAACCCCATCTCTACTAAAAATACAAAACTTAGCCGGGCATGGTAGTATGCGCCTGTAATCCCAACTACGAAGGAGGCTGAGGCAGGAGAATCGCTTGAACATGGGAGGTGGAGGTTACAGTGAGCCAAGATCACGCCACTGCACGCCAGCCTGGGCAACAGAACAAGACTCCGTCTCAAAAAAAAAAAATGAATAATGTTCTTATCCTACTTGAAAAATAAGGTGTAATAATAGTGTTTCAGCAAATCTTTGATTGTGGTTTCCAGTGATACATATTCCTTAGAGAATTCTATAGCTGGTTTCCTCCAAAGTCAGCCATTTTCAGAGATTTCTTGGGATATTCACAAGTAGCCTTAGAGGATCATATTACATGCTCTGTGCTCATTTTAGTTGTCTATCGTCTCCCTTGAATTTTGTTTTTTAATTATACTTTAAGTTCTAGGGTACCTGTGCACAATGTGCAGGTTTGTTACATAGGTATACATGTGCCATGTTCATTTGCTGCACCCATTAACTCATCATTTACATTAGGTATTTCTCTTAATGCTATCCCTCCCCCCTCCCCCCACCCCACAACAGGCCCTGGTGTATGATATTCCCCATCCTGTGTCCAAGTGTTCTCATTGTTCAAGTCCCACCTATGAGTGAGAACATGCGGTGTTTGGTTTTCTGTCCTTGTGATAGTTTGCTGAGAATGATGGTTTCCAGCTTCATTCATGTCCCTGCAAAGGACATGAACTCATCCTTTTTTGTGGCTGCATAGTATTCCATGGTGTATATGCACCACATTTTCTTAATTCAGTCTATCATTGATGGACATTTGAGTTGGTTCCAAGTCTTTGCTATTGTGAATAGTGCCACAATAAACATATGTGTGCATGTGACTTTATAGTAGAATGATTTATAATCCTTTGGGTATATACCCAGTAATGGGATCGCTGGGTCAAATGGTACTTCTGGTTCTAGATCCTTGAGGAATCGCCACACTGTCTTCCACAATGGTTGAACTAGTTTACACTCCAGCCAACGGTGTAAAAGCATTCCTATTTCTCCACATCTTCTCCAGCATCTGTTGTTTCCTGACTTTTTAATGATTGCCATTCTAACTGCTGTGAGATGGTATCTCATTATGGTTTTGATTTGCATTTCTCTGATGACCAGTGATGAGCATTTTTTCATGTGTCTTTTGGCTGCATAAATGTCTTCTTTTGAGAAGTGTCTGTTCATGTCCTTCGCTCATTTTTTGATGAGGTTGCCTGGGTATCACCAGTGGAGCCTGCAGAACAGCAAATATTGCAGAACAGCACATATTGCTGCCTTATCCTTCCTTTGGAAGCTTTGTCCCAGAGGGGCACCTACCCATATGATGTGTCAGTTGGCCCCTACTGGGAGGTGTCTCCCAGTTAGGCTGCACAGGGGTCAGGGACCCACTTGAGGAGACAGTCTCTCTGTTCTCAGAGTTCAAAAACCATGCTAGGAGCTGCCAGACAGGGATGTTTAAGTCTGTAGAAATTTCTGCTGTCTTTTGTTCAGCTACACCCTGCCCCCAGCGGTGTGGTCTACAGACGCAGCAGGCCTTTCAGAGCTGCGGTGGGCTCCGCCCAGTTTGAGCTTTCCCAGCAGCTTTGTTTACCTACTCAAGCCTCAGCAATGGCGGACACGCCCCTCAGCAGTGGCGGACGCCCCCTCCCCCTGCCAGGCTACTGCCTCGCAGGTCGATCTCAGACTGCTGCACTAGCAGTGAGCAAGGCTTTGTGGGCATGGGACCCGCTGAGCCAGGCACGGGATATAATCTGCTGGTGTGCTGTTTGTTAAGACTGTTGGAAAAGCGCAGTATTTGGGCAGGAGTGTCCCGATTTTCCAGGTGCAGTCTGTCAAGGCTCCCCTTGGCTAGGAAAGGAAAATCCCCTGACCCCTTGCACTTCCCGGGTGAGGCGATGCCCGCCCTGCTTCGGCCCGCCCTGCTTTGGCTCGCCCTGCTTCGGCTCGCCCTCCATGGGCACCAGTCCCAATGAGATGAACCAGGTACCTCAGTTGGAAATGCAGAAATCACCGTCTTCTGCATTGATCACGCTGGGAGCTGCAGACTGGACCGGCCGTCTTGGAACGGAAACCAGATGTTTGTCAAATAGGCCATGAAGGTGGTGCAGGAAGTCTAATATAAGTTTACTCCAGAAAACATAGAGGACAGAAAAATCACCAGAAATCTGATGGTAACATTAGAGATAGAATTAACACTTTTTTTTTTGAGATGGAGTGTCACTCTGTTGCTCAGGCTGAAGTGCAGTGGCTTGATCTGGGTTCACTGCAACCTCTGCCTCCCAGATTCAAGCAATTCTCCTGCCTCAGCCTCCCGAGTGGCTGGGACTAGAAGTGCCCACCACCACGCCTGGCTAATTTTTGTATTTTTAGTAGAGATGGGTTTCACCATGTTGGCCAGGCTGGTCTCAAACTCCTGACCTCAAGTGATCTGCCCGCCTCGACCTCCCAAAGTGCTAGGATTACAGGCATGAGCCACCGCACCTGGCCAGAGAGAATTAACACTTTGATTTGTTTATTTCTAGTCTTTATCCTCTGCCTTAAAAAAACAGATCACTCACCATTTAAAGTTTTATATGCTTTTTTTATCTAACATGATCATAAACATTCTTTCATGTTATTAAATAATCTTAAGTGGAATTTTTAATGACTGCATAACTCATTAAATAGTCATAGCTAAGTGCTTTAAATAATACTGCTGTGTTCAAATTTCTGAATAAAGTCTTTTTTTTTGGACTATGTCCCAGGATAAATTTGTAGAAGTAGAATAAATCAAAGATTAAGAATATTTTTAAAACTTTCTATACATACACATAACTAAGTATTTCCCAAGCATGTGCTTATTTACACTGTTAGCAACAATGAATTAGAATGTTAACCTTATTTGATCCTATAAGAATTATTTCTGAGGTTGGGGGTGGATAATTTATTTAAGCAGACTATTCAAGTTACAGCAAGTTCCGTAACTATCTAGGCGTTTTATGTTGAAAATTTGATAAGTGCACATCTGTTAACCTCTGTTCTTACTAAATTTCAAAGAAGAGAATAATAACATATTAAGTATACTTACTGGAAAAAATAGTAAAATATTTGATTTACACTGTTTTATTAGAGACATTTAGCAGTTAATATTTATCTTGCAATTTCAAACACCAGAATCAAAAAGTAAGGGTTTCAAAAGACCGAGTAAGAGAAATAGCCTGAATTATAAGAAATAAGTCCATCTATTCTAATATTGTTGCTTTTAATTATTGTTCCCTCTTTGTATCTCTAGGCTGTTATCAGATTCAAATGAATCTTGAAAATGACAAATTTATTACAAACATAAGGGGAAGTTTCATTTTAGGCAGTCTAATAATTTATTTTGCTAGGATCTTATTGATAGGAAGTAGAGGGAAAGCTATAGATCAAGTCAGATTAAATTAATATTTATTCAAGAGCTGCCCAGGCGGGAGTGCAGTGGTGTGATCTCAGTTCACCCCAACCCTCTCCTCCCGGGTTCAAGGCTTCTTCTGCCTCAGCCTCCTGAGTAGCTGGAACAACAGGTGCATGCCACCACGCTCAGCATGCATATATGTGTGTGTGTGTGTGTGTGTGTGTGTATGTATATGTATATGTGTTTGTATTTTTAGTAGAGATGGAGTTTCGCCATTTTGGCCAGGCTGGTCTCAAACTTCTGACGTCAAGTAATCCACCTGACTCTGACTCCCAAAGTGCTGGGATTACATGTGTGAGCCACTGCACTCGGCCCATTTTCAGTCTTTATAGTATTATTTTGATAGGTATTATTTTGATCAGTGGTTCTAAAACTTTAGCGTGTATTAAAAACCACCAGAAGGGCTTGCTAGAACACCAGTTGCTAAGTCCTAACCTCAGAGTTACTGCTTCAGTAGGTATGGGGTAAGGTCCAAGTATTTGCATTTCTAACAAGTTCTCAGGAGATGCCGATGCTGCCATATAAATTTCTTACATGAATTGTTATTAACTTTTAAAAATTTCTAGGAAAGAGAGAAGTTACGTGAAGAAAAGCGAAAGTATGTGGAATACTTAAAACAGTGGAGTAAACCTAGAGAAGATATGGAATGTGATGACCTTAAGGTATAAACATGTTATGTGATGTTTAGCACACATAGGTTTTACATGTCCTATGTGGCTTTGCTGATGAAATCATTCTTATTTAATAGCAGCCTCTTCTCTTTATATTTAACCGAGAGGAAATAGCTAGTTAAGCAAATGTTCACACTTAGAATTCCAAGGTAGCATTGTTAGTGTTTTATAATCAGCTTTGATAATGATTCTTATTCTGTAGAAATAATAGGTCAGTTTGTGTGATCCTTAATAATCCAAAAACCACTGTAGCCAGGCATGCATTTAGCTTGATTGCTAGGTAAGGATTCTGCCTATTTCCAGAAATGGCCAAAGTGTCCAAATCAAACTCATTCAACTTGGCTTATAAAGAATAATTTCAGTAAATCAAAATTAGTAGATGGTAGATTAATTATGTTCCAAATCATAAGGAGCTACTACATTGAAGGTAGTATTTCACAGCTGATTTGACTTCAGAATGTGGGTTAAGAGACTCTTACTAGGAAATATAGTCAGAAATACACTCAGCCTAAAGTTATGTTCTTAGTATAAGGAAGAAAATGTTCCTTTCTCCCGGTCCCTTGTCAGGAACTGTGATTTAGTAAAGTTGGAACAAGTTCAGGACATCTATAATTTTAGAAGTTTCAAAGGTGATTGTGATAAACAGCAAGGGTTGAGAACCAGTAGCTTACAAATAATACTTCTTAATAGTTAGGTAAAAAGTATGTCATCTCTGCCTTTTAAGTTTTCCTGCTCTTGGTTCAAATAGTTATATAAATTGTTCAATATTTCAGGAACTTCCAGAACCAACACCAGTGAAAACTAGACTACCTCCTGAAATCTTTGGTGATGCTCTGATGGTTTTGGAGTTCCTTAATGCATTTGGGGAACTTTTTGATCTTCAAGATGAGTTTCCTGATGGAGTAACCCTAGGCAAGTGCTTTAGTTATCTATTGCTACATTATAGTTCATCCTAAAATTAGTGGCTTTAAAAAAACAAGCCACCTTGTAAAGTTCTGTGGGGGCACTGGAGTTGGGATCTCTCTGGTCTGGCTAGATGTTCAAAATGGCTTCTTCTCACACAGGTCTGGTGCCTCGGTCCTCTTCATGTGGCCTTTCATTTCATCAGAGTATCTCATACTTATTATGTGGCACCTGGGGGCTCTAAGAAGCAGGAAGCAGAAACTGCTAGCCCTCTTAAAGCCTAGGCCTGGAATTGGCACAGCCTTACTTCTGCCACATTCCATTGGTCAGAGCAGTGAGAGGCCACCGTGGGATTCAACAGGATTGTGGAATAGACTCCACTTCTTGAGCAGGGAGTGGTATATGGGTGTTTGCAGACAGGTTATTGCCTACCTTTATTTGTAATTCTCTTTGGCCTGTGTACTTATATACTTTTACTTTGTATAAACATTTATAATGAGTATAGTATAAGGAAAGATTTGGATCAAATTTTGAATTTTTGGCTGTCACATGGTAAAATAATTTTCTTAAAATCCATGTAGAGACTTTGAAATAGAGAATTATAATGCCACTCATTTTTTTTTTTCTTGAGACAGTCTTGCTCTGTCACCTAGGCTAGAGTGCAGTGGCGCAATCTCGGCTCACTGCAAGCTCCACCTCCAGGGTTCAAGCGATTCTCCTGCCTCAGCCTCCCAAGTAGCTGGGACTACAGGCACCCGCCACCATGCCCAGCTAATTTTTTTCTTTTTTTTTTCTTTTTTTCTTTTTTTTCTTTTTGAGACGGAGTCTCGCTCTGTCGCCCAGGCTGGAGTGCAGTGGCGTGATCTTGGCTCACTGCAACCTCCACCTCCGGGGTTCAAGCAATTCACTGCCTCAGCCTCCCAAGTAGCTGCAATTACAGGCACCCATCACCAAGCCCAGCTAATTTTTGTATTTTTAGTGGAGACAGGGTTTCACCATTTTGGCCAGGCTAGTCTTGAACTCCTGACCTTGTGATCTGCCCGCCTCGGCCTCCCAAAGTGCTGGGATTACAGGCGTGAGCCACCACACCTGGCCCAATTTTTTTGTATTTTTAGTAGAGATGAGGTTTCACCATGTTAGCCAGGATGGTCTCAATCTCCTGACCTCGTGATCCACCCACCTTGGCCTCGCAAAGTGCTGGGATTACAGGCGTGAGCCACTGCGTCTGTCCTATAATGCCACTCTTATTTTAATAAAAGTATATTCTTTAGGAGGGCTTTCAAATTCTTTTATTTCTCCTTATGAGGTGGATGAAGCAAGAATCATTGTGTCTTATAGATCAAGGAGGTCTAAACAGTGCTGGTTTAGGTGAGATGAATTAGATAAAAAACATTTATTTATGACTTAGACATAATATTAGGATTAAAACCTAATGCGGATAATGACCTCTTCTATGCCCTATTTGCACATACATAGCCCTCAGGAACAGTGGCACAATAACAAATATTTGCATTGTTCAGATTAGAATAAAATTGTAATTTTTAAAATGTGCCTTAATTTGTGCCTTAAATTTAAATTTAAATGAAATATGTTGATCTATTGAGGCTATTTTGACTTACTTGAATGAGGTGACTTTGGCTTACGATTTTATTGTATTTTATTGTAATCATTATAAATTCTTATTTTGGCTTGGATAATACTTGGTTATACTTTCATAAATTGATGCTTAAGAAAATAGTTGCACATACTATTGTTGATTACATGTTTATTCCAGTGGAGTTGTTTTTTCAGTACATGAACAGAACTTTAAATTCATTTTAAACATTTTATTCACAGAAGTATTAGAGGAAGCTCTTGTAGGAAATGACAGTGAAGGCCCACTGTGTGAATTGCTTTTTTTCTTCCTGACTGCAATCTTCCAGGCAATAGCTGAAGAAGAAGAGGAAGTAGCCAAAGAGCAACTAACTGATGCTGACACCAAAGGTCAGAGTTCAACATTATTGCTGATTGAACCATAGTAGTTTTGTAGCGAAACTAATTTTTGAGGGCCAATTTTAAGTTAAATTGGCTTTTATGCTTATAAAATATAGTTGTTCAGGTTACCTGATGTTGAATCATATGCTAACAACAAATGGATTATGTTACAAAAATTTTGTTTTGATATAACCTGTGTCTGACAACCTTAAAGATATTTTCCCTCAGTCTATCTTGCTTTTATTCCTTTAGACTTTTCCTATGATTTAGGAGCATTACAGATTTCATTGACCAGTATCTGTAATTCCAAGAGATTCTGCTAACTAGCACTCTAGCACTGTTTCTTTGTTTTTTTGGGGTATTTTTTGGCCCTCAACTAAGGAAATACTTTTTTTTTTTTGAGATGGAGTTTCGCTCTGTTGCCAGGCTGGAGTGCGTTGGCGTGATCTTGGCTCACCACAACCTCCACCTCCCAGGTTCGAGCAATTCTCCTGCCTCAGCCTCCTGAGTAGCTGGGATACAGACGCCCGCCACCATGCCCAGCTAATTTTTGTATTTTTAAAATAGAGACGGGGTTTCACTGTGTTGGCCAGGCTGGTCTCGAACTTCTGACCTCAGGTGATCCACCCGCCTTGGCCTCCCAAAGTGCTGGGATTACAGGCGTGAACCACTGCGCCTGACCAGGAAATACTTTAATTGTAATTAATACTTTAAAATGAAAATACTACTGCTGATTTCATTTTAGATCTGACAGTTTTTACATCAGAGTTAAATAAAATTTTACTTCTGAGTTTGAACTAGATAATTTGCCCTTTAAGTTCTGCACGCTTAAATATCTGGAGTCAGTGTATGGTACGTGTTAATGTAGGAATAATTCTTGAGGCAAACCTTTTCATATTTTTAAAACAGTATGTTCACTATTTTGTTTAGGATTTACCTCAGTCATAGGAAATGTTAAGCATTTCTAATAAGAGATTGATTTGGCCTCCTGAATAATACCTTGAGCTTTGCCATATATGAGATTTAGGACCAGAAACTTGATTAAACAATACTTGAGTGTGTTGCATAAAAATTCACAGTAAAACAGAACTGTTAGGAGACATCTTGATATCAGAATATTGGTACAGAAAGATGGGACATTCCTCCAGTCAGATAGTTTTGTTGACCTTAGATAATTCAGGATCATCTTCCTTCATGCCTGGTCTCTGAAGCAACAGGATATTGATGAGTGTGCATTGATGTTTGTTGCCTTTTGATTTTACAGCCTGAGTTCAAGCAAAAATATATTTATATCTAGCTTGAGTGCTAACCACCATAGGTCCCTTATTAAGACCATTTTAAGCAATATGACCCCTATTGTCACCTCAGATAATTTAGTCAATTAAATGATAATTCTTTTAGCTATTATATTTATTAGTGGTCAACAGCATTATAGGGTTATTGATCAAATTCTAACAATACAAGACATAAAGCTGTATTTAATTCCAGATTTGAATTTTGTAGTTTTGGAAGTCATGGTGGAAAACAAAAGTACGGTAAAAAGGAAATAGTATGGGAAAATCAGTATAAAGGAAAAATATATATTAAGCAATGGTTGGTGTTTGAATTGCCATTACTACTCTCTTCTCTTCTCTTTTCTCTTCTCTTTTCTTTTCTTTTTTGAGACAGAGTTTCGCTCTTGTTGCCCAGGCTGGAGTGCAATGGCACAATCTTGACTCACTGTAACCTCCGCCTCCCGGGTTCAAGCGATTCTCCTGTCTCAGCCTCCTGAGTAGCTGGGATTACAGGTATGCGCCACCATGCCCAGCTAATATTGTATTTTTAGTAGAGACAGGGTTTCTCCATGTTGGTGAGGCTGGTCTCGAACTCCCGACCTCAGGGTCTGCCCGCCTCGGCCTCCCAAAGTGCTGGGATTACAAGCTTGAGACACCGCACCCAGGTGCCATTACACTTTCATTATTGATCTATGAGTTTTTTAAATAAGTATTCCCTATATAGAACTATGTATTAATATAAGATGTATCTCTCTAAGTAAGTATTGGCCACTAAATAAAAGTTTTAATGCTCTGTTTGAAAATATTTAGCCTGGGCGACATAGTGAGACCCCTGTCTCTACAAAAAATAAAACAAGGCTGGGTGTGGTGGCTCATGCCTGTAATCCCAACATTTTGGGAGGCTGAGGTGGGCAGATCACTTAAGGTCAGGAGTTCAAGACCAGCCTGACCAACATGGTGAAACCCCATCTCTACTAAAAATACAAAAATTAGCCAGGCATGGTGGCGCATGCCTGTAATCCCAGCTACTTGGGAAGCTAAGGCACCATAATCCCTTGAACCCAGGAGGCAGAGGTTGCAGTGATCCGAGATCACGACACTGCACTCCAGCCTAGGCAATAGAGAGAGACTCTGTGTCTCAAATAAATAAATAAACAAATAAATAAATCAAAATTAGCCAGGTGTAGTGGTGCAGCCTATAGCCCCAGCTCTACTTGGGAGGCTGAAGTGGGAGGATTGTTTGACCCTGGGAGTTTGAGGCTGCAGTGATCTGTGATCGTGCCACTGCATGCCATCCTGGGACAGAGTGAGACCCTGTTTCAAAGGGAAAAAAAAAAAAAAGAAAATATTTATTTAAATGTTAGGGAGGAAAAAAAATAAGTCTGGCATTTTTCACTCTTTTCTCACTTTCCTGTTATTTATTATTGGCCACATTTTACATAGTTACTGAAGATCACATAGCTAATAAGTGATGTAAGAGACTACGCATTGTTTCATTAAATTCTCATACTACTCTTTTGAGGTAGATATTATTTTCTGCATTTTACATATAAAGAAACTGAGGCTTAGTTTGAAGAAACATGGCTAATAAGGAATTGATGGGATACAAGTTCAAGCAATCTGATCTAGATACTCATTACAATTATGCTATGTTGTTTCATAATACGGTAAAGAAGTTGAAATTTTGAATATTTGTTTCTCTGGCATTGCCTGTAAAATTACTTGTCTTTGAGAAGATCTAATTTCTTTGGCCCTTGGTCTCCCTGTTTTTATATCAAACCTGAGAGATTTTGACCACCAATTTAAAAAATCTTACATTTAATACATCAGTTCCTCTCTTTAGTCTTATATCATGAACTAAAAAGCCCTTCAAAGTATGGGAACAAGAGCATCCTCTTTATATAGAACAGTTTTGTGTATTTGTTGGATCATTGTCTAGTGTTGGAATTGTATGCACCTAATTCTAGATTATCATGACAATAAATATATCTGTTGCAGGTAGTCATAAAATACTGGATATAATTCAACTATATTCTCTTCGTTGTGATGTACCCAAGTGACTATCACTAAGCAAATCCTAGAATGATATTTACAGTTTCTTAAGAATGACATATGATAAAGAGTTAAAGAATATATTTTAGCATATTACTTTATTTAACACAATTAAAAATACATTTCATTGGTTTTTCATTTCCTAAAGGCCTTTTTATAGCCTTTGTCTTAGGAAATTATAACTTTCTATAGATGGTATAGGTTGAATGTGGTGATTGCTGCAGGATGAGAGCCAACACCTTTTACAACTTTGTATCTAGGACTGTTGTTAATTTTGGAGTGCTCATTAATTAAATTTGTTTGGCTTTATATGTAAAATGAACATTGATGAAATTTTAGGTCTAGTATTTTTCTGCAACAGAAGAATATGATTTCTGTCATTTGGGCTAGATTAGGTCTGGTAGGAATGACTTTTGGCATATATGCAAATTTTATAGATAGCTTCTCCTGTGTGGCCCTATGTATGCTTTAAATGCCATGAAATTGTCGATGATTGTAATCAGATACGATCCCAGAGCTGCCTTTTTCCTTTAGTAAGGGACTGTTCTCTAAGGTTAATTTTGTCAGGCTTTGAACTTTGGTAGGGGAGTCATATAGTAGAAGGCTAAAGAACCACAGAAGATTAGCCTAGTGATTTTCAAACTCTAACCCAAGGCACCCTACAAGTTGTTCAGAAATTCTTCAGTGCCACTGCAGGAGAGTTGGAAAGATGAAAAGGCAGAATTCTCATCTCCATATCTCACTTTAGGAGGAGCATCTTTTATCTCTTTTATATTGAGTTTTCAAGAAAAAAAATTTTTTTTTTTGGAAGAATTTGAAAGCTGCTGATCCAGAGTCATTCCTTTAAGAAAATGGGCCGGGCATGGTGGCTCACACCTGTAATCCTGGCACTTCGGGAAGCCAGGGCAGATGGATCAGTTGAGCTCAGGAATGTGAGACCAGCCTGGGCAATGTGGCAAAACCCCGCCTCTACAAAAAATACAAAAACTAGGTGGGCATGGTGGCATGCGCCTGTAGTCCCAGCTACTGGGGAGGCCGAGGTGGGAGGATGGCTTGAGCCCGGAAGGCAGAGGTTGTAGTGAGCTGAGATTGCAGCACTGCACTCCAGCCTGGGCAACAGATTCAAACCCTGTCTCAAAAAGAAAAAGAAAAATGAGGCTGAGCATGGTGGTTCACGCTTGTAATCCAAGCAATATGGGAGGCCGAGGTGGGTGGATCACAAGGTCAGCCTGGCCAAGATGGTGAAACCCTGTCTCTACTAAAAATACAAAAATTAGCCAGGCGTGGTGGCGGGTGCCTGTAATCCCAGCTACCTGGGAGGCTGAGGCAGAGAATTGCTTAAACCTGGGAGGCGGAGGTTGCAGTGAGCCAAGACTGCGCCACTGCACTCCAGCCTGGGTGACAGAGTGAGACTCCATCTTCAAAAAAAAAAAACAAAAATGAACCCCAGATTAAGTGACTTGTCTCAATGGCACATTACTAGGCACTAGCATAGCTAATACTAGAATATACATTATCTGACTCTTAGTCTGAATCTGTGTACACTGTACTATGATATAACAGAAGGGTTTTTCATAGCTTGACATTTTGATCAATCTATGTATTATAATTAGGAATAATTGGATATGATAATGCTTTACATACATTTGTACCAGTAGATTTGCTGTTTAGTTCTATTTGTAAGCTAAGCACTGTTTTAAAGCTAAAGCAGTTTATTTAGAAAATTCAGGGAAATCTTCCTATTGTGTTTTTGTTTTGTTTTGTTTTGTTTTTTTGAGACGGAGTCTAACTCTGTCGCCCAGGCTGGAGTGCAGTGGTGTGATCTCGGCTCACTGAAACCTGTGCCTCCCAGGTTCAAGTGATTCTCATGCCTCAGCCTCCCAAGTAGCTGGGATTACAGACATGTGCCACCACGCCCAGCTAATTTTTGTACTTTAGAAGAGACGGGGTTTCACCATGTTGGCCAGGTTGGTCTCAAACTCTGACCTCAAGTGATCTGCCCGCCTCAGCCTCCCAAAGTGCTGGGATTACAGGCATGAGCCACCGCGCCCGGCCCCCACTGGTTTTTGGATTGGGAAGTTTTCTTTTCTTTTTTTTTTTTTTTTTGAGACAGAGTCTTGCTCTGTCACCAGGCTGGAGTGCAGTGGCACAATCTTGGCTCACTGCACCCTCTGCCTCCCAGGTTCAAGTGATTCTCCTGCCTCAGCCTCCCGAGTAGCTGGGACTACAGGCATGCGCCACCACACCCAGCTAATTTTTGTATTTTTAGTAGAGACGGGGTTTCACCATGTTGGCCAAGATGTTCTCAATCTCTTGACCTCGTGATCCGCCTACCTCAGCCTCCCAAAGTGCTGAGATTACAGGCATGAGCCACCGCACTTGGCCTGGAAAATTTTTCAAATAAAAATGTGAAATTTTAATGAAGATATTTCAATAGTTAAATTACAGTAGTGCCATCTTTAACTTTTTTTTAGCTCATTTTCTGTGATGATTTTGTGATGGCTACAACCTATACTTTGTTATGACTTAATCTTAAAATATCCATAAAAGGGCTGGTCACCATGGTTCACGCCTGTAATCCCAGCACTTTGGGAGGCTGAGGTGGGTGGATCACCTGAGGTCAGGAGTTCGAGACCAGCCTGACCAACAAGGTGAAAACCCGTCTCTACTAAAAATACAAAAATTAGCCGGGCGTGGTGGCAGGTGCCTGTAGTCCCAGCTACTCGGGAGGCTGAGACAGGAGAATTGCTTGAACCCGGGAGGTGGAGGTTGCAGTGAGCCGAGATCGTGCCACTGCACTCCAGCCTGGGTGACAGAGCAAGACTACATCTCAAAAAAAAAAAAAAAAAAAACACACATAAAAGATTGGAGTATCTTTAAATAGATTCCAATTTTCAAGGTAGACTTTTCTAAGGTTATATTGAGTGAGGAGATTTGTTTTTAATTCTAAAGTGCATTTTATCTTTTGGGGGAATGTTTATGTGCGTCTCATTGGTAATTTGGAAATTGTCTTTTCTGTTAATTTACAGAAATGTCAGTGTGTAGTGCTTGGTTTAGGATTTATAGCTGTAGGTGGTGATGAAGCAGAATGTGAATATTGCTTGTACCTAGTGTTTGTTCTTTTGAGGTTCCGAATGTTAAGGCGTTTGCTGTTTCTTTCATCATTTAAAACGGGCATTATTCCCAAATATTCAAGCTTTGATTTGCACTAGAATAAAGTATTTATTTCCTTAAAGATTTAACAGAGGCTTTGGATGAAGATGCAGACCCCACAAAATCTGCACTGTCTGCAGTTGCATCTTTGGCAGCTGCATGGCCACAGTTACACCAGGGTATGTGTGGGTTTTGTTTTTTTTTTGTTTGGCTTTTTATTTTTAATTTTATAAAGGCACATTTACATTGCTGAGTATTTATTGTTTATATTCTAAATGACTATTTCATTTTTAACAACTATAGGCTGCAGTTTGAAAAGTTTGGATCTTGATAGCTGCACTCTTTCAGAAATCCTCAGACTGCACATCTTAGCTTCAGGTGCTGATGTAACATCAGCAAATGCAAAGTATAGATATCAAAAACGAGGAGGATTTGATGCTACAGATGATGCTTGTATGGAGCTTCGTTTGAGCAATCCCAGTCTAGTGAAGAAACTGTCAAGCACCTCAGTGTATGATTTGACACCAGGTAAGCTTTGCAAGTTGGAATTTGCATAACCTGCCCACTTCCTCCCTCTTATGCCCAGAAAACTAAGGAGCTGATGAGAAATTTTACAATAAATCAGTATTAAAAGAGAAAAAGAGAAAGCAAACTATTGTTATTATTCATATTAACTTTATTTATGATTGTCTTTTTTATTTGGATTTTCTAATATTTTTAAACGTATGATTAGTCTACTACATCTACTGAGTTTAAAAGGGTGAGAATTAGCTAGAAAATTAGCTTTCTCTTGTATTTACTAGTGTATCAGAAGTTTAAATCTAAATGGCTGCTAAATCCTGCCATTCACTTGAATAAGTGTTTGAGGTATGAGAAACAGTATATGAGGTTAAGATGAAGCTATTTTTCACTTCCTTTTTTTAAAAAATTGCATGTACAAGTAAAGAGTTTAATTTAGTATACTTTAGAGAACATACAGTAAAGTAGAATACCTTACTTCCTAACATTTGCAGTCTTTATAATTTATGGTGGTTTTTTTGTGCAGTCTTTTAGAAATAGTAATTTACCATTGTCTTTTTTTAATTCATGTGATTATAATTTAGTATTGATTTGAACTTCAGTTACTCAGCCAAAAAGTTAAAACTTGAGGGCTGGGAACAGTGGCTCATGCCTGTAATCCCAGCACCTTGGGAGGCCAAGGTGGGCAGATCACCTGAGGTCAGGAGTTCGAGACCAGCCTGGCCAACATGGTGAAACACCATCTTTACTAAAAATACAAAAATTAGCTGGGTGTGGTGCTGTGCACCTGTAGTCCCAGCTACTCGGAGGCAGAGGCAGGAGAATCGCTTGAACCCAGGAGGCAGAGGTTGCTGTGAGCCCAGATGGTGCCACTGTACTCCAGCCTGGGCGACACAGCAAGACTCCGTCTCAAATAAGTAAAATAAAACATGACATGCAAATTCGTGAAGCGTTCCATATTTTTTTTTGGCCAGGCGCGGTGGCTCACGCCTGTAATCCCAGTACTTTGGGAGGCTGAGGCGGGCAGATCAGAAGGTCAGGAGATCGAGACCACCCTGGCTAACACAGTGAAACCCCGTCTCTACTGAAAATACAAAAAAATTAGCTAGGCGTGGTGGCGGGCGCCTGTAGTCCCAGCTACTCGGGAGGCTGAGGCAGGAGAATGGCGTGAACCCGGAAGGCGGAGCTTGCAGTGAGCCGAGATCGCGCCACTGCACTCCAGCCTGGGCGTCAGAGCGAGACTCCGTCTCAAAAAAACAAAAACAAACAAAAAAAAACTTGAAAACCAATTTGTAATTACAAAATTTCTCATGTTTACTTAACTAGTATACAAGATAGACATTTGAAATGCCTCATATATCAATAGCTGCAAATTGGATTCAAAGTTGCCTTTTTTTTTTTTTTTTTTTTTTTTTTTTGAGACAGAGTCTCACTCAGTTGCCCAGGTTGGAGTGCAGTGGTGCGATCTTGGCGCAACGCAACCTCCGCCTCCCGGGTTCAAGCAATTCTCCAACCTCAGCCTCCCAAGCAGCTGGGACTACAGGCACATACCACCACATCCAGCTATTTTTGTATTTTTAGTAGAGTTGGGGTTTCACCATGTTGGCCAGGCTGGTCTCGAACTCCTGACCTCAGGTGATCTGCCCGCCTCGGCCTCCCAAAGTGCTGGGATTACAGGTGTGAGCCACTGCGCCTGGCCCATAATTGCTTTTTCCTGAAGACATGTCATTGACATGTTTGAGAGACTACTCCATATTCTTTATTAGGCATTTTCACATTGAGCCACAAATTTAAAAAGTTCAAACACAGTTCATTTGCTGCGATTTATAATACAGAAGTATTTACCAATTTTTGACAGGAGAAAAAATGAAGATACTCCATGCTCTCTGTGGAAAGCTACTGACCCTAGTTTCAACTAGGGATTTTATTGAAGATTATGTTGATATATTACGACAGGCAAAGCAGGAGTTCCGGGAATTAAAAGCAGAACAACATCGAAAAGAGAGGGAAGAAGCAGCTGCCAGGTAAGAGATAATTGTAATAGTTGTGTTAATGAAAGCTGTTTATTTCTTTGCATTTAAAACCATATTTCACATGGTGCTATAATGTGGCATTCATTATACTGATGTTTGATGGCTTTACTAAGAGCTTGTGAATGAGGCCAGGTGTGGTGGCTCACGCCTGCAATCCCAGCACTTTGGGAGGGTGGATTACTTGAGGTCAGGAGTTCGAGACTAGCCTGGCCAACATGGCCAAATCCCATCTCTACTAAAAATACAAAAAGTAACCGGGCGTGGTGGTGCATGCCTGTAATCCCAGCTACTCAGGAGGTTGAGGCACGAGAATCACTTGATCCTGGGAAGCAGGATCAGCCTGGGCAGAAGAGTGAAACTCTGTCTCAAAAAAAAAAAAAAAAAGCTTATGAATGATTACTACATTATAGTTTTATAATAATGTTTGAAGTACTTTCCATGATTTGATTAAAGACAAGATGCTAAAAGTGAAATGTATATGTGCATCAGATAGACTACCATATTTCATTTTAACTTTTAGAATTCGTAAAAGGAAGGAAGAAAAACTTAAGGAGCAAGAACAAAAAATGAAAGAGAAACAAGAAAAACTGAAAGAAGATGAGCAAAGAAATTCAACGGCAGATATATCTATTGGGTATGGTTTGAATCACACTGTTCATCTGCTTTACCATACATAAAGAATAAAAACCAGACACCTTAAACTCTAAAAATGCTTTCACATTTTTAGAAAAGTTGTCTTTTTATTATAGGTACATGATAATTTCCCAGAAAAACACTCAATAGGCTATTTTTAACCAATATATTTATCTGTCCCCTCCACCAATATCACAGGTGTACACTGTATTTCACAGAGTTATTCTGTGCTGTATAGAGGAACAGGGTTGAGATTGGATGTTTTTTGGTAGATGATATAGGGAGAGGATGACAGCACCTTAAGTAATTTAGAGATACCCAAGTATTTTATTGCATTTTAGAATATTTGAGATAGGATTGTCTATGAAAACAAGTAGGAATTTGACAGAAATCATCTTTTTTCCTTTTTAATGAAATCTGCAAAGGAAAGTTCTGAAAAAACTCAATATTCCAAAATTAGTATATTGACTTTGACTTTTTAATACTTGTGTATAAAAATACCCATTAATAAGCCTTAAGATCTTAGGTCACAAACTCGCAGTAGAAGAAAATATTTGCAAATCATATATCTGATAAGGGACTTGTATCCAGAATATGAAAGAATTCTTACAACTCAACAATAAAAAATTGAAAGATTCAGAATAGGGAGTTAATTTTTTAAATGTCAAAAAATAAAGAAGAAATAATTAAAAGAAAAAAAATCTTAAAAACAACCCAATTAAAAAGTGAGCAATGGATTTGAATAGACATTTCTCCAAAGAAGATATGCAATAAGTACATGAGAAGATGCTCAACGTCATTAATCATCTGGGAAATGTACATCAAAACCACAGTAAGATACCACTTCACACCCAGTAGGCTGGCTATAATCAAATTGACAAACAATAACAAGTTTGGATGAGGAGTTGAGAAATCAGGACTCTCATACATTGCTTGTGGGAATGTAAATGATGCAGTTACTTTGGAAAACAGTTTGGCAGTTCTTCAAACAATTAAACCATTTGTTACTGTATGACCCGACAATTAAACCATTTGTTACTGTATGACCCAGTAGTTGCACTCCTAGATATATACCTAAGAGAATTAAAAGCATACCTTCATCCAAAAATGTATACACAAATGTTCATAGCAGCATTATTCTTAATAGCCAGAAGTGATAACAACCCAAATGTCCATCAATTGATGAATGGATAAACAAAGGTATATCTCTTCCGTGGTATGTCCATACAGGAGAATATTGTTCAACAATAAAAAGGAATGGAGTTCTAATACAGGCTATCATGTGGATGAACTTTGAAAATATATGCTAAAGAAGCTACTCACGACCAATTGCGGTGGCTCACGCCTGTAATCCCAGCACTCTGGGAGGCTGAGGCGGCCGGATCACCTGAGGTCAGGAGTTTGAGACCAACCTGGCTAACATGGTGAAACCCCATCTCTACTAAAAATACAAAAAATTAGCCAGGCATGGTGGCACATACCTGTAGAGGCAGGAGAATTGCTTGAGCCCTGGAGGTGGAGGTTGCAATGAGCCGAAATTGTGCTCCAGCCTGGGCAGCAGAGTGAGATTCTGTCTCAAAAAAAAAAAAAAAGCAGCTAGTGACAAAAGATCACATGTTGTATGACTCCATTTACATGAAATGTCCAGAATAAGCAAATCAGTAGAGAGTAGATGTTGGTTGCCAGGGGCAGCAGGAAAGAGGAAATGGGAAATGACTACTAATGGATATGGTGTTTCCTTTTGGTATGATGAAGGTGTTCTGGAATTGACAGTGGTAATGATTGCATAACCTTGTGAATACACTAAAGACCACTAAATTGTACACTTTAAAATGGTGATTGTTATGGTATGTAAGCTCAATTTTTTAAAAAAGAAAAGTAACACTATGGATTTCACATCTTCATATTTTTTAAATATTTATTCAGCCCCACTCATTTACATTTTCCTTGGCTGTCCTTACATTAGAACTTGCAAAACCCAACTGTGGATTTAGAACATAATGGTGTAATTTATTTCAAGGTTCATATAATTTTAGTTTTAATTTGGATAATATAATGAATTAAACAACTATATTGTGTTCATTCTGCCTGTTTACTATTTCTGAATTTCTCTCCTCCACTATTTATCATCTTCTCTCCTTCTACTCTAAGCCACCATCACTTCCTAGCCAGCCACCTAGACCACTACTGATCTGTTACTATTATTACTGGCTTCTTTACTGATCTCCCCTCATCTACTTTCTTTCCCAGGTAATTTTTCACACAGTGGCTACAGCACTTTCTAATATCATTTCCCTTTTCTAAATTCTTCTGGTTTTTTCCTATTGTTTTTTGGATAAGGCCTTACAAGGCCCAGCCTAATCTCACCCTGCCTTTTTCTCTCATCTACCTCTTGGATTACTGCTTTCTCCTTTACACTTTTCTCAAAATTATAAGCTCCTCCCATTTCTCTTGAGCTCTGTGCCATTGTGTATGTTATTCCTCTGTAGCACACACTCCTCCCCATCTCCCTGGTCTCACATTGTAAAATATCACTTCTTCAAGCCAGCCTTTTTGATCCCTAAGAGTCAGTTTCATTCTCCTTGAAATGTTTTCATAGTACCTTGAACTTCTCTTGTTTTAGTACTTATTACATATTTTTTAAATGATTTGTGTAATTATCTGTTTTCTCTGCAAGACCAAAACTGTGTCATGTTGTTCACTACTTCCTAAGCCTATAATGCCTGGTACTTCATAAGCAAGCAATAAATATTTCATAAATGGAATTATATATTCATTAGTAAATGTCATCTTTGTTTTTATCCTAAAGGGAGGAAGAAAGGGAAGATTTTGATACTAGCATTGAGAGCAAAGACACAGAGCAAAAGGAATTAGATCAAGATATGGTCACTGAAGATGAAGATGACCCAGGATCACATAAAAGAGGCAGAAGGGGTAATACTGAAATTTCTTTAGGGCATTCTTGTGTATTTGTTTTTAACCAATAAAGCACTTTATTAATTCAGCTCCTCTGAAATATATTGATTGCTTTCATTTGTGATTCCAGGCTGTGTTTGTTTTTTTAAATGCCCACCTCATAGCTGTGATGAGTTGTAAAAATGTGTTATGAAGTCCTATTAGTACATTTATGATTGGGTCATTATTTACACACCATCTATACTTTAGAAAGAAGATACAATATTCCTATGTCGTTAATAGGACAGTTTCTCATAATTTCAACTTTTGGTTAGTCATCAAGCTTCATTGAATTTTTACATTTACTACTTTTTTGGGCCAAATAGAAATTTGTATTCTATAATGTACTCATTCAGCATGCATTGGATGCCTCCTATGTGCTAGAGATATAAAGATCAATAATGCTCATAATTTGTATCATGTTGATGAAAATGGTAATCTCTCCTGCCTTAAAATTATTTCATAAATTGCTAGATCAAAGCAAATACATCTTTTAAAAGTTGTTAATACAAATTTCTTGTGTATTTATTTAATGACCTTATTTAATGACTATCAAAAGAAATCCTTAATTAATTCTGTGCCTATAATTTGCATGGGATCTTTTTTTCTGTATTTTTTTTAAATGGTTACTCTAAGTAGATAGAAAATTTCCTGTATCATGGAAGCTGTATTGTCTGATTACAATGCAATTGATTTCAACATCTAAAGCAAACCTAATATGATCAGAGCTTTTAAAACATACTTTCTAAATATTGGGTCAAAAGAGAAACCATAATGGAAACTAAAAAATATTTAAAACGAATCAAACTAATCATTACTGAATATTAACATGTGTTAAATACAGCCCCTCTACTTAGGGGAAAATGTATAGCTTTAATACATATTAGAAAAGAAGAAACACAAGCTGAGCTAGACATTTATTTAAGAAGATGGTGGGGGAAAAAGAATAATCCCCCCAAATCTGAAGGAAATAATACATTAGAGTAGAAATTAATAGAAAATAAAAATATAGTAGGGCCAGGTGCAGTGGCTCATGCCTGTAATCCCAGCACTCTGAGAGGCCAAGGTAGGTGGATTGCTTAAGCCCAGGAGTTCAAAATCAGCCTTGGTGAAACCCCATCGCCACAAAAAGTACCCAGAAAGCAAGCTGGGCATGGTGGCATGCACCTGTAGTCCCAGCTACTCAGTAGGCTAAGGTGGGAGGGTCACTTGAGCCTGGGAGATCAAGGCTGCAGTGCGCCCTGATTGCGCCACTGCACTCCAGCCTGGGCAACAGAGCAAGGTCCTTTCTCAAAAAAATAAAATAAAAATATAGTAAAGAACAACAACAAATCCAAAAGTGTGTTTGTCTGAGAAAGACAAACTAGACAAACCTTTGTTGAAATTGATTTTTATAAAGAGGGCAATCATAATAAAGTTAAGACTGAAAGGGGAGCAACATAACTATGGATAGAGTAGAAATTTAAAGATGAGATATACACAATTTTTGATGAATTTGAAAATGTATGCAAAAATAAAATCCTAGAAAATACAAATTATCAAAATGGATCTGTGAAGAAATTTGTTAATGTAGATGGTCTTAAACCATTAAAGAACTTGAATCAGTACTAAAATCCTTCTGCAGAGAAAACATCAGTCCTAGACAACTTTATAGGTGAATTCTGCCAAATTTTTTAAAAAGCAGATAATTCCAATCTTACACAAACTCTTTCAAGCAAAAGAAATAGAACGAAAAAATACTTCCGAACTATCAAAGCAATTTGACAGTAACTGAAACAACAGAGAAATTTAATTCCAACATACTGTCAAAGTCAAGGCAGATTATCAGGGGTCCAAGCTCTTTCTATCTTGTTGGTACTGCCATCCTTAGGGTTTTGCTGCCATTCTCATGTTCCAAAATGATTTATCACCATGTCTGCATTCTAGCTAGGTGGAAATGGGAAGGAGGAAAGGGAAGCACAGTCCAGAGGGTACACACAGTGCTTCTGATCCCATCTCTTTGAACAAAAGTTTTTCATTTAGTTGTGCCTACTATGGGAAATGTTGTCCTTCTTTTGGGTTGCTAAGTGCCCAGCTAAAAACTAGTGGTTCTGTTACCTTCAACCAGTGGTTAGTAAATAACAGTTTGTATGCCAAATCTGGCCGGCCCCATTTTTTTTGTTAATGTTTTTTGAGGTGGAGTCTCGCTCTGTCACCCAGGCTGGGATGTGCAGTGGCGCCATCTCGGCTCACTGCAACTTCCACCTTCTGGGTTCAAGTGATTCTCCTACCTCAGCCTCCCGAGTAGCTGGGATTACAGGTGCACACCACCACACCTGGCTGATTTTTGTATTTTTAGTAATGATGGGTTTTGCCATGTTGGCCAGGCTGGTTTCAAACTCCTGGCCTCAAGTGATCCAGCCACCTCGGCCTCCCAAAGTGTTGGGATTACAGATGTAAGCCACTGTGCCTGGCCCTGCCCTGTTTTTGTATAACTCATAAGCTAAGCTAAAAAGGAATTTTCCCTTTTTTTTTTTTTTTGGAGACAGAGTCTCACTCTATCCCCCAGGGTGGAGTACAGTGGCGTGATCTTGGCCCACTGCAACCTCCCCCTCCTGGGTTCAAGCGATTCTCATGCCTCAGCCTCCTGAGTAGCTGGGATTACAGGTGCTTGCTACCATGCCCAGCTAATTTTTGTATTTTTAGTGGAGACGGGATTTCACCATGTTGGCCAGGCTGGTTAAGAACTCCTGATGTCAGGTGATCCGCCCACCTCGGCCTCCCAAAGTTCTGGGATTACAGGCATGGGCCACCGCGCCAGCCGGATTTTTACAATTTAAATGGCTGGAAAAAAGAAGAATGATACTTTGTGATAAGTGAAAATTATATGAAATTCAGATTTCACTGTCCATAAATAGTTACATTGAACCACAGCCATGCTCATTGTCTGCATGTTGCCTGTGATTGCTTTTGGGCCACAAGAGTGGAATTGAATAGCTGTGAAGACCATAAGATCCACAAAGACAAATATTTATAAGCTAGTCTTCTCCAGAAGTAGTTTGCTGTTATTCCTCCCTTAGAGGAAGGACTGGGATGACTACTGGAGGAGAACTAACATACTCTACTAGCACTCTCCAGTATGGAAATGACAGATTTTGCATGCCCCTTTAGATTTAAGTATATTGATTTCTTATTAACATAGTGTATTAGTCTGCTTGGGCTGCCATAACGAAATACCACAGACTGGGGTGGGTTAAACAACAGAAACTTCAGAAATTTTTTTTCTCACAGTTCTGGAGTCTGGAAGTCCAAGATCAAGCAGGGTTGGTGTCTGAAAGGCTTTTTCTTGGCTTGCAGACAGTGCCTTCTTGCTATATCCTTACATGGCTTTTTCTCTGTGCATGTCAGATAACAAGATCTCTGGTGTCTAAGAACACCAATCATGTTGGATTAGGTCCCCACCTTCATGACCTTAATTACCTCCTTAAAGGTTCTGTCTCCAAATACAGTCACATTGGAGGTTAGGGCTTCAACATATGAACTTGGGGTTGTGGAGAGGGGATACAGTTTAGTTCATAACACCTAATAACTTGGGGTAACTTTGTATCTCATATTTTTCTAATGGAAACTTGAAATATGATGATGATGAAACATTTTATTTTAATTACAGGGAAAAGAGGACAAAATGGATTTAAAGAATTTACAAGGCAAGAACAGATCAACTGTGTAACAAGAGAGCCTCTTACTGCTGATGAGGAAGAAGCATTAAAACAGGAACACCAACGAAAAGAGAAAGAGCTCTTAGAAAAAATCCAAAGTGCCATAGCCTGTACCAATATCTTTCCCTTGGGTCGCGACCGCATGTATAGACGATACTGGATTTTCCCTTCTATTCCTGGACTCTTTATTGAAGAGGATTATTCTGGTCTTACTGAAGACATGCTGTTGCCTAGACCTTCATCATTTCAGAATAATGTACAGTCTCAAGATCCTCAGGTATCCACTAAAACTGGAGAGCCTTTGATGTCTGAATCTACCTCCAACATTGACCAAGGTCCACGTGACCATTCTGTGCAGCTGCCAAAACCAGTGCATAAGCCAAATCGGTGGTGCTTTTACAGTTCTTGTGAACAGCTAGACCAGCTTATTGAAGCTCTTAATTCTAGAGGACATAGAGAAAGTGCCTTAAAAGAAACTTTGTTACAAGAGAAAAGCAGAATATGTGCACAGCTAGCCCGTTTTTCTGAAGAGAAATTTCATTTTTCAGGTAAATTTTCAATGAAAATTGTTTTTACTTTTTTTCCCTCCCCCTAATCTCTGGTCATTCAGGATTAAGCGTTTTTGCAACCTATTAGAAATACATTTACAACACCTTATCTTTGATTTAGGCTGTCCTTTTAGTTTGCAAGTTAGAGTTTGGGAATGTATTTCTGTATAGAAATAAGATTCTCTAAATTCCACTGGATTGTATTTGAATTATGAGGAACACATCTATGGTATAACAAAATACATATTCTCCCTGATCTCCTTATTCCTTGGTCAGTAGACTCTGAAACCCAAGAATAGACTCTAAGGCTGCCATCAGTTTTGGACAGATTATGGTGAGTGAGGTTACTCATTAAGGGTTTTGGCTGAGAGTCTAGGGAGAAGTTCCACTAATGGTCACTTCTTTGGAGCTTGGCTGCAAGGGCAGGTCGGATAGCAGCATTTCCTGCTTGATGGTCCGTCCACTGATGACAAATAAGAAAAAGCAGTAAGGCATTTTTAGATGTGAGTTTTTATATTAATAAATTAGATTCTCTAGGTAAAGAATTGCTTACTTGTCTCCTGTGGGAGAGAAAATAGAGCTAAAAACGTTTTAAATTAAATCAAAATTTTAAAAAGAATTGCTTAAATTTAGGGGCATGTTACCATGACCACTTCAGTTTTTTTCAGGATTAAAAACTATAGATCACAATTATTGGGGTTTTTTTTTGTTTTTTGTTTGAGACAGAATTTCGCTTTTGTTGCCCAGGCTGTTGGGCTCACTGCAATCTCTGCCTCCTGGGTTCTAGTGCATCTCCTGTCTCAGCCTCCCAAGTAGCTGGGATAACAGGCGCCCGCCACCACACCCAGCTAATTTTTTGTATTTTTAGTAGAGATAGGGTTTCACCATGTTGGCCAGGCTGGTCTCAAACTCCTGACCTCAGGTAATCCACCCGCCTTGGTCTCCCAAAGTGCTGGGATTACAGGCATGAGCCACTACCCCCCGCCAATGTTGAGCATCTTTTCATGTGCTCATTGGCCATTTGTCTGTCTTCCTTAAATATCTATTCAGATCCTTTGCCCATTTTTAAATTGGGTTGTCTTTTTATTGTGCTGTAAGAGTTCTTTATATATTCTGGATACAAGGGCTTTATTTATTTATTTAGAGACAGGGTCTCGCTCTGTTGCCCAGGCTGGATTGCAGTGGCATAACCATAGTTCACTGCAGATTCAAACTCCTGGGCTCAAGCAATCCTGCCTCAGCCTCCTGAGTAGCTGTACAAGGGCTTTATAAGATAAATGATATTCATTCATTCATTCATTCATTTGTGGCACTTGAGGATTTACAAAGCACTTTTATATCTGTTATTTCAAGATCATAACAGCCACATGGAGTAATTGTAGTTTTTAATAAGAAAATCATAATAAAAGTATTTGATTACTATTTCAGACAAACCTCAGCCTGATAGCAAACCAACATATAGTCGGGGAAGATCTTCCAATGCATATGATCCATCTCAGATGTGTGCAGAAAAGCAACTTGAACTAAGGCTGAGAGATTTTCTTTTAGATATTGAAGATAGAATCTACCAAGGAACATTAGGAGCCATCAAGGTTTGTACTTGTTCCCATTTTTAGTTTGTCTAATCTACTTGGTCCAGAATTTTGGTCATATTTGTTAATTATATGGCATAGACAAGGCATATGTGTTTTGAATAAACACCAGAGAATGATAAATTTTTTATGAAAACTTAAGTTTATTCCCCTGCATAAAAATATTTTTTCCGATATTTTCATCAGATGTTGAAATGCGTAAGGATATTTTCTTCTTCCTTGACTAGCCCCTGCCTTCTCTGCTGAGTCTGGTTGGTTTGTTGGTTTCTTTGTTACCTTTTTAAAATCTGTAATTCATGGCTGATAATGTATTCTGTTCATGCCTTTGCCATCATCTGTCACTTTTTTGCTGCTATCAAGTGACCAATCTTAGAACTGTTTATGATTTATTTATACAGAAAGTAAGGCATTATGGTTTTCATCTATGAAGAATATGAATTCCAGTTTGGCCACTTAGTAACCTTATTTTTAGATACCTTTTTGATTCATAATCATTTCTAAAATATCCATGAATTGATTTTATATGCATATTGAACTTCATACCTCTCAGAAACAATATATTCCATTTTTCATGGTTAGTAAGTTTGAATTTTGTTACAGGTTACAGATCGACATATCTGGAGATCAGCATTAGAAAGTGGACGGTATGAGCTGTTAAGTGAGGAAAACAAGGAAAATGGGATAATTAAAACTGTGAATGAAGACGTAGAAGAGATGGAAATTGATGAACAAACAAAGGTCATAGTAAAAGACAGGTACAAAAAGATTTTTCTAAAGTAACCATTACTTTTCCTTGCCATTTTAAGGTTTTTTTTTTTTTTTTGGTTTTTAAGTAAATATGTTGCTTTTTCTTATTTTAAAAACTTGTCGTGAGGACCTTGATATTTGTAACCATTGGACTGATCATTTTCTAAACCTCAGGATCTCTGTTACTCCACTTTGTACTAATGCAACCAAAAAACAATTCATTCGAATAATGATAATTTCTTAAAGTTTTTTTTTTTAATCTTTGAACTTAAGGTTTTATTAATTTTGGAAAGTAATTATACTATTATTCTTCTTTTCTATAGGAAAACTTAGTAAATTAGTAAATTCTGGTAGACTTGAATGTTATTTGAGCCAGGCAAGATGGCGTGGGCCTGTAGTCTCAGCTGCTCGGGAGGCGGAAGCAGGAGGATCACTTGAGGCCGGGAGTTGGAGACCAGCCTGGGCAACATAGTGAGACCCTGTCTCTCTTTTTTTTAATTATCTGGGCATGGTGGCATGCACTTGGTTTTTGTTGTTGTTGTTGTTATTTTTTGAGACGGAGTCTTGCTCTGTTGCCAGGCTGGAGTAAAGTAGCACAATCTCAGCTCACTGCAACCTCCTACTCCCTGGTTCAAGCAATTCTTCTGCCTCAGCCTCCTGAGTAGCTGGGATTACAGGCACGTGCCAACACGCCCAGCTAATTTTTGTATTTTTAGTAGAGACAGGGTTTCGCCACGTTGGCCAGGACGATCTTGATCTCCTGACCTTGTGATGCCCTGCCTCGGCCTCCCAAAGTGCTGGGATTACAGGCCTGAGCCACCACGCCTGGCCGGCATGCACTTGTAGTCCCATCTATTCCATCGTTGTACCCCAGGACTTCAAAGCTGCAGTGAGCTAATAATGATTGTGCCACTGCACTCCAGCCTGAGCAACAATGAGACCTCATCTCTAAATAAGTATAAGTATTAAATATTATTACTAATCAGAATCTATATCCATATATCTATAGATACTTTTATTTTTTCAAGATTATTTTGGATATTATATGCCTTTAAGCAGTTTGTCATCTAGAAGGGAACAGTGGAGAAACATGAGGCTAGCATTATATTTACTAGAATGGGGTACTGATAGAAGGTTATACCCAGTGCAGATGAAGTACATGGGCGGGCTACTTGTCTTAGTAGAACATGGGAGATAGTAAAGGAAGTGCAAGAGGAAGTGACTGCAAAGCTGAGCCCTAAAGTTGAGAAAAATAGGACACTGGGAAGAAAAACCATGTACAAAGGCTTTGAGTGAATGAGTTTGCACTTTAAAATGATCATTTTAGGCCAGGCGCAGTGGCTGACACCTGTAATCCCAGCACTTTGGGAGGCTGAGACAGGTGAATCATGAGGTCAGGCATTCGAGACCAGCCTGGCCAACATAGTGAAACCCCGTCTCTACTAAAAATACAAAAAATTAGCCGGGCACGGTGGTGGGCACCTGTAGTCCCAGCTACTCAGGAGACTGAGGCAGGAGAATGGTGTGAACCCGGGAGGCAGAGCTTGCAGTAAGCTGAGATCGCACCACTGCACTCCAGCCTGGGCAACAGTGCGAGACTGTCTCAAAAAAGCAAAAAAAAAGGGCAAAACAAGAGAAATAGAGATAAGCTGCCCGAAATACTTAGGCTTTAAGGCCCATCACAATGTCACCTCTCTGAAACCTTTCCCATAAGCCTTCCCTCTTCTTTCTCTCCTTCAAATATTTACCCTTAGTCCTTCTAAATGAATCTCCCTTCCCTACTAGTTTACTGCAACTCCTTGAGATTGAGGAAATGATTTTTTACAAAGGTATAAATAAGCATTTGAACCAATGAATGGACTCAAGTTTTACCTAATAGTGTTTTTAAGTACCATAAACTCTTAATTGTTTTAATTGTAGACTTTTGGGGATAAAAACAGAAACTCCAAGTACTGTATCAACAAATGCAAGTACACCACAATCAGTGAGCAGTGTGGTTCATTATCTGGCAATGGCACTCTTTCAAATAGAGCAGGGCATTGAGCGGCGTTTTCTGAAAGCTCCACTTGGTAAGTATCTGTTTTTATTTCAAAATATTAGTTGTGTTATAAGTAATTTTGAGTTGGCCTTTAACTAATAGAACTTTATTGGCTGACATAATGAAATTGATAATCTTAAAAACTTGAGATGTTTTCATTTTTAAATGAGTTCTTTTAAGGTGAGATTTATTTTTAGAATAATACAGTCTTTTGTGAAGAGTTTCATCAAAAGAAAGATTACCAGCTAGGCACAGTGGCTCATGCCTGTAATCCCAACACTTTGGGAGGCTGAGGTGGAATCGCTTGAGCCCAAGAGTTTGAGACCAGCCTGGGCAACATATAGCAAGAACCCCATCTCTACAAAATTAAAAAAGAAAAAAATTAGCTAGGCATCATGGCATGCAACTGTAGTCCCAGAGGCTGGGGTGGGAGGATCACATGAGCCCAGGAATTTGAGGTTACAATGAGCTATGACCACACCATTGCATGGTGGCCTAGGTGACAGAGTAAGACCCTGTCTCTTTAAAAGAAAAAAAAGATCACCAAAACCTATAACTAGTCAGACCTTGAATAATCAAAGATTATGTGTAACTTTTTTTTTTTTCTGTTATTTGAAAGAGAACCCCAAATAAGTGACTTAAAAGTTTACCATTTGGGGCATAGTTTGATGATATGAGTCACCCACATGCTATATCAGAAATACCAAGTGCTAAATCAGAAATACCAAGTGTTTAAAGGAACACGGGTGAGGAAATGCTCTATAATTTATAGTGAGGAATAATATACTATCTGTATCACTTTTTGACAAATTATGAAATTAGTGGGTTTTTAGGGACTAATCTAGGAACCTCCTAACCATTATGTTTTTGGGAAAATATCTGTTTCAGAATTCTAAATCAATGTTTATATCATAACTGTCTCTAATTCCCTGTTGTTTTTTTGAGATGTTTAATTTATAACTCATCATGTTGAGATATTTATATTCTTGTAATGGGATCATGGAAGAAATAACTTTCTTAAACCATATCTTTTTGGTCTCCTATTGAAAGAACTACTTGAATTGACTAAAATCCTTAAATAATTGTTTTAGCTGGGGGTGGTGGCTCACGCCTGTAATCCCAGCACTTTGGGAGGCCGAGGCGGTTGGATCACCTGAGGTCAGGAGTTGGAGACCAGCCTGACCAACATGGTGAAACCCCGTCTCTACTAAAAATACAAAATTAGGTGGGTGTGGTGGTGCATGCCTGTAATCCCAGCTACTTGGGAGGCTGAGGCAGGAGAATCGCTTGAACCTGGGAGGCAGAGGATGCAGTGAGCTGAGACTGCACCATTGCACTCCAGCCTGGGCAACAAGAGAGAAACTCTGTCTTAAAAAAAACAAAAATAATAATTTTTTGATATCTCATTATTAGAACAAAGTTTTCATAGTGCAATCAGAGCAGTTTTGAAATGTGAATATACTGGTAAACTTTTTAAATTGAAGAGTTGTGGCCAGTATCTCATTAAGTCTATTCACACTGTTGTAAATTGATAATCGTACCATAAGCTTAATAACCCACTGGCCACATTGAAAGTAGCAATTGTAAGAAATAAAATATGTATAATCACAGCTCCCAAAGATAGCAGAGTTGGTATTTGCTATGTCACTTTTATTTCCCAGTCTTCAGTATTTCTTAGGATTTTCTTTGTGTAAATCCAGTTATGTGTACAAGGGATCACTCTGTATTTATTACAACCACATATTAATACACAATTAGCTAAATTAAAATTTCAATTTAAAATTATTTGCAAATCATGCAGGTTTTATAAATGTAAGATACTGTTACTACTAACACTGTGATTCCAAAAGAGTAAAAGGATAAGACACAATATTGCTTATTTTCCCACTTCTGAAATTTTCATTAAAGTTTTTTTAAGTTGAAGGGGGGAAAATCAAATTAATTGTTTAGTATGTCTGTATTTTCATCTGCACAACTTATTAAATATTTAGACAAAGAAAAAGGTTAACATTGAGAGTTGTTACAACTTGTCTAGTAGGTTATATGAGAGACACTGTTCCTTATGCTGGTTTGTATACAGTGGTTTTCAAACATTAATTTCATTCCAAAAGATAGAAAGTTATAATTCAAGATCTTAAGAAATAAGTGAAATAAGAAAAGTTTGTTACTTTGGTAGTGTCAAAGTTAAATATTGGTTGAAGTCAAATGTTGGTCATTTATAATATGGGTGTCTACTGTTGCTGCTCCATAAAAAGTTATTAGAATAACTTAAGCCTTTGAAAGGTCTGTTTTGCACAGGACAGCAGGAGATGGAGATAGGCTATCTGAAATAAAGCAATCAAGAATATCAGTGATTGGGAAGAGAAAAGCAGGTTTTACTTTATGAATATTTGAGATGGAATATATATCGAAATTCTCCATTCACCTGATAATATTTCAGGATAGCAAATTAATCATAGTAGGCATTTTCCCAATTTAGCTTCAGAAGTCATTTCAGTTTCTTGAGGAAGCATGTACGAAATAAAAATTCTACTTACGTTCTACCTCTCTAATATGTCCCTTTTATTCTAGAGATTAATCATACTGCTAAAAGTAGACTTTTTTTCATTTGGGGAAGATAAAATCATGTTTTGTTTTAGGTAAGATACATGAGGATGTTTTTTAAGATTGATAATTCTGTTATTTTTAAAGTCATACTTATGCTTAAACCCTTAAGCTATGAAAAAAAAATCTTCAACTAACTATATCAGTTTGAAATTAGGTAAAACAGAAATTAATAAGGATCAAAAGGGAGATAGAAAAAAAAAAGGACAAGAAAAAGAGAGAGGAAGATCTATCTAGTGTGAGAGATGGTAAATTTTTAACTTTTTAAAGAAATTTATGTTTTGTCTTTTTAAAGAATGATTTTACTTTCTCTATGGCTGAATAGTGATTTGCATATTTAGCTTTTGAAGGAAAACCTTGGATTTGATTTTTTTGGAAGGGAATGGACTTGGGGGTAAGCTTAAAATAGTATCTTCCTAGCATTTCCCTTTCTATATTTCACACCTCAGCTAATCACTCTTCTAAATTGGCATATAGAAAGTTGACACCGGTGAATCTTTGTATACTTAGCTATTAGTGAAAAGAATGAATGGCTGTGGAACTTATGTTTACCTGTTTCACATAAAGTATTTATTCACAGCATTTTTTTTCTTTTACTAGCTTGGAGAGACATAGGACAAGAGTTTTTATGTTTTGTCCCCTAGAGAAGCCTGTCCTGGTCACATGGATTACTGTATAGTGGCCATTGAACAGTATGAAGTCTCCCACTATAATATTTGATTATGTGACTGCCAGTATTTTATATTAGTAAGATCCTTTTAATAATTTATGGAGGAATTTATCTGTGCTAGCATAATGGAAGATAAAAGATAAACAAGACATTTTCTGCCCTTTACGGTTGTGTAATCTGGGGGGAAAGCAAGGTTTAAGATAAGGAAACAACAGAAAAATGGAATCAATTGTATATACTGTTTTCTATCCTTATATCAGTACTATGCAAAAATAGAAAAATAGGCACATTCATTATGGACTAGAATAAGAATTGGGCCTTGAGCTACTGCTGGTTTAATTTTCTTAAACCACCCCATTAATCAAATCCCATAGCATTTCACCAACCTTTGCATTAAAAAATCATTCAAACTAATTTCCAAGATTCTAAAAGTTCTTCATAATTTGTCTTTCTTCCCATTCCTTCACATTGACCTCTGCAACCTTATTCCTTGCCAGCCATTACCAATGAGAATATTCTCTGATTTACCCAGAAGGATCATGATCTTTGAACTAGCTATTCGTGCTTCCTCATTCCTTAGAGGCCCTGCTCAGGCCAGAACTTTTCATGAAGGCTTATATTTTAAAAACCAAGATAAGTAAAACGCTCACAATGACAGGGGAGAAATAAATCAAATGCATTTAAGTGGACTCTACTCTCCAATTATTATACATATATATATATTTTGAGACAGAGTCTTGCTTTTGTCACCCAAGCTGGAGTGCAGTGGCACAATCTGCAACCTTTGCCTCCTGGGTTCAAGCAATTCTCCTGCCTCGGCCTCCAAAGTAGCTGGGACTACAGGCACCTGCAACCACGGCTGGCTAGTTTTTGTATTTTTAGTAGAGATGGGGTTTCACCGTGTTGGCCAAGCTGGTCTCAAACTCGTGGCCTCATGTGATCCATTCCCCTCAGCCTCTCAAAGTGCTGGGATTACAGGTGTGAGCTACCACATCTGGCTCCAATTAGACGTTAGATACAGTTTTGGATAGTTGACAGGGAGAGTGAAGCAAATAGAAGAAAAGACTGTATTAACATAAAATCTAGCTGGTTTATATACTGTCTACAAAAGACACACCTAAAACAAAACAACATAGATAAAGATGGAAAAATATTACTGATGCTGCATTCTAAGTAATAGCTTTGTATTTTCCCAACTTCATTAACATGTCAGCTTTGAAGAGCCATTTGACCCATCCACTGTGTTTTTGCCTCTGTTTTTAATCTCAATCATTTTGAAAAGTTCTAACTGGATCTTTTTCAAACTGCCTGGTTATTCATATTTTAAACTTCTTAAAACATATTAAAGTTATTTTATATTCTGTTTCTAATTCTAGTATCTGAAGTCTTTATGAGTTTGATTCTGCTGGCTTTCACTTAATGTTTTGTTTCCACATGTGCCTTGTGGTTTTGATTAACTCTCATTCCTCAGATTTCATCTGTGAAAATCTTTTCAGAGAGAATTTGCAAAGATTTGTACTTGTTTCTGCCATTCACTTGAGGTCACTAGCAATCCTAGACTACTTTAAAATCTTAGCCTATGTTTTTTTGGGTTTTAAACCTGTTCAAGGCTTTGCTTGATCCTCAGGGAGATTATTTTCCCTTTCTAACCAACGCCGAAGTCTAGGTGAATCAACTTCCTTGCTCTCCATTTTTTCATGTAGTGCCTGTTTCCACTCTGACACTTGAAGGGGTAGCTTTCTGGGGTCCTGGCTTTTTAGAGAGGGACTAACCACCCTGATGGGCCCTAGGTTTCATGTCCTGTCAATCTCACCCTACCCGACAGGCAAACAGGAGCTCAAGGTCCATTGGTACTTGACAGGTCTCTGCTTTATGGTTTTAACTCATTGTGTATTTCTTCACTTTTCCAGCTGTACTAAACATTCCTTGAAGATAGGGACCATAGAATAGACTAGTTTCTTATCTTCTAAAGTGCTGCACATAGGGGGAGCTATACAGTGCACTAATAACGATAGTAATATTAGCATTTACTGTGACAGATACTTCAATGCCTTATGCGTATTATCTCATTTAATGTTTCCAGCAACCCTTAGAGGCAGATACTCTCCATGTATTACAGTTGAGGAAACTGAGAGACAGATGGGTTAACTTGCCCAAGTTCATATGGGGGAGCCAGTACTCACCTCAGAGCAGACTGTCTCCAAAGCCTGCATTTTCTTAACCGTTATGCTACTGCCCAAGAGGTTTTATTTGAGAATAATAGTAGGAAATAATGGTATTATAGAACCAGATTATGTATGGAGTCTTATATACCTTGCAGAATTAAGTATAATGTTTTTGGAAAATTAAGGTGGTAACAATATTAAAGATTGAAGTGGAAATCACACACCAGTATAAAATGACTATTGATTGATAGCATTTAATCAGATGATTAAATTTTTTAGCCCAGAAGATAAAGAATGGTGATGTTAAGTGACAGAAGGTTTCAAATGTTTCTATATAAATATTAGTGCTGAAAAATCCATTTTGGTAGTATTAACATTGTTTTTACTTACCACAATTTTAAAACTATTTTCTTAGAAGATAATTTAAGTTGGAGAACAGTCCATCTTTTATATGAGATGAGGAAGTAACATACTTCATGCAAATGAATAGTATAGACTTGGAATCATATGTAACCAGTTTTTAAAATTAGCTCAAGATTTGATACAAAGACTAGATTGAGAACACATTGTCTGAATTATTTTTCTCTTTAGCTATTAAAATCCCTTAGCATTTGATTTATGAATTTAAGTAATTCCTTATGTCATAAACGAGATGCGGCTCAGCAAATATTTTCCATGAGATTTTTGTTTTTAATATCAGCATGGTCTTTTTGTTAAGTATCAGAAGAAAAGAAATGTAAAATCTAACCTATATTTAAACTACCAACAAACTATTTCTAGGAAGATTACTAGGTTTGCCTAAAAAATTGTAATCACTTTCCCTTTTCATTTAAGATGCCAGTGACAGTGGGCGTTCTTATAAAACAGTTCTGGACCGTTGGAGAGAGTCTCTCCTTTCTTCTGCTAGTCTATCCCAAGTTTTTCTTCACCTATCCACCTTGGATCGTAGCGTGATATGGTCTAAATCTATACTGAATGCGCGTTGCAAGATATGTCGAAAGAAAGGCGATGCTGAAAACATGGTTCTTTGTGATGGCTGTGATAGGGGTCATCATACCTACTGTGTTCGACCAAAGCTCAAGGTATTTTTTTCTTCTTATCAGATTAGAAATGAGACATTAAGATTTTGAGCAATAGATGATTAATGATCATTTATGTGATTTTTTCAGACTGTGCCTGAAGGAGACTGGTTTTGTCCAGAATGTCGACCAAAGCAACGTTCTAGAAGACTCTCCTCTAGACAGAGACCATCCTTGGAAAGTGATGAAGATGTGGAAGACAGTATGGGAGGTGAGGATGATGAAGTTGATGGCGATGAAGAAGAAGGTCAAAGTGAGGAGGAAGAGTATGAGGTAGAACAAGATGAAGATGACTCTCAAGAAGAGGAAGAAGTCAGGTAAGTCCTAACATGCAATAAAATGAGTCAGTAAGTCTTAGTTAGACAATTTCTCCACTATTCAAATACAAATGGAATAGTTAGGGTCTGTAACTTAGTTTAAAACTAATATATAGGCTGGACACGGTAGCTTATGCCTATAATCCCAGCACTTTGGGAGGCTGAGGCAGGCAGATCACCTGAGGTCAGGAGTTCGAGATCAGCCTGGCCAACATGGTGAAACCCCGTCTCTACTAAAAATTGAAAAATTAGCCAAGGTGTTGGTGGACATCTGTAATCCCAGCTACTCGGGAGGCTGAGGTAGGAGAGCTGCTTGAACCCGGGAGCGGAGGTTGCAGTGAGGTAACGGATCACGCCATTGCACTCCAGTCTGGGTGACAAGAGCGAGACTCCATCTCAAAAAAAAAAAAAAAAAAAGAAAAGAAAAAAGAAACTAACGTATAGTGGCCTGAAGTTACCCTTGCTTTTTATATATTATAAACATTCAAAAATATTCCCAAGGGAGTATTGATAATTTGGGGAATCTGAGAGAGAGTGATAAATGCACTGTATTTTTATACTTCTGCCACATTAGCACCTGGAAACAGCTTCTATACTACCATATAACTAAGTATTCTGCAACTTAGCATGCTGTGTCATTCAGGCCTAGCGAATGAGTGTGGAGCCTGGATATTCCTTCTGTGGCAGCACTGGGGCAATCTCCCCTTACTTGAACCTCCGGTTGAGGGCCGAAATAAAGGGATATTTAGAATTTTATATCCACAAGGTAGATATACAGGCTTACCTCAAAGATACTGCCATTTCAATTCCAGACCACAGCAATAAAGCAAGTTACAAATTTTTTTGGTTTCCCAGGGCATATAAAAATTATGTTTACATTACACTGTAGTCTCCTAAGTGTGCATGCAGTAGCACTATGTCTAAAAAAAAAGTGCATTTCTATATCTTAATTTAAAAATAATGTATTGCTAAAATATGCTAACAATCATCTGACAGAGAGATAAAAAATGAGCTCATGCTGTTGGAAAAATTATGCCAATAAACTTGCTTGATGCAGAATTGCCACAAACCTTCAGTTTGTTTAAAAAAAAATTATAATTGTAGCATGCAGTGAAGCACAAAGCACTATAAAATGAGGTGCCTATGTCTAACCGGTAGCTATAAGCTAGACAGATCTACTGGGGGTTTTCTGTCAGCAGGCCTGACCATAGCCAGTCATATCAGGGAAGTCATTGTGCTCCTTGTTCTTATCATCCCCCTCCCCCCGGCTTTTTTTTTTTTTTTTAAACATTTGAACCCCATTCTTGTGGAAGCAGGAAAATGAGTATGAAGCAAGGCAACCTAGAACTGCAAAAGTGCAAAAGGACCACAGTTGGAGAAGTTGAGATAGAGCCACCCCATCTGTTTTAAACAAGGTTTTAAGAAATACCAGCTAGAAGAGCCATCTTCCCTGTAGCTTGTGAGGGCAGTATTATGTT